>NC_000023.11:16985972-17289003 GCF_000001405.40 Homo sapiens | reverse complement strand
AATAATTAGGCCAACCTTGCCCACTCAAATATGGAAAACTAACAGTAAAGACAGGATCTCATGTGGGCTTTGTCTAACCAAAGGAGTCCCCCACTCCACATACCCAGAAATGCCAAATATGTGGTTTAAGAACCAATAGCCACATCTGATATATAAGAACACTCTTTGGGAACTTGCCTAAAAAAGCCATCAGCAACAGCCAACACTTGTGGGGTATGAGGTGCAGTGGGAGAGGCTGTAAGATTCTGGTATCTAAACCCCATGACGAGAAGGAAGAAAGCACCAATAGTAGTCCTTCGTTTCCCTAGGATTGGAAGAACCTAGGGGCACACACATATCTTCTTTCATCCCTCTTGCTGGGGCTGCCAGGGAGAAGCAATGTCTCCAGGGAAATGAGGAATATAGGGCATTCTATAATAGGTACCACCTTCCTTCAGATTGGCCAGGCCAGGCTCCAAGTTCGGGAGCATGGGACAGGAAAGGAATGAGAGAGGAAAAAGGAGATTCACTCCTTTACTACATGTTTATTTTCCAAGCTTGAAGGTCCTACAGAGCAACCGAGTAAAGGTCTTAACTGACTGTACTGATTTCAGGACATGTTGGGAAGATTTGTTATGGATATGGGGGAAGATGTAAGAGACAAGAGACACACGTATAGAAACACACAGGTAGACATGCAAACATATATGCACGGGCTGCTTAGTTGTATCAGTTAGCTTTTGTTACATCACAAGCCACCCCAAAACTTATTGTCTTAAAACAGTCCCCATTTACTTAGAACAATTCTGAGGTTTGTCCAAGTAGTTCTTTTGGTCTAGGTTGAGATATCTCATTTGCCTGGAGTCAGCTAATGAGTAATCGAGAGGCTGGGTGACCTAGCATGGCCTCACACATATGTCCAGCATTGGCAAGCTACTGGCTGGGGTGATGAAGGCAGCTACATGTTTCTCATCATGCAGCAGTCTAGCTTGGGCCTCAGGGTTTCAAGAGCCACAAGAGAGAAAGCCTCAATGCACAAACACATTTCAAGAGTCTGCTTGCTTTATGTTTGCCAATGTCCCATTGGCCAAAGCAGGTCACGAGACCAGCCCAGACTCAAGGGGTAAAGAAATAGATACCATCTCTTAATGGGAAGATTTGTGATGCCACAGGAAGGGGAAATATATGGGGGCCATTATTAATATAACCTACCACACCTGCTTGTTTTTGCTTTTCCAATTCTCTTCTCATTTAAGATCTGCAGGTTGTCATCCTTCTTCTCACTTGCTAGAGAATGTGTTTTGTTCAACAGCTGTTCTAGCAGCTAGAGAATATAATTTATTTTGATATGAACCATTTTGCCCTGATATTAATTAAACTCTAGCTCTTTCTCTTGAAAAGAAAATTCTCCATTTCCCTAATCAACTATGACTGCCATATAGATGTCCCCAGAGTCTGGTTACAAGCCAAATATAGGATGCCATTCCAAGGGACCTGTTGGCAGTGTGGACTTGGCTCACAGGCCATGGAGGGCTTGGAATAAAGAAAAACTGAAGAGTCAAAGTCATGAAAGAAGAGAGAGAAAGAGGAGAGGAAGTGCTCAGTTAATAAAATTGGCATTGATGTCACCATGGAGGAACACCCAAGCGCATACCACTCAACACCTCAGGAGGAATTTGTAGCCTGGAGACATTAGCTGCATCTTTTTGAAGGTGATTTAACTGCATATGGGATGAAGGTTAACTAATCATATTGGAGGGAGAATACTCTGCATTCAATTACATACTGTCATAGTCAGTCAACACTATTGGGGTCTGTGAGGAAAGACGGAATAAAAAAGATTATTGGATAATGAAGGTGAGTAGAAAAGGACACATCTGGCTAGGGAAGATTTTCCAGGAAAGGAGAGGGACTTGAGACTTCAGTTTCAACTCCCCACTGTGAGACAAACATGTGGGAGAAGGGACAGAGCCCTTTAGCTTGCTTCCCTCCTGCTTTACCCTGCTCCTGAAGCACTTGCAGCTCTAGCCTAAGTTGGTATCAAGCAAGGATTCAAGAACTGTAAATAATCCCCTTGCCCAAAGCCCATGGCGTGAGTGCACACACACAAGACAGATGCAGGATAGGCCAGAGTAGAAAAAAGTCTCAAAGAAGCCTGAAGAATATTGCTATTCCCTCAGGACATGAATAAAATGGCCCCCCGAGCAGTCCCTTGGGGGATTTAAGGGCTTCCTCTTTGGGGTAAAGACTGCCAGTTGTCCCTTACAATCCACTCTCCCCTTCTTGCTGGGCACACGGCTTGACTACACTTCTGTGTCCCTTGAGATTAGGCTTCATCATATGGTTGAATTCTGGCCAATGGAATGTGAGAAGAAGTAATGTATGCCACTTCCAGAATTAGAATTTAAGATGGTAGGCCTGTCTCCATGCTATCTTTCTTCTTCCCACCAACTGGAACCCACAGCAATCTAGCTTCAACTATACAGATAACAATACCTCAGAGCCACACAATAGAAGGACCTTGGGTTTCTGATTGACTGTGGAGATTTGTTTCACCAATCTGGATCATGCACCTCTGAATTGTTACCTGAAAGACAAATCAACTTCCTGGTTCTGTAGGCTATGATGTTGTTAGGTGTCTTTGTTACAGCACGTTAGCTTTTATCCTAACACTTTCATTTGTTCAACCTAAATATCATAGGGTCCCTTTGGAAAATTCTCCTCTGGCCTTAAGGTCATTAGAAATACATATCCAAGCCTGAAAAGACTGTAGAATGATGGATCTATTTCTGCAATTTTCTCAGTAAGGGGGAAAAGAGTTGTTGACATTGATCATGACTCAGCAAAACTGCTTCAAAACATATTTTTTCCCCAAAGTTTACTCCTTGTGGCAACCATCTTCTCTCTGTGTGTTTTTTGTTCTCTTGCTTTTATGCTAGCACCCCCAACGTACACACACATGCACACACACAAACACACACCCCCTCATCATCTATTTGCTGTCCTTCTAGAGCCTCCTCTTCCTTCTAGTCTGGTCTCTCTTGGCTTCCCCTATTTGTATCCTTTATCAGCCATCCAGGTCACAAAAACAAAACATCATCCTTAGCACCTGCCCTTATCAGAAGGCAGGAAAATAAGTGAAAAAATAACTACGTTAATGTTTTGTAGTCAGAAGAAAAACAAATAACTTAATACTTTTCCCTCTCCTACATAGGGAAACAAATTCTAATTGAGCATCTATTACGAACTCACAAGACAGGTGTAGAACCATCCGGAAGGAGTCTTGAAGAGCAGCCAATGGGGAAGATTAAAGGTCAGAAAATTACTTGCCTCAAAATTATTAATGGAAAAACCAAGACTAGACCCTGGTCGCCTAATCACTCATGCTTAACTTCTAGCCCTATGCTATTTCCTCACCCTCCCCTATTTCCTGCTCTGAAACTTGCAGGGGAATGCATGAGGCCCCTCCACAGAATGCTTGCTGGAATCTTAGTACTCTAGACCCTGAAGGAAGGCAGGCAAGGCAGAGGGCTGGGGAAACTGAGTCAGTCGCAAAGGCAACCAGAGCAAATGCTTCACACCTACCCTATGATCCAGCAATTTCACTCTTAGATATATACTCAAGAGAAATGAAAATATATGCCCATAAGAAGACTTGTAAATGAATACTCATAGTAGCTTTATTCAGAATAGATAAAAACAAGAAGCAACGCAAATATCCAACATGAGAATTTATAAATAAATTATACTATAGTCATACAATGAAACACTATCCAGCAATAAAAAGGAATGAACTACTGATATATACAACAACATGGATAATCTCAAAAACATTGTATTGAGTAAAGAAGCAAGACATAAAAGAGTACATACTGTATGATTTCACTTTTATGAAATTCTGGAATAGCCAATTATAATATATAATGACAGAAATCACAGTAGCGATTGCCTCTGGTGAAGAATGAGGAATGACTACAAAGGGGCACAAGGGAACAATCTGGGGGTGATTGAAATGCTCTATATCTTGATTTGTGAGGGGCTTATACAGGCATATACATTTACTAAAGCTCATTGAAGATCTATGTATTTCACTATATGTAAATTATACATCAAACAAGCACACACCTAAAAATAGTATTGGAAGAAAAAAGACTATTAAAAGAAAAATGAACACATTAAACTTGTAACTTTTGTTTCTTGCTATATAAGATACAGACGATCTCTCCCCAGTCTCATTCCTCTCTCTTGTCTCCCAGTTTCTTCCTATCCTTGACCTTCATTCTATCTCTGATAACCATATCAAAAGCTCTCCCCTCCCCTCCCCACTTCAAAATCATCATGCCAAATTTTTTGCGTGCAAATGTCCAGCTTCAGCCAGTGACACAGCCTAAATGAGCCGTATGGTTCCAAATCAGGCTAAAGATGAATGAGACAAGAGCAGGGAGGTGATGATGGAAGTGCTTTTTAAAAACATAAATCAATAGTTTTATTAAGACAAAAATTGACAGCGTGGTACGAAGTTTACATGTAAACAAAGTTTTCACAGAAACCTAACACATGCCTAAAACAATTTTACGACGTAGCTCTAGATGCAAGTCTAGATGACATCAAGAACTGATGGAGCTCCTGACTTAACACAGAGCATTTTGAGTATCACTTAATTCTTAGGATTTCCTTTTAAAATGTTTTTTGTTTTGTTTTGTCTTGTTTTAAAGTGAACCACTGCCCCAGTATGAAAGTTTAATCTTCTCCTGATACAAAGGCTTTTGAAATCATTCACCTCCTAAACTGATTCAATGAAACTTGTGCTGTCAGTGATTGAAACCTGCCACCAATGGTTTCAGAGTTCAAAGCTCAACAAACAGAAAGGCTCCAAGAGTTCTCCATCCTGAGCATAGGCCCTTGCCTTTCCCTACTCTTCCATCTCCTCTATCACCCTCTTCTCCTTCCCCAACACCTCAGCCTGTGGCTTGGATGGCGAAGCTGATATTTATAACTTCATAATTGGAAAATAAAGGGTTTTCTTCTGTAATTTCAGGAATTAGCACCTCTAAGACAGAATGATCCACCTGTGTATAGGCTCCAATAAAAGGTTTTCCCTCCTCAGTCAATTTCCATCTGCAAAATGGCAGCTTTGGTAACTTATGATCTGGCTTAGTTCTTTGTGGGGAACAGGATTAAATTCAAGCAGGGAATACCTTGGCTTACAGGTTTCAGACATTCAGGTTTTTTAATTAAAAAATAATTTTTGTGGGTACATAGGGGGTGTATATACTTTTGGGATACACAAGACACTGAGGTATGAACATGCTTATTAACAGCTTTTAAACATTCTTTCACAGTCCTTATTTATGGTACCAATGACATTTTTAATGTAAAATATTCTGGACATAGAAACAAATCATTGCCCTTTCCATTGTTTCACTATTTTCCCAATCTGGTCCCAAATGGTAATAAAAATGAGGCTACCCATCTCCATTTCTCCCCACTCCATCTCTCCCTCCCCCAAAGCATACACCAGTAATAGCCAAAAACTACCTAATGCTACACTCTAAAAACGCAGAGTTGACACTATTGGGAAGAAGGCTGAGGGTTGTGGAGATGCTCTTTGAGGATCTTTTTGCTCTCTCACACACCCAATTCTGCAAGTTTTCTCCTTCATAGAAAGCCCTTTGCTTTTCTCAGCAAAGTGCAACAAAGGTTGCCTTGAAACACTTATCCCGCTTCCCCTCCACTGGAACCATGTGCAAGCTACACAGCTGGGAACAGTTTTGAAGCACTTGGCCTGCTGCAGGACACAGAGACTATACTGGCTCTTCAAAGGACATCTTCTCAAGCCACCTCTGTGATGTCAACACAAGTCTTAACCCCTTCTCTCCCCACTTGAAACTCCCAGCCAGATGTGACAGGGGCTGGTGCTCAGGAGAAGTAATTCTTGCCATCTTTTTTTGCCATTGCCCTCCTGAGGTAGGAATGCCCACATCAGCCTTTCCTCATAGAAGGATATGACAACCTGTGGGCACTTGACATTGGCTTCCTTGACGGGGACGAGGTCAGCCTCATCAGAGTTTTCCCATTTCATCAGGAACATGAGCTCTCCACTGGAGTCTGTAGCTCCAATAATCTGCTCAGCTCCAAAGCCCAGCAAAGCCTCGTGGCTTTTCTGACTCTTCTTTCTTCTCTGGTTTGCTCTCCTCTCCCTTATCTTCAGAATGAGAATAAGCTTTGCACTTGCCTCTTTCTGATCTATCTGTCTCAGGTGCTATTTTCTGTGGCTGTAGAAACTCAGCAATGAGGTCGCACAATCCAGGTTCTCTTCTGGCTCCCAAGAGTCATCTTCATCTAAGAAACTCTTCCACTTTAGGAGGTGCTCCACTTTGCTCTTTACCAGTTACAGTCAACAATGTTCTCCACCACATAATTTTCTTCCTCCTCTTCTAGCACCTCCTCTATTTCCTTCTTGTTTTATTTTTCCCCCATAGTTTCTGACAGCTTTCTAGTGTAAAGGGTGACACTGCTCAGAGCAGCATTCAAGAGCCTGAGAGGAGCATGTCATGTTGGACTCACTGGGGGAGTGGCACCCAGGAAGGCAGCAAGCAGGGTGGCGGCAATGGATCCCCTCACTGAAGCAGCATATCAAAGGCCCTGGCCAGCAGTCCTCCCCTCTGCTGAACCTGGAAGCTCTTTACCAATTCCTGGAGCACAGTCCCACTGGGGAACTCCAGGAGATGGTCTGGAAAATATTGTTCACTTTGCAAGTTATTGGGTTATATATACATGAACTCCCATTCATCATTGGTTGAAGGCTGCTCATAGTAAATGTCAATTCTCCAGAACTTCTGGCCCACTGTGTGCACAGGCAAGGTGGGCTCTGGTGCCCAGAGAAAGCCCTTTGGCAAAAAAAATGCAGAAATTGGCAGTTGGAAGTCAGATAAACATGGACAGAAATGGTAAGGCCTGACCAATTAAGGGTGGGGCATTAATACTGTCAGCTACAAGACCTAACCACATAGGATCATATATTATTCTCTGATTCAGTCTGGTTTCTTAATCGAGGCCCCCTGTACTGGTTAGCTTTTGTTGTGTAACGAACCACCCCAAACCACAGTGGCTTAAATCAATAAATATTTTATTTAGCTCACAATTCTGTGAGTTGACCAGGTGATTTAAAAATCTGGGCTGACTCTGCTGATCTCTGCTCAGCTCTCTCACATGTCTATACTCAGCTGGTGGATCAGCTGGAAGCCAGATGATACAGGACAGCCTCACTCACATGTCTGGTGATTGGCAGGCTATTAGCTGGGGCACCTTAATTCTCTTCCCTGTAGCCTCAATCTCCAGCAGGCTATACTAGGCTTGTCATACAGTGCTTCAGGGTCCCAAGCACAGTGAGAGAGCAAACTCCAATGTGCAAGGGCTTTTCAAACCTCTACTTGTGTTCTCTTTTCAAGAGGTGAAGTCTTTCTCTTCCCCTTCAATCTGGGGTGGCCTTTTGATATGCTTTGGCCACTATGATCACAATAAATACAATGTAGGCAGAGACTTGAAAAGTGTTTACATTTAAGGACTTACACTCTTGTTCTTGGAACTCTAAGATGTTATGTGAACAAGCCTGGGTTAGCCTTCTGGAGAATAAGCAATATATGGCCCTGTTATCCCCATCACCCCAAGTGACAGCCAGCCAACCACTAGACATGTGACTGAGGTCATCTGGGACCTCACCAACTCACCAGCCAAGTTCAGATCCATGAGTGAGCCCAGTTGGGCCCAGCAGAATCATGAGTTAAATAAACGCTGGTTGTTTTAAGCCACTAAATGTTGAGGTGTTTGTTACATGGCAAAAACTAACTGATACATGGGATAAAGTGGTGAAGTTATATTAGGTGACTGAGTAAAGCCTCACTAAAAAGAGAACATTTAAGCTGAGACTTTAAAAATGCCAGGGAGATATTGATGCTAAGAGGGGGTAGGGCATTCAAAGCATAGAGAACAGCAAGTGCAAAGGTCATGAGATAAGAAAGAGCTTGGTGTTTTGAGAGAATTGAGAGAAGGTAAGAAGAAAGGCTTCTAGGACTGAGGACCAGAGAAAGGGAGAGAGAGAAAATTTAGGGGTACAGGGGAAATTTATTCATATGCTTATCAGGGGAGTGGGGTCATGATAGTATGTTCTTTTTTAGAGTCCTTCATTAATGGAATCTTATTCAACAATACATTCTGAATATATCTGAAGCATTTTAATTATATATTATTAATAGAGAAGATGCTAAGAGAAATTATTCACATTCTTTATCCAATCTTTTCATGCTCTTCATTCTCCCCTTTCTCTTCTCCCCAGACTCAGCTGCAGTAGGAGAAAGCTAGGGCAGAGGCAAACGTAACAATCCTTAAAATGAAGACAAAATGAAAACCCATAAACTAAAGAGTTCACAAAAGCAAGACTGGGTTGTGCATTGGCCATTCAGCAAACTGGCCATTTTGTGTACTGGATCCTGGAACATTGGCTTCAAGCTCTGCCCTCTCTGAGCCTTAATGTCCTCAGAAGATAAACTGGATGAAGCCTAAATCCATTCTAGCTCTGGTGAACAAAGGTTTTGTGGGAACCTCAAGTTTCATGGGTATAGAGGTGTGTGTGTGGTGGGGGCAGGAGTGTGCATATGAGTAAACAAATTAATTAATCTCAGGTACCTGAAAAGCATTAAAATAGAAAGAGAACAAGAGGACTCGGAGGTTGAGGACGGAGAGAAAAGGAGGAGAAAAGGGGACTTTCACCGGGTTTTCTTGAATTGAACTAGATTTTAGTTCAGCAATGAGCTAGTCCTCTAATCTCAAAGTCTAATGGTTGGGCACAAATGTGTCATAACCATAGGGGGGACATGGAAATGGAGCAGAGATGAGACCCTTTTTTCAACAATCCGTTAAATTCACCAGGCAATCCCTGAATAAACTTTGGTTAATTTTGTTTTCTTAAATGAAAGAAGAAAACTATACCATGTCTGGCATGAAAGCAGACTTCCAGAAAAAACAGGGGCAACATAGAAAGAAAATTGAAAAACATATTTTGCCTGAGAATAAATGGTAACAAAAAATATGGTTCTTTAACTGGCTTAGTGTCATGGAAAAGGCATGAATCAGGACATCAGGGATCTAGGTTTGCTTCTATTAACTCACTTCGTAATAGGAAGAAAATCATGCCAACTTCCTTTGCTGCAGTTCTTCTTACGAAGATGTGACTGTATCAGAGATAGAAAACATACTTAGTATACATGCCACCACCATCCTTGTCCAGACCAGTGAGAGAGATCAATAATCACTCATAGCAATCTTTTCTGTTAACATCTAGATGTGTCCTCAGAATCTATCTCAACACAGTGCTTCCAGTAATCACTACCAAATTAATACAGTTGGTCTCAAAATTAAACCTATCTACTCTTCAGGACTAGATACTCAGTTCCCAACCTATGGGCTGCAGACTCCTGAGAGGCAATGAGGTTACTGCAATATGTTTTTCAACATATGCTCTCTAAGCCTTGTCTATAATATCAACAAAGTTCTATCTTATCTGTGTCCTCATTCCCAAAAGATGCTGGGAATATCTGGCCTAGGGGATTTTAAATTCCTCCTCTGCTCTAGTATTTTCTACTCCTAAGCTAAATTTCCCTTTCTTCTACCCACTTGCCTTCTACCTCCTTCCTTCTACTCAAGATCTTCTAACACGAACACAGATTCTTTGATCAGAAAGGAATTTCCTCATCCTCTGTGAAAAGGGAAAGAACCAGGCAACATACAATATCAAATGAGTCACAATAATCATCATTGCTTTGCCCTTGAGATGAGCTGTGACCAACTTGAGGGTCATCTGCCAAAACTGGCTCTGGGCATCACCCTCATATTTCAGGTCAGAATGCCCGGTTCTTTCTTCCCATGTCATTCCTCAGACTTTCTTAAATATTTAATTTCATCTTAGCTTCAAGTTTTGTTTCTCCTTCAGAGTTTCAGGCAATCCAAGCTTAGTTTGCATCCTAAGACATAAGGAAGTAGGGAATGTGAGCTTTGGTACCATCATTTATTAATCAAATGGCCTCCGGTAGTTTTCTTTATCTTTTTGAGCTTCAGTTTCTTCATATGTAAAATAAATAGTTGTGGTAATTTAATAAGATAATATATATATAAATTGCCTAGTACAGAGCCTAACATATAGTAGATATTCAATAAATTATAACAATAATAATGACAATAGATTAATCTATTGGGAACTTACTGTGATGTCATGTACTCTGTTAAACAAGTTACAGACCACCTATTTAATTAAACATATTTCCTCTTTTCGATAGGTTGCAAAAATGGCCACAATTCTTTGTAGCTTATATATCTCTACTCCTTGATTCTGGACAACCATGTGAGAGAAGCTACCTTGTGTGATTTACAAGCTTAGGCCTCAACATGCTTTGCAGACTTTTGCTCTTGCTCTTGGGAGCCTGCCTACCTACCATATAAACAAGACTGGCCTAGCTTACTGGAGAGTGAAAGACAAATGGAATAAAGACATGCTTTTCCAGATAAGGCCATCCTAGACTAACCAGTCCCCAGCCAACATGGCAGCTGACCACATTTGCCATGAGTAAGCCTTGCTGAGATCAAGTGAGTCTGACTGGGATCAGCATAACTGCCTAGCTAATCCCAGCCCAAATTGCTGCCACACAGAATTGTGAACTACATAAAGGGCTGTTGTTCAAAACCACTAAGTTTTGTGATTGCTTGTAATGAAACAAAAAGTGATACATGTTTCTTCTTGAGCACACAACTAAACTACATTTCTCATATTCCCTTGCTTCTAGATTTGCCATGTGACTAGTTCTTCCCAATGAAATGTTGAGTGGAAATGGCCATGTGTCACTTTCATGCCAAAGTGGTTTAGGAGCTGGTGTGCCTTCTCACTTTCTCTTCCTCTGTCTGTTGACTGAATGCAGAGGTTCTAGCTGAGGACTCTACAATATAGACAGAACCTGGGTCCCCAAATCACCATGTGGAGAGGAGCCACTCACCAGACCAGAACGTCCATTTGGACTTTATGTGATCAGTAATAAACTTCAATTGTAGTAAACCAAGAGGTTTGAGGGTATCTACGGTATGGTAACTGACATTACCTTAACTAGCACACATGGATTACATAATCAAGTTATCTCCGTTTACTGATGAAGAAACTGAAGTAAAGAGAAATTAAGCTAGTAAGAGTTGGAATATAAACCCAGTCTGTGTGATTCATAGCAACTCCACATCCTACCTTCTCAAGGTAATTGTTATAGCCATTATTATTAAAATTCCTTGAGGCTTTAATTTATTTGAGTGATGAGTGATGATATGACAATGCAATCCCTTGTCATATCTTGCCTTTCCCTCATTCCTCAAACTCCAAAGACATTGAGGTTGGTGTGGAGGGAGGAATTCATATTGGAGTCTCTGTCTCTTCAAGGTACAGCTGCTCAGCCTGTTACAGTCAAAAAGAATGGCCTGAAGACCTTGCACCTACAGAACTAACTAATGGGAGGGCTTTCTCCAGAGCTCTGGGTCCACCATACACTGTGATTACATGCATTTTAGTTTTCTCCTTTGGTTCCCATGCCTCTCACTTCATTTCCACTGTAGCCTTTCCCAGTATTACAAGGATCAATGAAAAAGACATGTTTGTTTCCTGTGCTTTCATTCAACAGCACCTGTGTGCCATACACTATCCTGGGCACTGGGGCTACAATGACCAAAATAGATAGGATCTCTGCCCTCACTGAGCTTATAATTGAGAAAAAAGCAAAATGAGTAGATAGGACATTGATACAGGTTTGCATCTACGTAGATATAAATGAATATCCAGAACAGATGACTGATGGTGTATTTGGTGATTATTTTGCCAACATCTAGGACAGTGGTTCTTCACCTTAGTTAGTATGAGAATCATCCAGAGGCTTCTTAAAATATGCACTATGAGGCCTCATCCTCAGATTTTCACCTGGAAGATCAGGAGTAGGAGTTCAGGAATCTGCATTTTTAACCAACTTGCTGAAAGATTCTAATGCAGATGATCCTTTGAGAAACTCTAGCCTGTGCTAAGGTGCGGCATTTCCACAGAACTTTGCAGATGTGGTACCAGAACTCACGGGCAGATCTAGGCCAGGCCTCTTCAGCCAAAGCCTGGGGCACTGAGCAGTAACATGATAGTGCACAGAACTGCTAGCAAGTCAGCACCACGGAATGCCCAGAACAGAGAACAAAGAATCCAATGAAATCCATTGAGTCTGCATGAAAAGGTGGAGGGAAAGGATAACTGTCATCATTGAAGTGACAAATAATGTGCTGAATGTAACTACTTTGCTTGAATTAAGGTAGCAAAATGTTTTCAGGAAAGCAGATTTTGGGGACACACCAAAATAGCATAACAGACTGAAACACTTTAGAAGAAACTCAATTTTTTTCTTACCTTAAATCAAATATTCATTGAAAAGAAGAATTCATACCCAAAACAAGCAGTCCTAAATTGTTTCAAAAAGAACTACCAGTTACAGCCGTATCCCTGGCCAAAGCCCAGTTTGGGGAGTAGATCGCTGTCTTTTAATAAGAGATTTAGGCCCTAAGGACAGAACAAGGACAAGTGATTAGAAATTACTGGGAGGCAGAGTCCAGCTTGCTGTGAGGAAGAACTTTGAAATAATGTAAAAATGTAACAGGGTTTCTTTGAGGTAGCAAACTGTCTGTTACTTGAAGAATTTAAGCCAAGCCTAGATGCCCTTGTAAGTATTTACCAAGCTTTCTTTGTATCTAGTGATAAAAAAAGAACACAAGATGAAGACCCAGTCCTTGGCCTCAGTGAACTCATATTCTAGTGGGGGAGATGGGCAAGTAAACCCACAATTATAATATAGCACAATGAGACCATGACTATATTATATCTGGCTACTGCAAGAGTCCAAGAGAGGAGGTTCTGGCTCAAGTGAAAAGGTCAGAGAAGGCTTCCTAGTGGAAGTGACATGAGATCAGAATGCTAAGCCACTCAGAAGAAGAAGGAATGAGGTTCTGGGCAGATGCAACAGCACGTGTGAGGGTCTGGAGGCATGAAACAGCATTGTGGAGGAGGAGAAAAGGTGAGAAATTCAGTGGGATATAGGAGGAAGGAGGCAGGACTAAATGCTAGAGAGCCAGGCATGGATCAGATCATGAGGAACTTCTTGAACTAAAATGAAGGGTTTTAGTTTCATCTACAAAAATGATGAGATGCCATTGAAAACCCACCCATCATCTGGGATGTGAGGAGTTCCTCTGCCCGGCCGCCCCATCTAGGAAGTGAGCGCCTCTGCCCGGCCGCCCTGTCTGGGAGGTGAGGAGCGTCTCTGCCCGGCCGCCCCATCTGGGAAGTGAGGAGCGCCTCTGCCCAGCCACCACCCCGTCTGGGAAATGAGGAGCGCCTCTGCCCAGCCACCACCCCGTCTGGGAAGTGAGGAGCGCCTCTGCCCAGCCACCACCCCGTCTGGGAAGTGAGGAGCGCCTCTGCCTGGCCGCTGTGCAATCTTCCAAGTGTGAAGTGACAGCCTTTCTGCAGGTGTACCCAACAGCTCCAAAGAGACAGCAACCATCGAGAACAGGCCATGATGATGATGGTGGTTTTGTCGAAAAGAAAAGGGGAAAATGTGGGGAAAAGAAAGAGAGATCAGATTGTTACTGTGTCTGTGTAGAAAGAAGTAGACATAGGAGATTCCATTTTGTTCTGTACTAAGAAAAATTCTTCTGCCTTGGGATGCTGTTAATCTATAACCTTACCCCCAACCCGTGCTCTCTGAAACATGTGCTGTGTCAACTCACGGTTAAATGGATCAAGGACGGTGCAAGATGTGCTTTGTTAAACAGATGCTTGAAGGCAGCATGCTCCTTAAGAGTCATCACCACTCCCTAATCTCAAGTACCCAGGGACACAAACACTGCGGAAGGCCGCAGGGACCTCTGCCTAGGAAAACCAGAGACCTTTGTTCACGTGTTTATCTGCTGACCTTCTCTCCACTATTATCCTATGACCCTGCCACATCCCCCTCTCCGAGAAACACCCAAGAATGATCAATAAATACTAAAAAATAAAAAAATACAAATAAAAAAATAAAATTAAAAAAACATATGAAAAATGTTCAAATTCACATAATTACAGAAATACAAAATAAAGCAACACTGAGATGCCATTTCCTACCTGTCATATTGGTAAACTTTAAAAGTGTAAGAACAAACTGTGTTGGCAAGGCTGTGGGCAACAGGCACTCTCATACTTTATTGGTGGGCATGCAAACTCGTACAATCCTTCTGAAGGGACATTTAACAATATGTACAGAATTGCATATGCAAGTTACCTTTTGATACAGCAATATTTCTTCTGATGTATTTTTGTCAAACAAAACAAAAATACATATGCAACAAGGTTACTTACTGTGGCATCATTTGTAATCATAGAATATTGGAAACAACCAAATGCTGATACATAGGAGAGTGGTTGAATAAATAAATGGAGCATTTACATGAGGGAGTACTAGGCAAATGTAAAAAAAAGAATAAGAAAGCTGATGAGTGAGTTCCAAGACATAATGGCTAGTGAAACAAAAAACATGGGAAAGTACAAAAGAGTAGCATGCTACCCTTCATGCAAAAAAAGAAGAGGATATAAGAAAATATACATGTATCTGCCCAGTTGTGCAAAAGAAATACAGAAAGGATAAACCAGAAACTGAAGAGATGGGGTAACTACAGGAGGTGCATGGGAAGAGAGTGGAAAAAATTGAGGGAATGGGGAATATGTAATAGACTTTAAAGTGACACTTGTATGTGTATACATTTTCGGTTAGTTCTGGCTTTTAGAACTATGTTAATGCTTTGTATATCCTAAAAAATTAAAACTGATATGTAAGGAGAGTTCAAAATGGAATACAATCAGTAACACATGAGTCTAATGGTATTGCAAGTGAACAATATAACCACACTGAAAGGAAAAGAACTAACCTAAGTAACTTTGTTTAGCAAGATTGGTTGTATACTGTATGTTAAAGACAGCAAACAGTGTATGTTGTTCTCCAGTTACAAAATTGTTTTCCACAGGGATTTAGATTAGCAATTCTGAAACTGCTCTATGTGTATAGTAGGGCTTAGCAAATACCTAAATTTATCATGAATAATGAGAACCGAGTTTCTCACTGTTAGGAAATGGAACTACAAATAAAGAAAAGAGAAAGTCTAAAAGGAACCCTGTAGTGCTGTGTTGAAGGAAGTATCAGTATGAACTCATAGTTTACACATATGTACATATGGAGAGGTATAGAAATAGATATAGGTGTATGTTATACATGTGTGAACATATATGCATATATTCCCTAACTCTGTTTGCTGAGAGCATGAGGAAGTAATGACACCCTAGTAGCAATGAGCACGCCTAGTGCTCACATCTTGATTTCTAAATACAATTCTCCACAAAAGAAACCAGGTCTACTTAGAGAAATAATTATCTCAGGGCTGGGGCAGGGAAAATACAAGATAAGCCTGAAACATCTTATGGTACCAGAAAGTAAGGAAGTGCTCAAAAAATGATGAGGGCATGTCAAAAGGACATGGAACTAACTTGAAGGAGCTCCCAATGGCAAAATCTAGAAGAATTTGAACAAGAAAATAATAATAGTAACAGTTTATAACCCACAGGAAAAAAATCTATACTGACATAAATAAATAAATACATAAATAAATGGAGATTTAAGGAGCAGCTCTCTCTTAAAGTAGAATTATAATTAATACATATAGAAGAAATGATGTAAATTGAAAGACATCACCATTTGGCAAAGACCACAGTAATAGTTGTTACCGGCAAAAGTTATTAATGTATGCTGTTGGACGGAATGCCACCCCATTCCTATGTCAAAGCCCTAATCTCAAATGTGACTATATTTGGAGATAGGGCCACTAAAGAAGTAATTAAGATTAAATGAGGTCATATGAATGGGCTCTAATCTGATATGACTGCTGTCCTCATAAGAAGAGGAAGACACACCAGGGATGCACACTCAGAGAAAAGGCCACATGAGGATACAGTGAGAAGGTGATCATCTGCAAACCAAGAGGAGAGGCCTTGAGAGAAACCAATCCTGCTGACACCTTGATCTAGGACTCCCAACCTACAGAACTGTGAGAAAATAAATTTCTGTGGTTTAAGCCAATCAATGGTATTTTGTTATGGTGGCCCTAGCTAACCAATACAGATGCTAAAATTAGTGGGCAAAAGTATGATCAGAAACAAGATATTTACATAGTGTCAAAGCGTCTCCTCACAAGATACTTTTTAATTACAAAGCTTAAAATAATAACTTTAAAATAGTAGAGAAACCTTGCAGACACCACCTCAACCAATGATCAAGGTTAACATCACAAGTAATAAGACATATTGACACCATGCACCACTGATAGGATGGCTTAAGACAGAAACAACATCATTTCTGTGAGATTCCTGCTAAAACAGCATAATCTCAATATAATCATAAGAAAACATTAAACAAGCCCAAGTGGAAGGACATTCTACAAAATAACTGACCAATATTCTTCAAAAGTGCAAAGGTAGTAGAAGACAAGGAAAAACTGAGGAACTATCACAGATTAAAGAGACTAAGGAGACATGACAACTAAATGCAATATGGAATTCTGAATTGGACCCTGAACCAGAAGAAGACATTAGTGACAAAACTGACAAAATCCATATAAGGCCTACAGATCAATTAATTGTATTTTATCATTTTAATTTCCTGATTTCAATATTGTACTATGATTATGAAAGATGTTAACAGTAGTGGAACCTGGGTTGAAAGCATATGGGAAATTCATACTATTCTTGCAATTTATCTGTAAGTCTAAAATGATTTCAGTATAAACATTTTTTCTTTTTTCCCGAGATGGAGTCTTACTGTGTCACCCAGGCTGGAGTGCAGTGGCGCGATCTCGGCTTACTGCAACCTCCACCTCCTGGGTTCAAGCAATTCTCCTGCCTCAGCCTCCCAAGTAGCTGGGATTACAGGCATAAGCCACCACGCCCAGCAACTTTTTTTTGTATTTTTAGTAGAGAAGGGGTTTCACCATGTTGGCCAGGCTGGTCTCAAACTCCTGAACTCGTGAACCCACCCACCTCAGCCTCCCAAAGTGCTGGGATTATAGGCGTGAGCCACCGCGCCTGGCCCAATATAACATTTTTAAAGAAAACAATATTGAGTAAAATATCTACATGCAGGGCTGGGTCTGCTGGCTCATGCCTGTAATCCCAGCACTTTGGTAGGCTTAAGTGGGAGGATTGCTTGAGCTCAGGAGTTCAAGACCAACCTGGGTAACATAGTGAGACCCTCCATCTCTACAAAATTTAAAATAAAATTAGGCAGGCGTGGTGGCAGGCACTTGTAGTCCCAGCTACTCAGGAGGCTGAGGTGGGAGGATCACTTGAGCCCAGGAGGTTAAAGCTGCAATGAGCTATGATTTTGTCACTGCACTCCAGCCTGGGCAACAGAGCAATACCCTGTCTGCAAAAAAAAAAAAAATGCGGGTGCATAACATTATATTAGGATCTCATTTACGTATTCTTCTAAAATACATACACAAGCAGGCCAGGCATGGTGGCTCATGCCTGTAATCCCAGCACTTTGGGAGGCCAAGGTGAGCAGATCACTTGAGGTGAGGAGTCTGAGACAAGCCAGGCCAACATGGTGAAACCCCGTCTCTACTAAAAATACAAAAATTAGCTGGGCATGCTGGTGGGTGCCTGTAATCCCAGCTACTCAGGAGGCTGAGACAGGAGAACTGTTTGAACCCAGGAGGCAGAGGCTGCAGTGAGCTGAGATCACACCACTGCACTCCGGCCTAGGCAACAGAGTGAGACTCTGTCTCAAAAAATAAATAAAATACACACAGGCAATAAAATGCATTTTTCATAGATACACATGTACTAAAAGTATACAAACATGGGCTAGACAGTGGTTAGTTCTCAGTCTTGGCTGCACATTGGGATCACCTGAGGAGCTTTAAAAACTACTGATGTGGGCAAAGAGGGTAAGTCTCAGTTCTTCCCTTTGTCACTCTAGTGATCCTTAGTTTCAAGAAGTAAAACTACATATCCATATCTACATTAAATAGGGGGTGAAAAACATACACAAAAATACTCTTAAGAATCTGTGAAAATCATACTGAAGAAGTGAATAGAAATCACTTTGATTTAGAAAAAAACTAACTGAGGCTTGAGTTCTCTCCTTCCTACACAGATTCTGATTTTATTTTGCCGGCATTGGTCCAGAAACCAGGGATTTTCAACAGACTCCCAGGTAATCCTGATATGCAGCCAGGGTTGAGAACCATTGCGCCTGAAGGAGACATACAAAATCTGTGATAGTGATTGCCTCTGGGGAAGGCAATGAGGGAGAAGTGTGAGATTAACAGGAGGAGTCTTCAACTTCACTTCAAATCTGAAGCAAAAATGACCAAATGTAAAGGTTCGTCATTTTGGAAGGTGAGACCACAGGTATTTATTACAGTCTTCTCCATCTTTCTTGTATGTATTTAAATTTATAACATTTTTAAGAAGACTAAAAATAAGCTTACTTGTGAACATATAAGAGTGTCATTTTAATGAAAGTAAATTGTAACCAAGAAACATTGTTAATTTGGTTTTACAGAGAAAAAGGAATAAGGAAATAAAGAAACACAGGCTTCAGATGTGTGGCTGTTGAAGCCCCACTGGGAGCCCCATCAATAATTTTAGTGTCATCTCCAGCCCTCCTGCTTACAGGAGAAACATGTTAGTCTTTGCTCCAGTTCACCCTTGATTAATTTCTCGAAATGCTACAATTTAGCAGTTCAATAAATTAGGAAAATAATTGGCTCAATGGTAATAACAAGAATGCTCTTTACAAATAGAAATTATTTTTAGAAGATAAGTGCTTGCAATTTTTAAAAATAATCCTGGACAGGCTGATATTCAACCTGTTTGCACAGTTTTAGCCATGCTGGTTGTCTTCAGCCTGCTTAGTGGGGTTCCATGATGCACCAGGTGATAAATACCTGCATATCCAGCTGGGCACTGTAGCGCACACCTGTAGTCGCAGCTACTCGGGAGGCTGAGGTAGGAGGATCGCTTGAGACCAGGAGTTCAAGACCAGCCTGGACAACATTGTGAGACCCTGTCTCTAAAAATATACTTTTAAAATATTTTAATATCCACCTTGGTCTTGCTGATCAGTTTGCACTGATCTATCCCCTCTTTCTCATCTTGCTCTCTAGTGGGAACACTAGCACACCACAGCAAGAATTCCGCTAAGGGTACATTCTTGTGGCCAGGGAATGGAGCAAGGCTGATTGTCTCTCAGAGGGGATCAGGTCCATGGCCATCAGGAGATTTCACCTAACCAAGTATAGACAGTGTGCTCCAGCAAAAAGAATATCAGTTAATGGAAGAAAGGGTACTTGGTGGGAAGGGCTGGGCAGGGAAAATTCAGTGCTGGGGGAAAAAAAAAGAACTCTGGACTGAGGATAGAAAATGTGAGTTCTAGTTCCACCTCTGCAAAAGTGGCTATGACATTGTCTTTACTACTTCCCTTATTGTTGCCCACCTTCCCTTCCTCTTCCCTTTTTCGGATTTCAGTCACCAAACATTTTTTTATCCAAAAGAAAGTGCTAATGTTTTTGAAAATAATTTATCTGACACTATCGACAATTGCACTTTCCTGAGTAACAACTCAGGAGAAAAGCTCTTCTCCGTAAGAATGGGAAAAAGGAAACTTCAAGAAACGGTTGTTTTTCTTTTCCTTTTTTTTTTTTTTTTTTTTTGAGACGGAGTTTCACTATTGTCACCCAGGCTGGAGTGCAGTGGCACGATCTCAGCTCACTGCAACCTCCGCCTCCAGAGTTAAAGTGATTCTCCTGCCTCAGCCTCCCAAGTAGCTGGGATTGCAGGCACCTGCCACCACACCTGGCTAATTTTTGTATTTTTAGTAGAGACGGGGTTTCACCATGTTGGCCAGGCTGGTCTCGAACTCCTGACCTCAGGTGATCTGCCCACCTCAGCCTCCCAAAGTGCTGGGATTACAGGCATGAGC
The DNA here is from genome assembly GCF_000001405.40 of Homo sapiens. Classification (NCBI taxonomy): domain Eukaryota; kingdom Metazoa; phylum Chordata; class Mammalia; order Primates; family Hominidae; genus Homo; species Homo sapiens. The sequence goes on along the minus strand of NC_000023.11, from coordinate 17,268,895 downwards.
CACCATGCTCGGCCAAGAAATGGTTGTTTTTCTAAAGTGTAGCACATATTAGTTTATCTGGCAGCTCCTTCTGCACCACATTCTACCTGTTCAGTGCCTTCATAATCATGTTGATTGGTGGTTAATTTCTAATACACCTATCTTTCCAGCAGACTATGGGTTTCTCAGAGGGAGGAATCTTGTCTTGCTCATCTGTATATCTCTAATGCCTAGACTCCAGTAAGCACTCAACTTTTTAAATTGAAACTTAAAAGGGATAAATTGGTATGACATCTTTATTCCTTCCCTTATTATCATCCACCTCCCCTACCCCTCCCTTTTCTTTGGAAGAGAACCAAATTCTTTTTTTTTTTTTTTTTTTTTTTGAGATGGAGTCTCACCCTGTCGCCCAGGCTGGAGTGCAGTGGCGCGATCTCGGCTCACTGCAAGCTCTGCCTCCTGGGTTCACGCCATTCCCCTGCCTCAGCCTCCTGAGTAGTTAGGACTACAGGTGCCCACCACCGCGCCTGGCTAATTTTGTTTTTGTATTGTTAGTAGAGACGGGGTTTCACCATGTTAGCCAGGATGGTCTCGATCTCCTGACCTCGTGATCTGCCCGTCTTGGCCTCCAAAGTGCTGGGGTTACAGGCATGAGCCACTGCGCCCAGCTGAGAACCAAATTCTTTAGCTTTCTTTCTAGCTCAGTGTAGCGGATGCTCTGACATGCCACCCTGATCCACCCTTCAGAATTGAACTACTCATTTCCCCACCTGCCTGGAGTGTTGGAGACTGAGCATTTTTCCCTTGATGGAAATATCTTCCTTGGCAAAGATGTGCCCCTTTACTGGAGGTGCCCTCATCTGATTATGGGCCAATGCTTTAGAGCTCTCCACAGGATCAACAGAGACCTGTGTTGCAACTTCACTGTAGCTCAAATTCTCCCTTCCAAATCCTGCTACTTTTTCCTCTTTCACAGGTGTTGATCCTGAGAGCACCCCTAATAAACTCTCTGCACACGAATCTCTCCATCAGAATCTGCATCCTGGGGAACACAGCAGGCAAAACTCTGTAACCTCTGTTTTAGATGTGCTTTTCTCAGGCTTGATCCATAAAACATCAAGTACCTTTTGGAACCCAGATCCACTTCTGAGCTGACTTTTCACTAAAGAGGCCTAAAGGATAAGGAGATAGGGCTGCAGGCCTCACTTACAAGACACTACTCGATTGCTCTGCCCCCCTCCTTCCCACTCCTCTATATATTGTCTATGCATCTCTACTCAGAGACCTTGTTACAATCCAAACAGACAAAAATTCCTTCTTTGGGTCCAAAGTAACTGTAAACTGAACACTATTTAGTTGAAACAGAATCCTTTTACAGGAAGTGCCTGTCCAATATCTTATAACAACTGAGCACCTCCCAAGTTCAAATCTCAGCATCCCTGTCAAGAGGCGGTCCTGTCTCGCACAGCAAAACTTTCAGCTCAGTAGAGGTTCCCTTGGCACAGACCAGCTGCTCTCCCAGCATCCTTTGCAGAGTTGCTGCAGCTCAGGTTTGCTACCTTTCAGCTGGGGATAGCCTTTGGGTTCCTGGGGTAGAGATGGCTCCTACTGCCCCTCAGCAGAGTGCAGCCTGGGGTTTTTCCAGGCTAGTCCAGCCCAAAGCCAACTAGAACTAAGAATCATTTAGAGGAATGAGAGAATGATGGGAACAATCAAACACAGATTTGACCTGACTGGTTTGGGGTCAATAGCTAGGGCAGCTACACAGCTACATCTCTTGACATCAGCCCTGGAGATGTCCAACTTATTGATGTGACAGATGCCCACAGCAGACACTGAATCTCAGCCACATCATTGTCTGGGAATCATTGTGCAAAGGTCTCTTTATTAGCTTCTTAACAGTATAGGCCTTTTCATCTCTTTCTCCCTCTGCCTGTGGAACATTCTCTCATTCTCACAAAAGAAAAAAGGCTTCTCAGGAAACTCTAATGTTCTTCTTTCAACCATCCCTCCTCCTCCAGCCAATAATTTTTCACTGAATTTAATAGAATCTAAATCAGATGCATTGCCATCAGACATACAGTATAAACTTATTATTGGTGTTTCATCATAATAGCAGATTTGAGACCAAAGCCAAACTGGCAATTTCTTCCCTTCAGGGGAAAATTGCTTTTAAGTATTAAATAAAATTCTTCTTCTGTATACTACCCTCAACAGACCCTTCCCCAACCCATGACACAATATTTTATGAGGACGATCTTTTAGTATTTTTCCATATGTCAAATTGATTCATTTGATGTCTTCAGCAAAAATAAATAAATAAAGTGGAGGCTTTATCAAATAATTTTAGAGTCACAGACCAGACAAAATTAGAGTGAAATCTGGCCTTAAAGAGGAAAATTATTTAAAAAAAAAAAAAAACCAAGTAGAGTTAAGAGAAAGACTATACTGCCTTACTCTTTAAGCAGAAAGAACTGATCTGAAGCAGAGATTTGATGAACTTTCATCTTATCTCTGGTATTTGGGGGCCTTCCAGCACCCACACATTTTTGTCAGCCAGTGTTTACAAAGAACTGGAGAAGCAGTAATGATTCAGGAAAAGATTTTGCTTCAGGGTGGAAAAGATTAATAAGGAGTCACATGGCCCATTATTATGCAACAAGAAGTAATGAACTTTAAGTGACCAAAGAAAACAACTTAGTAAACAACTTTTTTCCCTCCAAAAGGATAAGGGAAAGAGGAAGTGGAGAAAATTTCAGTATCCCTTAGAAGTTAAAATTGGAGGTTTGACAATCTCTGCAGACCTCCAAAAGAGTGAGTGGCATTTCTGAAGCTGTAGTAAATATTGATTGTATAATTGCCATATGTTATTCTGGGGCTCTTAAAAGAAATAATTTTCTCAGATTGAGAGTTTGTTTGTTAAGTTTTATTTTAGTTTCAGGGATACACGTGCAGGTTTGTTATATAGGTAAATTGCATGTCATAGGGCTTTAGTATACAGATTATTTAGTCACCCAGGTAATAAGAATAGTACACTGTATTAGTCTGTTGTCCTGTTGGTAATAAAGACATACCCGAGACTGGGTAATTTATAAAGGAAAGAGTTTTAACTGACTCACAATTCCACATGGCTGGGGAGGCCTCATGATCATGGTGGAAGGCAAAGGAGAAGCAAAGCCACATCTTACATGGTGGCAGGCAAGAGAGCTTGTGCAGGGGATCTCCCATTTATAAAACCATCAGATCTTGTGAGACTTATTCACTATCACGAGAAGAGCATGAGAAAGACCCACCCTCATGATTCAATTACCTCCCACTGGGTCCCTCCCATGACACATGGGAATTGTGGCAGCTATAATTCAAGAAGAGATTTGGGAGGGGACACAGCCAAACCATATCATTCCACCCCCGGCCCCTCCCAAATCTCATGTCCTTTTCACATTTCAAAACACAATCATGCCTTCCCAACAGTCCCCCAAAGTCTTAACTCATTTCAGCATTAACTCAAAAGTCCACAGTCCAAAGTCTCATCTGAGACAAGGCAAGTCCCTTCCACCTATGAGCCTGTAAAATCAAAAGCAAGTTAGTTACTTCCTAGATACAATGGGGGTACAGGCATTGGGTAAATACATCTGTAAAATGGCAGAAATTGGCCACAATGAAGGGGTTACAAGCCCCATCCATGCAAGTCTAAAATCCACCAGGGCAGTCAAATCTTGATCTCCTCCAAATGATCTCCTTTGACTCCATATCTCACAACCACCATGGGTTCCCATGGTCTTGGGCCGCTCCACCCCTGTGACTTTGCAGGGACAGCCCCACTCCTAGCTGCTTTCATGGGCTGGCATTGAGTGTCTGCAGCTTTTCCAGGCACATGGTGCAAGCTGTCCATAGATCTACCATTCTGGGGTCTGGAGGACAGTGACCCTCTTCTCATAGTTCCACTAGGCAGTGCCCCTGTGGGGACTCTGTGTGGGAGCTCCCACCCCATGTTTCCCTTCTGCACTCCCCTAGCAGAGGTTCTCCATGAGGGCTCCACCCCTGCAGCACACCTCTGCCTAGACATCCAGGCATTACCATACATCCTCTGAAATCTAAGCAGAGGTTCCCAAACCTCAATTCTTGACTTCTGTCCACCTGCAGGCCCAACACCATGTGTAAGCTGCCAAGGCTTAGGGCTTGCACCCTCTGAAGCAATGCCCTGAGCTGTATGTTGGCCCCTTTTAGCCACGGCTGGAATGCAGGGCACCAAGTCCCAAGACTGCACAAAGCAGCAAGGCCCTAGGCCTGGCCCACAAAACCGCTTTGTTCTCCTAGGCCTCTGAACTGTGATGGGAGGGGCTGCCATGAAGACCTCTGACATGCCCTGGAGACATTTTCCCCACTGTCTTGGTAATTAATATTTGGCTCCTTGCTACTTATGCAAATTTCTGCAGCCAGCTTGAATTTCTCCCCAGAAAATGGGGTTTTCTTTTCTATCGCATCACCAGGCTGCAAATTTCCAAACTTTTATGCTCTGCTTCCTCTTGAACACTTTGCCACTTAGAAATTTCTTCCACCAGATACCCTAAATCATCTCTCTCAAACCAAAGTTCCACAGACCTCTACGGAAGGGGCACAATGCCGCCAGTCTCTTTGCATAGCAAAAGTGACCTTTACTCCAGTTCCCAACAAGTTCCTCATCTCTATCTGAGACCACCTGAGCCTGGACTTTATTGTCCATGTCACTACCAGCATTTTGGTCAAAGCCATTCAACAAGTCTCTAGGAAGTTCCAAACTTTCCCACTTCTTTCTATCTTCTTCTGAGCCCTCCAAACTGTTCCATCCTCTGCCTGTTACCCAGTTCCAAAGTTGCTTCCACATTTTCTGGTATCTTTACAGCAGCACCCCACTACCCAGCACCAGTTTACTGTATTTGTCTGTTCTCACACTGCTAACAAAGACATACATGAGACTGGGTAATTTATAAAGGAAAGAGGTTTAATAGACTTACAGTTCGACATGGCTAGGGAGGCCTCACAATCATGGTGGAAGGCAAAGGAAAAGTAAAGTCACATCTTACATGGTGGCAGGCAAGAGAGCTTGTGCAGGAGAACTCCCATTTATAAAACCATCAAATCTCATGAGACTTATTCACTATCATGAAAACAACACAAGAAAGACCTGCCCTCATGATTCAATTGCCTCCCACTGGGTCCCTCTCTTGACATGTGGGAATTATGGGAGCCACAATTCAAGATGAGATTTGGGTGGGGACACAGCCAAACTATATCATAACTGCTAGGTAGTTTTTGATCCTCTCCCTCCTCCTACCCTCCACCTTAAATAGGCCTCGGTGTCTGTTGTTCCCTTCTTTGTGTCCACATGTACTCAATATTTAGCTTCTACTTATAAGTGAGAACATGCAGCATTTGGTTTTCTGTTCCTATGTCAGTTTGCTTAAGATAATGGCCTCCAGCTCCATACATGTTGCTGCAAAGGACATGACCTCATTCTTTTTTATTGCTGTGTAGTATTCTGTAGTGTATATGTACCACATTTTCTTTATCCAGTCTACTGTTGATGGGCATTTAGATTCATTGAATTCACATTGAGATTTTTTCATTGCAGCTACCCTACTGGGACAGAATGATCATTTCTTTTGCTTCCCATACTGCAATTAGTTTGAGAGCTGTGTGGAATCAGTATTACTGTCCATCATCACTATATAATGGAGATAATGTTAATAATAACAGTGATGGTGGTGATGGAGATGGGAGTAATGATGATTATAGTGGTGGGCATGGGATGGTAATGACTGTGGTGATGGCAATGTGATGAAGGTGGTGATTGCAGTGACAGTAGTGGTGGTGCTGATCATGGTAGAAGTGAAATGGTGATTGTGTTGATGGTGATGCAATATAGGTGGTGATGGTGGTGGTTGTGTTGGTGCTGGTGGTGATGGTGACAGTGACAATGACAATGGTGAGAAAGATGGTGGTAATAGTGATATTGATGGAGATTATGATGGTAATGGTGATGATGGTAATGATAATCATGATAATAATAGGCGTGGTGAGAAGAATGGTGTTGATGATGGTGGTAATAGAGGTAGTAATGTGGTAGATAGAATGATAAGACCAGTCTTTTACAGAGAAAATGTCCCTATTCAGAAGGCTTTAAGAGCCTAGAACTTATTTCTGAATTTCTTTGAATGTGCCCTCAGTGATAATGGGTGGACTTCTTTACTGTCATTCAACAAATATTTATTCAGTGTCCACTAGGTTCCAGGTACTCTTCAAGGTACTGATGATACACCAAAACAAACAAAAATCCTTGCTCCATTTAAAAATGGAAAGTCTCTACATATTGGGTACAGTGTATACTGCTTGGATGATGAGTGCACTAAAATCCCAGAAATCACCGCTAAAGAATTTATCCATGTGACCAAAAATTACCTGTACCCCAAAAACTATAAAAAATAAAAATAAATAAATAAATAAAAACGGAGAGTCTCCATTTTAATCAAAGAGACAGACAATAAACAAAGCAGATAAGTAAAATATGTCATATGTAGGGTAGTGATAAGCCCTAAGGAGAAAGGCAAAGCATGGAAGGGAGATATGGAGATGGGTGGGAGGTGTGTGCATGAGTATGTGTGTGTCTGTGTGTGATAATTTGGGTGATTGTTCAGCAAATATTCTTTCCCTTCTTTCTCCCAGTATGGGCAGAGTATAGTTCTCTGCCTCATTAATATTGGGTTTGATCATGTGATTTCCTTTGACCAATATTGCTTATATTATTTGGATTGACTCTTATGCTGTGATGATACAACATGAGAAGAGCATGTCCAGGGTACCTACTTCCCCTTAATTCTGTGCCTCAACACACATATAGAGCAGACCTAAACCGAACCCACAGCCTAAAGCAGAGCTAAGCCCAAGCAAGGCCCATCCTAAATGAATCAAGTCTCAGATGAACTCATGAGTATGGAAATAAATGCTTGTTAACCACTGAGTTTGGGCATGTTTTGTTATGCTGCCTCGTTCTGGTAATAGCTGACTAACACAGAATAGATGTAATTTTATTTTATTTTAAACTTTTAAGTTGATACATAATTGTACATATTTATGGAGTACTTGTGATATTTCCATACATGTATACAATGTGTAATGATCGAATCAGAGTAATTGGCACATCCATCACCTCAAATATTTATCATTTCTTTGTGTTGGGAATATTCAAAATCCTTTCTTCTAGCTGTTTTGAAAGATACAATAAATTATTGTTAACTATAGCCACCCTACTGTGTTATATAGAACATTAGAACTTATTCCTCCTATCTACATTGGGTACAGTGTACACTGCTTGGGTGATGGGTGCAACAAAGTCTCAGAAATCACCACTAAAAAACTTATTCATGAAACCAAACACCACCTGTTCCCCATAAATCTACTGAAAATTTTAAAAACCTTTTTAAAAGTAAAACTAAAAAATAGAATAAAGCCTCTGAAAATTTGAATTTAAAAAAACTTATTCCTCCTATATAGTTGTAATTTTGTGTTATTAACCAGCTTCTCCCTAGCCCCTGTACCCTTCCCCTTCCAAAACTCTGATAACTACTATTCTATTATCTCCTTCCATGGGATCAATTTTTTTAACTCCCACATATAAATGAGAACATGTGGTTATTTGTCTTTCTGTGCCTGGCTAATTTCACTTAACATAATGGCCTCCAGGCTCATCCATGTTGCCACAAATGACAGAATTTCATTCTTTATGGCCAAATAATATTCCATTTTCTATATGTATCACATTTTCCTTATTAATTTATCTGACAATAGTCACTTAGATTGATTTAATATCTTGGCTACTGTGAATAGTGCTGCAATAAACATGGGAGTGCAGATATCTCTTCAGTGTGCTGATTTTCTTTCTTTTGATATATACTCCATGGTAGGATTGCTACATCATATGGTATTTCTATTTTTAATTTTTTGAGGACCCTCCATACTGTTTTCCATAAAGGCTGTACCAATTTACATTCCCATCAAGAGTGCATAAGAATTTCCCTTTCTCTACTTCCTCACCAGTACTTGGGGTGAGATGAAACTTCATTGTGGTTTTTATTTGCATTTCCCTGATGACTAGTGATATTGAGCAATTTTTCATATACCTGTTAGCCATTTGTATGTCCTCTTTTGAGAAATGTCTATTCAGAACGTTTGTCGATTTTTAAATCAGATTATTTGGTTTTTTGTTTGTTTGTTTTCCTATTGAGTTGTTTGAGTTCCTTATATATTTTGGATATTAGTTCTTTGTCAGTTGAACTGTTTGCAAATATTTTCTCCCATTCTCTAGGTTCTCTTTATTTTGGTGTTTCCTTTGTTGTGCAGAAGCTTTTAGGTTGGATATCATCCCATTTGTCTATTTTTTATTTTATGGCCTGTGCTTTTTGAGGTCTCATCCAAAAAATCTTTGCTCAGACCAATGTCCTGAAGCATATCCCCTGTGTTTTCTTCCAGTAGTTTTATAGGCTTTGGTCTTACATTTAATCTTTTATCTATCTTGAATTAATTTTTGTATATGGTGAGAGATAGGGGTCTAGTTTCATTCTTCTGCATATGGATATCCAATTTTCCCAGCACTATTTATTGAAGAGGGTGTTCTTTCTCCAATGTATGTTCTTGGCACGTTTGTCAAAAGTCAGTTGGCTATAAAGATATAGATTCATTTCTGGGTTTTCTCCTCTGGTCCATTGGTCTATGTATCTGTTTTTATGCAAGTACCATGTTGTTTTGGTTACTATAGCTTTGTAGTATATCTTGCAGTCAGATAGGGGGATGCTATCAGCTATGTTCTGTTTACTCAGGATTGCTTTGGCTGTTCAGGGTCTTTTGTGGTTGCCATCTGAATTTTAGGATTGTTTTTTCTATTTCTGTCAAAAATGTTATTGGAATTTTGACAGGGATTGAATTGAATCTGTAGATCACTTTGGGTAGTATGGACATCTTAACAATATTAACTCTTACAATCCATGATCATGAGATATCTTTCCATTTTTTAATGTGTACCCTGTTCGATTCTTTCATCAGTGTTTTATAGTTTTCATTGTAGAGATCTTTTACCTCATTAAGTTTATTCTTAGGTATTTTATTTTTTTGTAGCTATTGTAAATGGGATTGCTTTCTTGATTTCTTTTCATATTGTTCATTATTGGTGTATAGAAACAATGTTTCTATAGTAATATCACTGTTTCTATAGATGTTTGTAAGTTGATTTTTTTATCTTGCAAATTTACTGAATTTATTTATCAGCTCTAACAGTCTTTTAGTGTAGTCTTTAGGTTTTCCTCAATATAAGATTATGTTATCTGTAAACAGTGACAGTTTGACTTTCTCCTTTCCAATTTGGATGCCCTTTATTTCTTTCTCTTGCCTAACTGCTCTGGCTAAAACTTCCTCTCTTGCTTTGTACTGTGTTGAAAAAAGTGCTGAAAATGGGCATCTTTGTATTGTTCCGGATCTTAGAGGAAAGGCTTTCCACTTTTCCCTATTCGGTATGATGTTAGCTGTGGGTTTGTCATATTTGGCCTTTATTGTTTTGAAGTACATTCTATATTTAATTTGAAAGGGTTTTTTTATTATGAAGGGATGTTGAATTTTATCAAATTCTTTTTCTGCACCTACTGAGATGATCATATGGTTTTGTCTTTTCATTAGTTAATGTAATGTATTATGTGTATTGATTTGCATATATTGAATCACGTTTGCATCCCTGGGATAAATCCCATTTGATCATGGTGTATAGTATTCTTTGGTGTGCTATTGGATTTCATTTGCTATTATTTTGTTGGGGATTTTTACATCTATGTTCATCAAGGATAATGTCCTTTAGTTGTATTTGTTGTTGTTGCATCCATGTCTGGTTTTGATATCAGGATAATTCTGGCCTCAAAGAATAAGTTTGCAAAACTCCCATCCCCTTCTTTTTTTTTTTTTTTTGAATAGTTTGAGAAGAATTGGTGTTCGTCTTCAGTAGAATTCAGCAGTAAAGCTATCCAGTCCTGGGCTTTCCTTTGTTGGGAGACTTTTTATCATTGACTCAACCTCATTACTCATTATTGTTCTTTTCAGATTTTCTATTTCTTCATCATTCAAACTTGTTAGGTTGTATATGTTTATAAATTTATCTGTTTCTTCTAGATTTTCCAGTTTGTTGATGTGTAGTCAGTGGTTCATAATAGTCTCAAATGATTCTTCATATATCTTTAGCATTAGTTGTAATGTCTCCTTTTTCATCTCTGATTTATTTGGGTCTTCTTTTTTTCTAGTTCAGCTAAAGGTTTGTCAATTTTGTTTATCTTTTCAAAAAACTAACTCTTTGTTTTGTTAATTTTTTTATTTTTAAGTCTCAATTTCAGTTATTTCTTCTCTGATCATTATTATTTCTTGCCTTCTGCTAATTTTCAGTTTGGTTTATTCTTGCTTTTCTAGTTCCTTGAGTGCATAATTAGGTTGTTTATTTAAAATCACTCTACTTTTTGGAGGTAGGCATTTATTGCTATAAGCTCTCTCTTAGTACTGTTTTTGCTATATCCCATAGGTTTTTGTATGTTGTTTTTCCATTTTTGTTTGTTCAAAAAAATGTTTTAATTTCCTTCTTAATTTCTCCATTCAACATTGGTCGTTCAGGAGCATGTTGCTTAATTTCCATGAATTTGTTCAGTTTCCAAAGTTCCTCCTGTTATTGATTTTTAGTTTTATTCCATTGTGATCAGAAAAGATACTTGATATGATTTCAATTTTTAAAAATTTGTTAAGGCTGTTTTGTGGCCTAACATATCGTCCATCCTGAAGAATGTTCCATGTGCCAATGAGAATAATGTCTATTCTGCACCTGTTGAATGAAATGTTCTCTAAATGTCAGATAGGTCCATTTGGTCTGGGGTGCAGTTGAACTCCGATGTTTCTTTGTTGATTTTCTGTCTGAATGATCTGTACATTGCTGAAAGTGGGGTGTTGAAGTCCCCTACTATTACTGTATTGTTGTAAATCTCTCCCTTTAGATCTATTAATATTTGCTTTATATATCTGGGTGCTCCAGTATTGATTGCATATATATTTACAGTTGTTATATCCTCTTGCTGAATTGATGTCTTTATTATTTATAATGACCTTATTTGTCTCTTTTTACAATTTTTGACTTAAGCATAGCTACCCCTGCTCTCTTTTGATTTCCATTTGCATAAAATATCCTTTTTCCATCCCTTCACTTTTAGTCTATGCATATCCTTAAGGTGAGGTGAGTATTGTAGGCTACATATAGTGTTTTGTTTGTTTGTTTGTTTTTTAAGATGGAGTCTCACTCTGTTGCCCAGGCTGGAGTGCAGTGGTGCAGTCTGAACTCACTGCAACCTCCGCCTCCCAGGTTCAAGTGATTCTCCTGTCTCAGACTCCCAAGTAGCTGGGACTACAGGTGTGCACCACCACACCTGGCTAATTTTCATATTTTTAGTAGAGATGGGGTTTCACCATGTTGGCCAGGCTGGTCTTGAACTCAGCCTCAAGTGATCCACTCACCTTGGCCTCCCAAAGTGCTGAGATTACAGACATAAGCCACCATGCCCAGCCAGTTTTTTTTTTTAATTCATTCAGCCACTCTATATCTTTTAATTGGAGAATTTAATACATTTACATTCAAGGTTATTATTGATAGGTACTGCCTTACTCCTGCCATTTTGTTAACTGTTTTATAGTTGTTTTTTAGATCTTTTGTTCTCTTCTTCGTCTCTTGCTTTCTTCCTCTGTGATTGGATGGCTTTCTGTGGTGGTATGCTTTGGTTCTTTTCTTTTTATCTTTTGTGGATCTACTACAAGTTTTTTGGTTTGTGGCTACCCTGAGGCTTACATAAAACATCTTATAATGGATTAATTTACTCTGATAGCATAATTTTGATTGCATACACAAACTCTCCACTTTTACACCCCCTCCTCCCACATTTTATGTTTTTATGTCACAGTTTACATCTTTTAATAGTATGTATCCCTTAGCAAATTATTGTAACTTTAGTTGTTTTTACTAGTTTTGCCTTTTGACCTTTATACTAGAGATACAATGGATTTACACACCACCATTACAGTATTAGAGTGTTTTGGGTTTGACAATGTACTTATTTTACCAGTGAGTTTTATACTTTCATGTAATTTTATGTCACTAATTAGTGTCCTCTTCCTTCAGCTTGAAGAACCTCCTTTAGCATTTTTTGCAATGCATGTCTAGTGGTGAAACATCCGCTCAACTTTTGTTTGTCTGAGAAAATCTTTATCACCCTTTTGTTTTTGAAAGACAGGATTCTTAGGTATAATATTTTTGGTTAACAGTCTTTTTCTTTTAGGATTTTGAATATATTATCCCACTCCCTTCTGGCTTGCAAGGTTTCTGTTGAGAAGTCTTCTTGTGGCTTTATGGGGGTTCTACTATATATGACAATTCTTTTCTCTTGCTGCTTTCAATACTTTCTGTCTTTAAATTGGACAATCTGCCTATGATGTGTTGTGGTGTGGCTCTCTTTGGATTCATCTTATTTGATGTCCTACAGGCTTCCTGGATCTGGCTTTTCATTCATTCCATAGACTTGGGAAGTTTTCTGGCACTATTTCTTTGAATATGTTTTCTGTCCTTTTCTCCATTTCTTCTCCTTCTGGTACACTGATAATGCATAAGTTGCCCCACTTGATGGTGTCCCATTGGTCTCTTAAGCTATCATCACTCTTTTTCATTCTTTTTTCTTTTTGCTCCTCAGACTGGATGATTTCCAGTGACCTGTCTTCAAGTTCACTGATCCTTTCTTCTGCTTGATCTACTCTGTTGTTGAACTCCTCTATTGAATTTTTCAGTTCAGTCATAGCATCTTCAGATTTATGATTTCTGTTTAGTACTTTTGTATACTTTCTATCTCTTCATTGAAGTTCCCAGCTTGTTCTTACATTGCTCTCTTGTCTTTTCTAAGCATCTTTATGACCATTACTTTGAATTCCCTATTGGGTAAATCGCAGAACTCCATTTCATTCAGGCTGCTTTCTGGAAATTTATCTTGTTCTTTTGTTTGGAATATATTCCCCGTTTCTTCATTTTCCTTGATTCTCTGTGTTGGTTTCTGTGCATTTTATAAGCCACTTACTTCTCTCTGTCTTGTTAGACTAGCCTTGTGTAGGAGAAGGTTTTCACCAATCCATCTGGCCAGAAATTTTAAGACACCTCTCTAATTTTTGTGTTTGTCCAGACTACCATCTCTGTTTATGGTGGTCCCCTGGAGCCTAGGATGTGCCACGTCTTGTCAGTACCCCAAGACTGGTATGATAGGATCCAGGGTATTTAAATGTAACTGGAAAGGTTGGGGTGTTGGAAGTGTTCATTTTTTTCTATCTTTATGATGAGGCTGGATGTGAGTGTTTATCTCCAACTCTCTCTGCACTAAGCTAGGGAGAAGATCTGTGGTAAATACTTGGACTCACTTTCAGCCTGCACCTTCTCATCCTGGAGGACTAGCTACTGGGTGTGAACTTGTTATATTCCACCTCTTTGTCTTCTATGGTCTTGGGTCACTCAGGATCACAAAGCCCACTTGACTTCCAGAGCTAGGTCATGACACTCTGAGCATAGCCAAATTCCTTCCAAAAAAGAATAGATAGGCCTGGATTTATCTCTGAGGTGATCCAGGTGGAGGTCCCATGAAGTGTGGAGCTCTGGCTCTGGCTACCAAAGGGCTATTGTTTGTTTACCTTGTTAATTCCCCAATGCAAGTTCATTGGAGACCAACTCATCAAGTAGCCACTGGAAGTGTGTGTCATAAGCCCCTTCTGGAAAGAAAGTGAGAGCTGCACATTCCTGCTCCTTTCCTGCACTGCTCCAAGGAGATGTAGTCCCTGGGAATGTTTGGATTGCCCTTTAAAACCATCTCTTTGTTCTTGGATCAAGGGAGACCTGCATATGCCTAGTCCCTTCTGTTCCCAGAGCTACTAAGTTGACGATAGAGTCCTTCAGGAGGCAGCTTTGAAAACTGGGGCTCCTGATGTGTGTCATAAACCCTTACTGGGGAGAAACAAGGGGTTGTGTTTTTGGAGGCCCCTTCTCTACATCACTCCAGGGGGATAAATTCCCTGAAGGTACTTGCATACCTGTTTAAAAATGCTTTTTTTCCTGTGACCTAGAGATAAATATGTATGCTGGTCCTTTCTGCTCTCAGAGCTAGGAGATTTATTATAAATGCAGGTAAGAGTTGGGGCTTTTATTTTGAGTGCAAATTCCTCCTAGGCTGCTGGTGGGTTATTGACTGTCCCTTTAACTCCCCAATGTAAGTTAGTTAGAAGTCAGACCACCAGTTAACTACTGGAGGGATGCTTTATAAACCCCTTCTGGAGAGAAACAGGCCCCTTCTCAGTATTGATCCTAGGGGGGATGGAGTCCCTTAAAAAGCTTGCAGGCTGGCATAAAGCCACTGCTCCTCTTCCTGCAGTCTAGAGAGACACATGTATGCTAGTTCCTTCTGCTCCCAGAGCTAGGAGATTTAGTATGCAATCTCTTAGGTAGACGTTGTAAGAGTTGGGGTGCTTGATGTGAGTGCAAACTCTTCCAAGGCTGGCAGCAGGTTAATACTTGACTGTCTCTTTAACTTCCTGATGCAAGTTAGAAGCCAGGCTGCCAGGCAGCTGCTGGAGGGATGTTTTTCAAACCCAAACAGATGGCTATGTTTTTTTAAGCCCCTTCTTTGCACTGTTCCCAGGGGGATGAAGGCCCTGGAAGTGCTCGTGCACCATTATAAACTCACCACTTTTTTTTGTTATGGTCTAGGGGACATCAGTGTGTCTAATCCCCCCTGCTTTTGTAGTTGGTGAATTAAGAGTCAAACCATGGGGAAACTTAGGGTTTGGGTCCTATATGTGAGATCCAGATCCTCCTCTCCACAGGAAGAAACTGGGTGTTGGGGATTCCTTTCCCAATTTTTTGGCACAGTGCCTGAGGTGGTGTCCATACCCAAGCGTATCATTTGAGGTGAATGTTTTCTCAGTTGCCTTGTGGGTAGGAGTCTCTTGACCAGTCTCTGACTTTCTCTCAGAGGGAATTGATCCGTGGATAGATGTTTATTTGGTGTGTCCACTGGTGGAGGGAGAGTTAGGAGCTTCCTATTCCACCATGTTGGTGACATCACTCAGGTACAATTTTAAATAAGGTGATAAGAGAAGGCCTCATTTGGAAGACAGCCTCTGAGAAAAGATCTGAAGTAGGTGAAGCAACAAGTAATACAGGTAGTTGCTGAAAGACCATTCAAGGCAGAGGAAACAGCAATTGCAGAAGCTCTGAAGCATGAATTGAAAGTTCAAGTAAGAATGCCAGTATGTTTGGAACAAAGTAACAGAGGGAGAAGGTAATCGTTCATGAGGTTAGAGAAGTAATGGGGGTGTGGGGCAGATTGTGTAGGACCTTGTAAGTTATAGTAAGAATACTAGGAAGCCATCGGAGGGGTTTGAACAGAGGAGGGACATAATTTGACTTGTATTTTGTGAGGATCACTCTGGCTTTGGTGTGGGTAGACAGTAGGCTATAGGGAGGTAAGAGTGGAAGCAAGGAGACCAAGTGAAAGGCTGCTGCTAAAACCCCAGTGTGAAATGATAGTAGCTTAAACTGGAGGGGGCAGCGTATCGCATTGTGACTTACTGTCTTGGACTACCTCCACCCGAGTAGCCAAGGAAGCTGAGGCCATTAGCCTTGGGTTCAGTGGTGGCTGTAAGTAACAGAGCCAAGATAAAAGCTCCCACTCCCACTCCCACATCTCCAATCTGTTGCTTAGCACAGGGAGCGCTGCCACTCCGTTCCTCTATTGTCTGGGGGTCTTAGTGATTCAGGAAAGGAGGATCTTTTCAGAACAGTTCAGACAGACACAAATACAGTCTGACAGCCTAGGGGCAGATCCTTTCTGCTCCTAGGCTGTGCGTGGATCCTTTCAGCTTCGTCACAGTTAGCAACATGCCTTTTATTCCAAGCCTCAAACGGAGAGCTCGCCTGAATCTTGGGGCCCTGGCTGCTCCTAATGTTTCATGATGGCACCTAAAATGCTGGAATTCCTACATTCTAAGCCTCCTTATTTTCAATTATTGTAAGCTCCACTTGAAAAGAATTTGCCTGGCTCAGGCATTCTATAACCCTCCAACTCCCCATGGCACCATATTTTCCTTAACCAACTGCTTCTATAATTGGCCTTGGACCTATGTGGAATAACCAGAAAGGCAGAGCTAGCCCAGCATTTTCCAAACTCTGTGGAGTCATTACTTTTTTTTCTTCAAGTTTCATCTGGTTATATGGGAGATAGTTAGAAAAGGGTGTAGGTATGCGTATATAGGTGTGGCTGGGAGAGGATACTGCTCAAAATATTTATTTGAATAATATCTGATGAATATTATCTGAATATTATTAGTTATTTAAGCTCATGTTTCCTGCATTTCTTTTTTCCTCTTGGGTAAAGTTCAAGAGAATATGCTTTAGAGGAGAAGACAATTTTTTCAAAGGCAAAAGATGGTTTGAGATGAATGCATCTATCTATAAAAACATTCAAAAAGATTAGCAAATTGAACTAAATTGGCCCCCGTCCTCTCTTATTTGTCAAGTGACTCCTAAAGAAAAGAGGGAAAATTTTATGAAAAGTTGTCAGAGCAGCTAAATACTGTGTTTTTTATTATCAAATCTTCAGTTTTGGAGAAACATTCTGTCCTGACCTTCTGCAGCCATGTATATGAGTCCATTGGGCTGGATTTAGTGTTGACCTTAGAACCTTTGGCTGTAGGTTACCATGACAACAATCTCCACCCCAGTGAAGGGAAGAGAAGGTATTCAACAAGAGGAAAAACTCCAGGTAGTTCATCCTTTGCTTTGAGGAAGTAAAGGGAAAGGGCAGACGTGTACATGAGGTAGCTGAAGAGAAAGAACAGTGAGAAGACAAAGGCAGGCTGGACAGTGGATGACAAAGAGAGGCCTCAACGCATGGGAAGTCATGAAGGAAGCCCTGTCTGTGGTCAAGTTGTTGAAATCATGTACCCAGTGTACAAAACATCTGCATAGATGGCTCATCTAAAACACAAGGCAGAGGAGGCTGAGCTAACTCCATCCGGAGTCTAAACAGATGTTCAGGAGTCACAAGATTGTGTTCCAGCACCACAGTGCACTGGGACCTGAGACTGAACCCTAGGGGCTTCAGTTTAGCTACCCCATTTTGCAGATGAGGAAACTGAGGCCTAGTGTTAGAAGGAACCAAATCTTGTCCCCAGTACACCTTGGGAGGCAGAGATGGAGTTTTTAATGCAGTTCAGTTCCAAATATGAACAGCTAATCAGAGATGTTGCAAAAGAATTTGTAATTGAGAAATTAAATTGAATGATGTAAAAGATAGCTGTGGGGTATCAAATTTGTCTTGTATTCACTATGTGTAAGGAGTGGATAAAATGTTGAAGCGGGGCCACTGCTCATCTTGGATTCTCTTCAGGAGTGGTATTTAAGGATGAACCGAAAGTATAAAGTCAGCTGAAAAAGAAAAACATGATTGTGTAGTTCCCATCAGCTGATGGCAGTGTGCATGTACCAATGAATAGCCCCTCCTTGATTCCTACCTCTCACCTCCTGACTTCGCAGGCAAGGTCGTAGATTTCCTGCCTTCATACTTTCCTACCTTCTCTCCAACTGTATTTCTCTAGCTATTTGGCTTTTAATTAACTGTTCTCATTGTAACTGATCCTGAGATTTTCGTATAGTCTTTTATTCTAATACTTTGCAAAACAAGTCTCTGGAACAGACAAGTTCAATGATTTGCCCAAGGTCACATATCTTGTAAGTAACAGAAACAGGTGTCTAGGACAATGGGTTCAGTGCTTTCTCTGCCAACTATGCCCGTCTACCATCAGAAAAATGTTACAGATTGCTAATTGGATGGTACAACTCAATACTAGAAATGGTTAACAAGTAGAAATGTCATAAAAATGCGTAGGTGAGGACAATCTGTAAGTACGGCAAGAGAGGAAAATAATTGCTGAAAGCTGGGACAGAGACCAAACTATCAACAAAAGGAAAAAAATAAATAATGACTTGATTATCTGGATAGGCAGTCAATGAAAGGAGGAAATTGAGAGGTGCCAACCTCAACTGCTGTTAGATCATGAATCTAAGATGGTAGGGCAGAGTTAAATGCTGAGATAAATACAGAATTTTGTAAGGGAAAGCCTTCACTTATTATGCACCCCCAAGTGATTACAAGCAAGAAAAGAATTCTGATTATTTTCAGCAAAGGGGGAATTAATTAGCTGGCTATCAGGAGCTAACAGAATCAATGAGAAGCTGGAGGACAATGCTTGGACAACCAGCAGGACCCAAGTGTGCTCCTGAAGTAGTAGAAACCTCAGCCAAAGCTCAATTGCCCATAAGCACCATATTTTCCTCAAGTTTCTCTTACCACTGTTAGATGTCTGATTCTTAACTTTCCCTGCATCTTTGTGTCCCTTATTTGAGACTCAGTATCCCAGGAGCAAGTGTCTAATTGCCTATTTAATGTAGGCTGAACCAGGGAGCAGCTGAACCAGGCTGGACCCCCTCAGCTTCTGTAATGAGAGCATGAGCAGGTGGCCGAGATGGCTATGGCCCTCCTACTGAGACCACGCACAATGGAGGTGTATCAGTTAGGGCAATGCTAACTGCAGCAACAAACGAACCCCAAAGTTTAACAGCTTAACACAGTGAAAGTGCATTCCTCAGTCATGTAACTGTATAACACACACGAGTATTTCTGGTTGGTGGTCAACCTTCCACATGAGTATTCACTACCCAGATTGCTTTCATATTGTGGCTCCACCCTCCTCTTGGGCTTTAGAGTCCTTTGTGTTCAACTGGAGAATGAACAAAGACAATGAATGTACACTCACTGCTTAAGTTTCTTGACCCAGATGTGATATATATCACTATTGCTACCGTTCCACTGGGGAGAACAAGTCTCTGGCCTCAACTACATGTAAGGAGACTTAGGAAATGTAATTCCTAGTAAGCAGCT
Organism: Homo sapiens; assembly: GCF_000001405.40. Classification (NCBI taxonomy): domain Eukaryota; kingdom Metazoa; phylum Chordata; class Mammalia; order Primates; family Hominidae; genus Homo; species Homo sapiens. The sequence goes on along the minus strand of NC_000023.11, from coordinate 17,249,849 downwards.
GCTTACATCAATAATTCTACACTCTGTGGCCAGGTGTGGTGGCTCATGCCTATAATCCCAGCACTTTGGGAGGCCAAGGCAGGTGGATCACGAGGTCAGGAGTTAGAGACCAGCCTTGCCAAGATGGTGAAACCCCGTCTCTATTAAAAATACAAAAATTAGCTGGGCATGGTGGCGGGCACCTATAATCCCAGCTACTCAGGAGGCTGAGGCAGGAGAATTGCTTCAACCTGGGAGGCGGAGGTTGCAGTGAGCTGAGATCGCGCCACTACACTCTAGCCTGGGTGACAGAGGAAGACTCTGTCTCTAAATAAATAAATAAATGAATAAATAAATAAATCTATACTCTGGAAGTTCAAATCTTCAGTGGACAAAGAATTGTCTCTGTTACAGGAAACTTCCTACAAAGGGAAATGGAGGCAGGAAGGGAGTAGGTCAGACGTGTAACTGCCAAAATCCAACACATGATTGTAACAAAATGGATTTCCAGACACTTGTAAGGAAGCCTATGTTTTAATTTAAATGAAGTTAGCTGTAAGTCCTTTACCAGAGTTTATGAGTCTCAGAGTTGGATGTACCCTGAGAGGCCTGCCTACTTGCCCAGGGTAGAATAACCCTCCAGCAGTTCTGATAACAAGGCAATATTCAACCTGTATTCCTCAACCTCTTCAGGATCCATGTATCAGTTAGGATGTTTCAAACTAGAAATAATGGAAACTCCAACTCAAAATGAAATCGAAGGGTAGAAGAGCCTTCAGGCTCAGGATGATCAGCAGCTTAATGGACAGGTCCTTTTCATCTCTCTGCTCTGCCATCCTCAGTGCTGGTTTCATCCTAAAGCTGGTTTCCCTCTTGGCCACAAGATGGCTGTCAGTGACAGTTAAGACTAATGAGTTCTGATGAATGTCCAGCAGGAAAGGGGGAAACCCTCTCTCCTAACCATGAAATACAAGACCTTCCTTTAAGTCTGATTGGGTTGGCTTAGGGTATGTACCAACCTTTGGACCAGCAAGAGCCACTAAGAGAATGCCATGTGCTGAATGGCTTGGACTAATCAGGATCCATCCCTAGAACTGGGCATAGAGTTCCCTCTCCCATAATCACATGAGGACAATACTTCAACAAAATTGGGTTTCTGTAGTCAGAGAAGAAGGGGTAAATGGATGCTGAATGGTTAATCAACAGAAGAAGGCTTTAAGAAAGGCCAGTTCACTTTGGGGAAGTGCTAATTATTGGAAAGTTCTTTTCTTTTTTTTTTTTTTTTTTTATCTGAGATGGAGTCTCACTCCGTTGTCTAGGCTGGAGTGCAGTGGTGCAATCTCAGCTCACTACAATCTCCGCCTCCCGGGTTCAAGCGATTCTCCTGCCTCAGCCTCCAGAGTAGCTGGGACTATAGGGATGCGCCACCACGCCCGGCTAATGTTTTTGTATTTTTGGTAGAGTGGGGGTTTCACCATGTTGGTCAGGCTGGTGCGAACTCTTGACCTCCAATGATCCTCCCGCCTTGGTCTCCCAAAGTGCTGAGATTACAGGCATGAGCCACCGCGCCCAGCTGGAAAGTTCTTTATATTGAGCCCAAATCTTGCTCCTAGCACTGCTCTCTGGAACGCCTCAGCGTAACGCTAAACCCTCTTCCTTGTGACATACTTCTAAAACTTTAAAGATAGATATTATACGCCCTTATTATTCTACCCCAAAGTTTTCTTTAGGCTGAAGCCCCTTTCTTTTATACTCCCCAGTAGATCATTTCCCACTTCCTTATCACTCTTGTCTTTCATTTATGTGCATGTTTGACCAAATCCCGCCTACAGAATAGCAAAACTGCACCCTCCTTTGCTCTTCCTACAATCCCTCTATTAATACAGCTAATGACTATATATTTAATTAAATAATGAAACAGATAAACCACAATATCTCAACACCTTAATAAAGGTTTATTTCTCTCTCACATAAACTTCTGATTGTCAAGCAGCTCTACTCCAAGCAGTGACTCAGTGACTCAGGCTTCTTCCATCTTGTGGCTCTGTTATATCCAACACACAACTTCCCAAGTCACCTGTTTTATTTGTATCAAGATAGAAAGGGAGAGCCAGGTGAGGTGGTTCATGCCTGTAATCCCAGCACTTTGGGAAGCCAAGGCGGGTGGATCACTTGAGGCCAGGAGTTCAAGACCAGCCTGGCCAATATGGTGAAACCCCGTCTCTACTAAAAATACAAAAATTAGTCGGGGGTGGTAGTGTGCACCTGTAATCACAGCTACTTTGGAGGCTTAGGCAGGAGAATCGCTTGAACTCGGGAGGTGGAGATTGCAGTGAGCCAAGATTGTGCCACCGCACTCCAGCCTGGGTGACAGAGCAAGACTCTGTCTCAACAACAACAACAAAGATAAAAAGGGAAAAAATATACAGGAGCATGTGTGGACAATATTTATGGACCAGATCTGGAAATAGAAGACCTCACTTCTGCTCACATTCTGTTGGCCAGAACTCAGTCACATGGCCACATCCAACTGCTAGGGAGGCTGGGAAATGTAGTCCAACTACTTCTGCCACTGGGCAGATATTTAGCCATTGGGCACCTGCATTTCATTGTTGGCTTCTTGAGATTGTCTGAACCCTCTTAGCTTTTACTTTTATGGGCTGCTGCTAAGCTGGCCTCCCCATTCTGTAATTATAGAGTTTCTCTTTTGAACCTCAAGGCAGGGCTGCTCACTTAACCCATTCACTGCCCATTTGGGTTTCTCATTGTGCCTGCTGCTTCTACCACTTTTCTTCCTTTCTTTCTATTATTATTATTACTATTATTCTTATTTGAGACAGAGTCTCACTCTGTCACCCAGGCTGGAATGCAGTGGCGTGATCACAGCTTACTGCAGCCTCGACCTCCCAGGCTCAGGTGATTCTCCTGCCTCAGCCTCCCAAGTTCCCTTTAGGAAGATCCCTTTGGCTGTCATATAACTGAGACCTACCTGGAGAAGAGCAATTTTTAACTGAGTGTAATCAAGTTTGCATAAAGTCAAGCAAAGCAATGGTGCTGACCTAGTTCAAGGACAGCAAGGGCTCAAGAGAGTTACTAATTAATAAAAATTACATGTTAACATAGTCACTTTCTATAATTTTTTGCCACTTTTTTTTCTGGATTTGCAAGTTGATTTTCAGATCTTCAGTTGGTTTATTCTTTTGTGTCTTAAGTGCCACGTGAAAACAAGAGGAAAAATCATATAGCTGGCTCTGCTCTGCATTGCTGGGAATTTTGAAAATGAACTTGAAGTCTACGTTGCTTTCATCGCATTTTGGGGCTTTGTGGGCCAGAGCATTTGCTCTGTGTATCTACTTTCAACCCATAATGCAAGACATGTAATTAGTGGTGCCTCCGCCTCTCCCTGGCAAGCTCAATCAGGCAAAGCCCATCCAAATATACTCCACAGACTCCTCTTCCATGGCAAACCAGGGCAGATGTTTCTTACTCCAAGGCACCATTTTCTTTCTTTTTCCTTTCTTTCCTTTCTCATTTATGTATTTTTTGAGACAGGGTCCCACTCTGTCACCCAGGCTGGAGTGCAGTGGCACGATCTTGGCTCACTGCAGCCTCAACCTCCTGGACTCCAGTGATCCTCCTACCTCAGCCGCCCCACCCCCCAGGTAGCTGGGATTACAGGCATGCACCACCATGCCCAGCAAATTTTTGCATTTTTTATAGAGATGGGGTTTCACCATATTGCCCAGGCTGGTCTCAAGCTCCTGAGCTCAGGCAATCCACCCACCTTGGCCTCCCAAAGTGCTGGGATTACAGGGGTGAGCCATCGCACCCAGCCTAAAGCACCATTTTCAACCATTTCTTCTGCCAAAGAATAGTCATTTAGATGTCACTAAATGGTACTTGCCCTGGAGCAGCTCTCATTAATTAATAGGGTTATTAAATTCTGGACATAGAGTTGTATATGGCTAGAATTCCATTACAATAAAACCTCAAAGGGGTTAGTACCATATAGATCAAAAAATATCTTGAAAGACATTTTTGACCCTCTCCCTCTCCCTCTCCCTCTCCCTCTCTTTCCACGGTCTCCCTCTGATGCCGAGTGGAAGCAGGACTGTACTGCCGCCATCTCTGCTCACTGCAACCTCCCTGCCTGATTCTCCTGCCTCAACCTGCCGAGTGCCTGCGATTGCAGGTGCGCGCTGCCACGCCTGACTGGTTTTCGTATTTTTTTGGTGGGGACGGGGTTTCACTGTGTTGGCCGGGCTGGTCTCCAGCTCCTAACCGGGAGTGATCTGCCAGCCTCGGCCTCCCGAGGTGCCGGGATTGCAGATGGAGTCTCATTCACTCAGTGCTCAATGTTGCCCAGGCTGGAGTGCAGTGGCGTGATCTTGGCTCGCTACAACCTCCACCTCCCAGCCGCCTGCCTTGGCTTCCCAAAGTGCTGAGATTGCAGCCTCTGCCCGGCCCGCCACCCTGTCTGGGAAGTGAGGAGCGTCTCTGCCTGGCTGCCCATCGTCTGGGATGTGAGGAGCCCCTCTGCCCGGCTGCGCAGTCTGGGAAGTGAGGAGCGCCTCTTCCCAGTCGCCATCCCATCTAGGAAGTGAGGAGCGTCTCTGCCCGGCCACCGATCGTCTGAGATGTGGGGAGCGCCTCTGCCCCGCCGCCCCGTCTGGGATGTGAGGAGCGCCTCTGCCTGGCAGCGACCCCGTCTGGGAAGTGAGGAGCGTCTCTGCCCGGCCACCCATCGTCTGAGATGTGGGGAGCACCTCTGCCCCGCCGCCCCGTCTGGGATGTGAGGAGCGCCTCTGCCCGGCCGCGACCCCGTCTGGGAGGTGAGGAGCGTCTCTGCCCGGCCGCCCCATCTGAGAAGTGAGGAGCCCCTCCGACCTGCAGCCGCCCCGTCCGGGAGGGAGGTGGGGGGTCAGCCCCCGCCCGGCCAGCCGCCCCGTCCGGGAGGGAGGTGGGGGGCGCCTCCGCCCGGCCGCCGCCCCGTCTGGGAGGTGGGGGGCGCCTCTGCCCGGCCGCCCCTTCTGGGAAGTGAGGAGCCCCTCTGCCCGGCGGCCACCCCGTGTGGGAGGTGTACCCAACAGCTCATTGAGAACGGGCCATGATGACGATGGCGGTTTTGTCGAATAGAAAAGGGGGAAATGTGGGGAAAAGATAGAGAAATCAGATTGTTGCTGTGTCTGTGTGGAAAGAGGTAGACATAGGAGACTCCATTTTGTTCTATACTGGGAAAAATTCTTCTGCCTTGGGATGCTGTTGATCTTTGACCTTACCCCCAACCCGGTGCTCTCTGAAACATGTGCTGTGTCCACTCAGGGTTAAATGGATTAAGGGCGGTGTAAGATGTGCTTTGTTAAACAGATGCTTGAAGGCAGCATGCTCCTTAAGAGTCATCACCACTCCCTAATCTCAAGTACACAGGGACACAAACACTGTGGAAGGCCCCAGGGTCCTCTGCCTAGGAAAACCAGAGACCTTTGTTCACTTGTTTATCTGCTGACCTTCCCTCCACTATTGTCCTATGACCCTGCCAAATCCCCCTCTGCGAGAAACACCCAAGAATGATCAATAAAAAAAAAAAAAGAAAGAAAGACATTTTTGAAAAGGCAGAGTGTAGCTCAACCTCGTGCGTAGCATCACAATTTTTTTAGAGCTAAGAAATCCATAGACTCATGCACACATGCAAGGATTTACTAAGCATCTACTATGTGCCAGGCACTATAGTGGGTGATAGAGATGAAGATGAATCCCTGTTTAGAGAAGCTTCTAGGCCAATGGGGAAGACAGACATTAGTTGGCAATTTGATATAACAATATAATAGGTTATATAAAATGCAGTGTAAAGATATTAGACCTGAATGAGGTCTTATGGATTTTCAAATCCAGTCTTTCTCAACCTTTTAGAACCAATACCTTCCTTTATGTAAAAATGAAAATCTCTAGGTCACCTTCAGGAAACCAGGAGATGTGAAACTAGAGTTGCCCTCTGTGGATCTTGGCCAGCTCAGAAGATCTGTTCCTACTTTACTTTTTTGTAGCTTAAAAAAAAATCTTAGTGTTTTCTAAATATTGAAATGCCATTTTAAAAATTCCTCTCTCCTATCCTCCCAACATCTACTATCCCAATTAGGAATAGCTCACCTAAGCCAAGCGCCCCATTTTGAAAGTCCAGAGAGGGAAAGACCAAAGCTCAAGGGTCCTAGTACCTGCAGTGTTGTTTGGGTTAACAATGATGTGGGATGATAAAATAAATAGCAAGACTGGTTTAAAGAATAGTTTAGCCCTTGCTTCTCAAAATATGGTCCATGGACCAGCAGCATCACCATCATCTGGGAGCTTGTTATAAAGGCAGAATCTTAGTCACCACCCAAATCTATAGAATCAGAATCCACAACCTAACAGGATCTTCAGGTAATTTGCATATACCCTAAATTCTGAAAAGCACTGCTGTAGCAGTCATTGTTGATGCCCCCAACCCATATCTCATCTTCCCACCTAATTCATCAGCAGGTGTGGTAGACAGTTTCTAACATGCCAATAGCTTCCTGCCTTAAATGCCTGCATCTTAACTCCTTGCATGTATGGTGAAGTTAATACCCCAGGGTAAACCTTCACCCAAGGAGGGATGGAAGCCAGTGGATAAAGGTCCGTCCTTCCCACTCTTTAACCGGAGAGTTGATGAATCCTCAGCTAGTATGATTTGTCCAGTGATACAAACATCTTACCAAAAGGAATAACAAATAATCCTGTAAGGTTTTTGCCCCAAAACTGACCACAGGATCACACTGACCCTTTCCAAGTTCTACTTTGTTTGTGTGATTGTTTGGGTTTTCCTTGGCTCTTTGCCATTCCCCCACCATCTCCCATGACTTGGGATTACCCCAGGCATGGGAAAATGGCACCCAGTAATTTTTTGTAAACAGACTCCACCTGCTTCTCTCATACAGGTTCCCCATGTTGCTTTGGGAATTCATCCAACAGTCTCTACCTTTCAAAGCCGTAAATCAGACAATGATCTGACTGAGGCTGGAATTTCAGGGCACCACTTTCTTTATTTGGGTTGTTTTTAATCATAGGCTTGCCCTTCTTATGTCACACTGGCCATGGTCCCTCAGAGTCTCTAATTATTTTACTTACTCTAAGAGACATGCCGTCCATGGATAATGAATGTTGATATTCTGCCACCTAGTGGAGGAACTGGGACTGCAGAGATGGAGCTTAACCGCTGAAAACAAGGAATCAATAATAACCATGTTCTTATTTGAATGCTTATTATGTACAGACCACTCTACACATAGGAGCTCTTTCCATCCTCACAGCAACTCTGTGATGACGGCGTGATTTGAATTTCATAGGCTTAAGAAAATTAAGCAACTTGGTAATAGTGACATAGGGATGGGACAAAAACCAATGAATAAGTGCGTTAATGAGTGGGTTAGAGCTCTGGGCAACAGAGGCTCAATTCTGCTGGGGATCCTTTGAGAAATCAAAATTTTTTGGAATAAAAAAACCTTCAGAATCATCTCACTGGAATATGGAGAGGCTGCAGCATGTATCCACTGACTCCCATTCCTCATTGGTTGAGAGTTCCCCCAGGGGTGTTAACCCACCCAGTGATTCTGAATTGTACCTACTTGTGGCTGAGCAGTCTCCAGTGATGTCAGTGAATGCCCTTAGGAAAGAAACAGAGACATTTAAGTTCTGGAGGTGGGGAGCTGCCAGAACAACGGAAATTTAGGAAGTGATGGAATAAGATTCTAATCTAGATCTGTCTGACTCCAAAATCCATCTTCTAACCCATCCATCAAACTGCCTCAATGGTCAACCATGTATGATATATTTCACTGGTCACATTCTTGCCTGGAAAGCTCTTCCATGTAGTCCAAGCTATAGGCAATGGTCTGTCAGACCCTGAGTTCTCATCTTAGTTCTGGTTCAGATTGTAATTTGAAATCAGGGTCCATGTTCTTCTATGGGTCCTCTGATACACTGTGGGTGACTACGGTCTTTGGTCTGTCTCATCTCACCATGCTTACAAGCAGACATGTTGCCTCGGCTTCTTGAACTTTGGCCTGAAAATGCCTGATAGATGTAAATCCTAAAGCAACCAGCTGCTGCCTAGAACAGGTTGTGGACATGTGGCACAGCAGTCCCACAGTTCTTAGCTTCATCCAGGCCCTCCAGTCTTTGCTTTAGCGTCTTGTTCAATATCACCAAGATACAAATTGTTATTAGGGAAAGAGAATGGGCTTTTGCCAGACAGACCTGGATTTCAATCTGAGCTCTGCCACTTACCAACTGAATGAGCTTGAGAAGGTCCCTTGACCTGCCTGAGTCTGTTACCTTACCTATCCATTGGAGCTGATAATACCTACTACCCTTAGGGTTGTTGTGGTAACTGGGTATAAGGCAGATCATGAGAAAAGGCTTCAGATGCAACTAGTTTATTTGGGAGGTGCAGAGTAGACTGGTAGGGAAGTGGGAGAAGCGAAGTAGAGAAGGGAGACAGCCCATAAAGAGGGCATTGGTAAGCTGGCTACCACAGTGGGCAACTGATTTCATCCTGCAGGAAAACTCTGGGAAACAGCGTCAAACCCTCTAAATCAGAATTATCTCAAACAAGAGTTGAGGGAACTGGGGTATTTACATCCCAATTCCTAAGAGTTATTAGTTGAGGGCTACGCCAGGAGGGTGTTAATTCCTCAACCTTCACACTGTCTAGCAGGTAGGAGGGGGCAGCAATGAGCCCTGAGGCATGCAGGCTCCATCACCTGCAGTTGGAAGTGGGCCAAAGCATTCTGAAAGGACCATGGGATGCAAGCAGAGCAGCTCAGCACCTACTTTAAGTAACCAGCACATGCCAAGCACAGATGAGCAGCTCAATATTTTGGCCTCATCTTATTGCCCCTCCCTGCATCCCACTCCCCTTCAAAGTCTTTCTTTTGCCATCTTGCTGAGTATGTGTGATGCACTTGCCATTCTCCTCCTCTGTAATCATGCTCCTATTTAATCCTTATGCCTCATTCTTACTCTATTTTCTGCACTACATTCACCTCCTGCCACCAACTTATATTAGTGCCCTCTTCGGCACACTGTGTTTTGCTCAACTCCCTCATCCTTGAGCTGTTATTCTTTATTTTCCCCTTTATGTTGACCATTGGCTTCTTTCCCAACTGTTCGGGAATCAGCCTTTGTGATATTTCAGAAGTCACTTCTCCCCATGACTTATGTTAGCAAAAGCTTTTCCTTCTCTCTTGTTCCATAAAAGATCAGGTTGCCCATTCAAAATGAGCACTAAGTTAAACAGCACTGTGACAGACACTGTGGATTGTCCAGCCAATGACCATTCTATCCTCTTCTTTTTGCCAAGAACACACTGATTTTTGTTTACCCTTCAAGTAGAAGCCATGTCCTTCAGGGGAGGCCACACCTCTCCCCAGAACCAGGGAGGAAATACTTTTTGGTCAAAGCCAATCAGGGTGTTAGCCTTTCCCTTGCAAATGACTAGTTTCTTTTTTTTGTTTGTTTTTATTTTCACTTTTATTTATTTATTTTTTTTGAGACGGAGTTTCATGCTTGTCACCCACGCTGGAGTGCAATGGCACGATCGTGGCTCACTGCAACCTCCCGCCTCCCAGGTTCAAGCAATTCTTCTGCCTCAGCCTCCCAAGTAGCTGAGATTACAGGCATGTGCCACCACGCCCAACTAATTTTTTGTATTTTTTAGTAGAGACGGGGTTTCACCATGCTGGCCAGGCTGGTCTCGACCTCCTGACCTCAGGTGATCCACCTGCCTCAGCCTCCCAAAGTGCTGGGATTACAGGCGTGAGCCACCGCGTCTGGCCAGACAAATGACTAGTTTAGATATTGTTATGTTAGACAATTCTGAGACCTAGAGAATGCCAATGGAGGTCTCTGGGAAGGTTTCCCTTGCTCATGAAAAAGGTTTCTTTTTTTCTTCTGCCTCTGGAAATTGTCACCTGTGTGTAACACCCAGAATTGCCACAGTCCTCTTGGAACCAAGAGGGAAATCAAAGAGAAGATCTGAGAAGTGGAATTAGAGCCACTATGTCATTGAGCCACTAACTCTGCCCTAGAGCCTGCTTATCTAATTGTTTAAGCCCATTTTAGTTGGGTCACCTGTTACTTGCAACCAAAAGCATCCTTAAATGATATAATAAAGCCCTTAGACTTTGGAACTTAGTTTTTTTAAAAAAATGCTTATGAAAGAATGGCTTAAACCAATAGCCAATCTACCCACAAATGTTCTTAATGGCTTATATATTTTCACTTGCCTTGGCCACATTCTCTGGCATTGGTACATGATGTATGTAATGTCTGTAAGAATCAGCCTGAACAGGCACAGAAATAGATCTAAAGGAGCCCATCTGGACTTTAATCAATGCAATTCCTGAAAAGTCAAGTGGAAACTAAATTTTTCCTAATTGAAGAGCAAGCTAACCAAACTAATGTTTTTGGAAGTGTTCTAGATAAACCTGAGGCAATGTAGTTTATGAATCAATTTCCTTTCAATAAGCAAGACTATGGCAAATCCTTTTGGATTCAGAGGAATTCTTTTATAAAAGTATATATTCCCCCTCTGATGAAAAGTTCCTTAAATTGGAGTTTGGCTTCAGGGAGTCTGTGAATCCTATGAAATTATAAGCAATATTCTGTGTCTATGCATAAATGTGAATTTCTCTGAGAAGCAGGTACTAAGCTTTCATCGGATCCTGAAAGGAGTTTGTGACTACCTTCCCATCTCCAGAAAAAAAAAAAATGAGTTAAGAGCCACTGCTAATGTAGTTGTTTTCAGAGCCTGGATTTTCTTAAAGAAGCAATCTGACAGAGGGCTAACGTATTTTGAAGAACCAGTGTTCATATCCAATTTGTGAATTCTGAGATATTTCACCAGATGTCTCTATTTTCATGAGGGCCTTAGGCTGTATGGGGGAAAAAAATATGTGACAGGGACTTTGAAATTAGTTGTCACGTCCTGCATTCTCAGGAGGTGTGGTAGATTGTTAGAGTAGTAGCCCTCAATTTTTTCATACCTCTCTGTATCCAGCCTTTGGATAGTCCCCTCTCATACTGACCCTGAGCTTGGTCATGTGATTTGCTCTGGCCAAAGGAACAATAGTAGTTGTGACAGAAGCAGAGACTTGAAAAATGTATATTAGAGATTTCCTTCAATTACTTCTAAAGCCCCTGCCACCAACTCCATATGCAGAAGCCTGGGCTAGCCTGATAGATGATGAGAAACATATGATGCAGTTTCCCCCATTATCCTAGCTTATAGCCAGTCAATCTCAGAAGCAGAACCATGTTTCTGGGTGGCAGCTGACTGTAGGTACATGAGTAATTCCAACTGAGGCAACAGTAGACCCACCCAGCTGAGCCTACCCCAAATTGCCAACTCTGTAAGCTAAGTAATAGCTTGTTGTTTCAAGCCACTAAGTTTTAGGGTGACTTGTTATGCACCATAAGCTAACTGATACAGGAGGGAAGAGAATGGCTATTCTTTTCAAACGCTGATGTCAGTTGCAGCCATGCATGGCGAGGATGGAGGAAAGCTGTAATATGATAGATGTAATAGCTCCAGACCATAAGGAGGCTCATGGAAGCCCCTGAGGTAGTAGTTAGCAAGCCAGGCTGAGCAGAATGAGTGGCTAATGAACAGAGGGGAAATAGGATCCCTACACTGGGTCCTCACTGCCCCTGGCCTAGGCTACCTGGGCCCAGAAAGAGAAGGCCTACTGGGCTCCTCCTTTCAGCCACTCTACACTCACCAAAGGAGGACCTGAGAGATGGAAACTCAACAATGTTTTTAAAGGGTTATTTGGGCCCTTGTTTTTTCTCATGCTTGACATAATTTGGCAAAATAGTTATAAGAGATTAAGTAGGAAAAGAACAAGAGTTGAAAGTCAGAGAAGAAGAAAGGGAGTCAAAGAGTGAAGGAAAGAAAAAGATATGAGAGAAAAGAGATGTCAAATATCACCCAGAGATCTGTTCTTGATCATAAAGAACAAGAAGGAAAACATACTATTATTCATTTTCAGGTACTTACATGCCCATTAACCCATTTAACCTTCCTAACTATCTTGGGGAAACTGAGGCCCAGCTTTAGTTGTGGCTGTTCATGATGGGAATGGCAGGGAATCTATAATATATGGGTTGCTCTAAGAGTACATAGCCCCAAAGTGGCAGAAGCAGGACTTTGACCAGTACTTGCTTCACTAAGAAAAGAAAGAAGCCTTGATGTGGATAATAATAGTAGACAACACTTTTTGGGTTCTTACCATGTGCAATACACTATTCTAAGTGCTTTATGTGATTAACTCATTTGATACTCAGAACAGCCAGGTACGATAATTATCGTCTCCACCTTACAGATAAGAAGACAAAGATACAGACAGGCTAAGCAACTTGCCCAAGATTACTCAGCTAGTAAGCAGGGAAGCAAGAATGTGAATGCAGGTGGCCTGGCTTCAGAGCCTGCACTTTTAGCAACTACCCCATAATGCCTACCAAAATGCTTCCAGATTCCAACCCCATTACTGCTGCTTCCTCCCTGAGGGCTCCTATATTAGTCCGTTCCCACGCGGCTATAAAGAACTACCTGAGACTGGGTAATTTATGAAGGAAAGAGGTTTAATTGACTCACAGTTCCTCAGGCTGTACAGGAAGCATAGCTGGGAAGCTTCAGAAAACTTATAATCATGGCAGAAAGTGAAGGGAAAGCAAGCATGTTTTACCACGGCAGAGCAGGAGAGAAAGAGAAGGAGGAAGTGCTACACACTTTTAAACAATCAGGCCTGGTGAGAACTCACTCACTATCATGAGAACAGCAAGGGGGAAATCCACTCCCATGATCCAGTCATCTCCTACCAGGTCCCTCCCCCAACACTGGTAATTACAATGGACACGAGATTGGGGTGGGAACACAGAGCCAAACCATATCAGCTCCCAAATGGCATAGGGATGGGCCCATGCTACCAGGACAGGCCTGACCACAGTGTAAAGACCTGTAAAGATAGGAATATCCACAAGGGAATCCAGTTAAACTTCCTGCATTTAGGCAGAAGCAGTAAGCCCATTGAAAAGGCCTGGTTGCCTTATGCTCTTTCCAGAGCCAAGCATACCTCTGGAGAATAGATGCATGGAGCATGGGGTCTGAAGAACAGCTGAATACATGGAGCCCCATTGGAAAGAACTAGACATGGTTTCTTCTAATTTTACTAGCTGGGCCATTGGAAGCTGGGAAGAGAATTCGCTAGGAGCTGTTTGAAGAAAGAATAAGAGATTGTATGGGGGAAATGAGGGCATAGAGATGAGACTGGATAGACAGGTGGAAGGGAGCCAAAAAGGGGAGGTGTCCCCCCAGGGTGTTTTTTACTACTGACTGCATAGCTTAGACATTTATTTGAAGTCCACTGGGGTCCACAAGTGTATCCTGGGTGTACCCAACGTGAGTCCGGAACTTGATTCCCTGGAAGTTTCTCATTGTTTAGACCTTCAATAATAATCCCAGGAGGAGAAGGAGTAGAAGACTAGAAAGTCAAATTTAATTCATAAATCTGTTCAGTTTTTGAAATTTCTCAAAAGAAAATTGCCTTTGTCTCCCAGTTTCTACCAGCCTTACTCTTTTCTGATTTTCTTCTCAGTCACTAACACATTTAAGGCACTTCAAGGCAAGACACATCAGTTAATAGTTTAGCATGAGGATTCATTAAGAAGAAAAAGAAGAAAGGAGGAGGAGAAGAAAGAAATAAAAAAGGAAAGAAGAAAGAAAAGTCTTTGATGTTGATGGCAATGCCCATGTTTGTGATATAAATCACTTGGAATAAGGAGACTGTGGCTTTGGCAATATGGGGAAGTCTTTTTATTTATTCATTTTTTGCAAGAAATATCTAGATTTCTTTGTCCTTCAAGGGGTTTCAGGATCAAATCATGTACCCCATTCCATCTATAACAGAAGAAAAGGAATGTGAAGTCCTTGATTTCTCTCCTCTGTGGTTTGAAGCATTTCTAGGAAGAATGTTAACACTCTGGAGGACCCTGAAGTGTGTATTTAAGTTTCTCAGATGGAAGTTAAAGGTAAGGAAAGAACACAAGGTTTCCAAAGGGAGAATCCCAGAAGAAGTAACCATGGAAACTGATCCAAGGTCTTCAGAGTAGTGTCACATTGAGCTAAGAGACAACAAGTCCCATTAGTGGGAAACAAACCTCTAAAGCACAGAAGCTGAGCAAAACAGAAATGAATGGAAAATATATGAAGCAATTTTTAATAACCAGGTGACTAAGACTCAGCAAGTGGCAAAAATCAAGGCAGCAAAAACCATCTCCTTCTATAAATGAAAGATGCAAACGTAAGTATGCTTTTAGCAGCCCTTCTTCCTGTAAACTATTGTAATCACATCCATAACCCTAGGCTCTTTGAGGATGCCAGCACCAGATTTCAAGAACTGATTCATTCTTATACATGTATGCATCAGTTCACTCTTTCATTCAACAGCTGTTATGAAGTATCTGAAGACACATTTATTCATTCATTCAATATTTATTTAGTCCCTACTATGTGCCAGATACTCTACTAGGTACTAGAGATATTGCAGTGAATCAGACAGCAATATTAGTTGACTTTACAGAGCTTGCCATCTAACTTATACTGTGCTCAGAAATATGGAGGATTCAGAGAAGCAAAAAACTGAGTTCCCCAACCTCAAGGAATTCACGTTTTCCTTAGGAGGATAAAGTACAGGCATCCCAAGAACTAAATACGCCTACAAGAACTATGTCAAAATTCCAGGCAAGAATATAAGCAATGTCACAAGGTAATATATTTCCATGTTCCCATTCTATCACTGTCCAAGCTCATTACCAACCTTGTTTCTGGCTATTGAACACATTGCAAAGTTCTTTTGTGAGGGGAATCCTTAATGAGGTGAGTGTCTTAAAATAAATTCACTCAATGCCTGCCTACATTTCATTCATTCCTTAGCCTATATCTCCAAGTACAAATATGGGTTTAGGTGAATTTCAAAATCCACTTGATGGCATGGTGGGGTGAGAAGAAATATATTGTGAGTCTAGTTACTTTGAGGGCATGTATGACTGGCCCACTTTGAAACATGTCTCTGATCCAGTTCTCAGCCTCTAGGAATCTTTGCTCTCACCTTTGGAGTTGGGCCAGTACTGAACAACTCTGCAGAATTAAAGTGACAGGGAGAATGGAACCAAGTTGGAAAACACTCTGCAGGATATTATCCAGGAGAACTTCCCCAATCTAGCAAGGCAGGCCAACATTCACATTCAGGAAATACAGAGAACGCCACAAAGATACTCCTTGAGAAGAGCAACCCCAAGACACATAATTGTCAGATTCACCAAAGTGGAAATGAAGGAAAAAATGTTAAGGGCAGCCAGAGAGAAAGGTCGGGTTACCCACAAAGGGAAGACCATCAGACTAACAGCTGATCTCTCAGCAGAAACTCTACAAGCCAGAAGAAAGTGGGGACCAATATTCAACATTCTTAAAGAAAAGAATTTTCAACCCAGAATCTCATATCCAGCCAAACTAAGCTTCATAAGTAAAGGAGAAATAAAATACTTTACAGAGAAGCAAATGCTGAGAGATTTTGCCACCACCAGGCCTGCCCTAAAAGAGCTCCTGAAGGAAGCACTAAACATGGAAAGGAACAACCGGTACCAGCCACTGCAAAAACATGCCAAATTGTAAAGACCATCAAGGCTAGGAAGAAACTGCATCAACTAACGAGCAAAATAACCAGCTAACATCATAATGACAAGATCAAATTCACACATAACAATTTTAACTTTAAATGTAAATGGGCTAAATGCTCCAATTAAAAGACACAGACTGGCAAATTGGATAAAGAGTCAAGACCCATCAGTGTGCTGTATTCAGGAAACCCATCTCACGTGCAGAGACACACATAGGCTCAAAATAAAAGGATGGAGGAAGATCTACCAAGCAAATGGAAAACAAAAAAAGGCAGGGGTTGCAATCCTAGTCTCTGATAAAACAGACTTTAAACCAACAAAGATCAAAAGAGACAAAGAAGGCCATTACATAATGGTAAAGGGATCAATTCAACAAGAAGAGCTAACTCTCCTAAATATATATGCACCCAATACAGGAGCACCCAGGTTCATAAAGCAAGTCTTTAGTGACCTACAAAGAGACTTAAACTCCCACACAATAATAATGGGAGACTTTAACACCCCACTGTCAACATTAGACAGATCAACGAGACAGAAAGTTCACAAGGATACCCAGGAATTGAACTCAGCTCTGCACCAAGCGGACCTAATAGACATCTACAGAACTCTCCACCCCAAATCAACAGAATATACATTCTTTTCAGCACCACACCACACCTACTCCAGAATTGACCACATAGTTGGAAGTAAAGCTCTCCTCAGCAAATGTAAAAGAACAGAAATTATAACAAACTGTCTCTCAGACCACAGTGCAATCAAACTAGAACTCAGGATTAAGAAACTCATTCAAAACCGCTCAACTACATGGAAACTGAACAACCTGCTCCTGAATGACTACTGGATAAATAATGAAATGAAGGCAGAAATAAAGATGTTCTTTGAAACCAATGAGAACAAAGACACAACATACCAGAATCTCTGGGACACATTTAAAGCAGTGTGTAGAGGGAAATTTATAGCACTAAATGCCCACAAGAGAAAGCAGGAAAGATCCAAAATTGACACCCTAACATCACAATTAAAAGAACTAGAAAAGCAAGAGCAAACACATTCAAAAGCTAGCAGAAGGCAAGAAATAACTAAGATCAGAGCAGAACTGAAGGAAATAGAGACACAAAAAACCCTTCAAAAAATTAATGAATCCAGGAGCTGGTTTTTTGAAAAGATCAACAAAATTGATAGACCACTAGCAAGACTAATAAAGAAGAAAAGAGAGAAGAATCAAATAGACGCAATAAAAAATGATAAAGGGGATATCACCACCAATCCCACAGAAATACAAACTACCATCAGAGAATACTATAAACATCTCTATGCAAATAAACTAGAAAATCTAGAAGAAATGGATAAATTCCTCGACACATACATCCTCTCAAGACTAAACCAGGAAGAAGTTGAATCTCTGAATAGACCAATAACAGGATCCGAAATTGTGGCAATAATCAATAGGTTACCAACCAACAAAAAGTCCAGGACCAGATGGATTCACAGCCGAATTCTACCAGAGGTACAAAGAGGAGCTGGTACCATTCCTTCTGAAACTATTCCACTCAAAAGAAAAAGAGGGAATCCTCCCTAACTCATTTTATGAGGCCAACATCATCCTGATACCAAAGCCTGGCAGAGACACAACCAAAAAAGAGAATTTTAGACCAATATCCTTGATGAACATCAATGCAAAAATCCTCAATAAAATACTGGCAAACCGAATCCAGCAGCACATCAAAAAGCTTATCCACCATGATCAAGTGGGCTTCATCCCTGGGATGCAAGGCTGGTTCAACATACGCAAATCAATAAATGTAATCCAGCATATAAACAGAACCAAAGACAAAAACCACATGATTATCTCAATAGATGCAGAAAAGGCCTTTGACAAAATTCAACAACCTTCATGCTAAAAACTCTCAATAAATTCAGTATTGATGGGACATACCTCAAAATAATAAGAGCTATCTATGACAAACCCACAGCCAATATCATACTGAATGGGCAAAAACTGGAAGCATTCCCTTTGAAAACGGGCACAAGACAGGGATGCCCTCTCTCACCACTCTTATTCAACATAGTGTTGGAAGTTCTGGCCAGGGCAATCAGGCAGGAGAAGGAAATAAAGGGTATTCAATTAGGAAAAGAGGAAGTCAAATTGTCCCTGTTTGCAGATGACATGATTGTATATCTAGAAAACCCCATCATCTCAGCCCAAAATCTCCTCAAGCTGATAAGCAACTTCAGCAAAGTCTCAGGATACAAAATCAATGTACAAAAATCACAAGCATTCTTATACACCAACAACAGACAAACAGAGAGCCAAATCATGAGTGAACTCCCATTCACAATTGCTTCAAAGAGAATAAAATACCTAGGAATCCACCTTACAAGGGATGTGAAGGACCTCTTCAAGGAGAACTACAAACCACTGCTCAAGGAAATAAAAGAGGATACAAACAAATGGAAGAACATTCCATGCTCATGGGTAGGAAGAATCAATATCGTGAAAATGGCCATACTGCCCAAGGTAATTTATAGATTCAATGCCATCCCCATCAAGCTACCAATGACTTTCTTCACAGAATTGGAAAAAACTACTTTAAAGTTCATATGGAACCAAAAAAGAGCCTGCATGGCCAAGTCAATCCTAAGCCAAAAGAACAAAGCTGGAGGCATCATGCTACCTGACTTCAAACTATACTACAAGGCTACAGTAACCAAAACAGCATGGTACTGGTACCAAAACAGAGATATAGACCAATGGAACAGAACAGAGCCCTCAGAAATAATGCCACATATCTACAACTATCTGATCTTTGACAAACCTGAGAAAAACAAGCAATGGGAAAAGGATTCCCTATTTAATAAATGGTGCTGGGAAAACTGGCTAGCCATATGTAGAAAGCTGAAACTGGATCCCTTCCTTACACCTTATACAAAAATTAATTCAAGATGGATTAAAGACTTAAATGTTAGACCTAAAACCATAAAAACCCTAGAAGAAAACCTAGGCAATACCATTCAGAACATAGGCATGGGCAAGGACTTCATGTCTAAAACACCAAAAGCAATGGCAACAAAAGCCAAAATTGACACATGGGATCTAATTAAACTAAAGAGCTTCTGCACAGCAAAAGAAACTACCATCAGAGTGAACAGGCAACCTACAGAATGGGAGAAAATTTTTGCAACCTACTCATCCAACAAAGGGCTAATATCCAGAATCTACAATGAACTCAAACAAATTTACAAGAAAAAAAACAACCCCATCAAAAAGTGGGCAAAGGATATGAATAGACACTTCTCAAAAGAAGACATTTATGCAGCCAAAAAACACATGAAAAAATGCTCATCATCACTGGCCATCAGAGAAATGCAAATCAAAACCACAATGAGATACCATCTCACACCAGTTAGAATGGCAATCATTAAAAAGTCAGGAAACAACAGGTGCTGGAGAGGATGTGGAGAAATAGGAACACTTTTACACTGTTGGTGGGACTGTAAACTAGTTCAACCATTGTGGGAGTCAGTGTGGTGATTCCTCAGGGATCTAGAACTAGAAATACCATTTGACCCAGCCATCCCATTACTGGGTATACACCCAAAGGATTATAAATCATGCTGCTATAAAGACACATGCACACGTATGTTTATTGCGGCACTATTCACAATAGCAAAGACTTGGAACGAACCTAAATGTCCAACAACGATAGTCTGGATTAAGAAAATGTGGCACATATACACCATGGAATACTATGTAGCCGTAAAAAATGATGAGTTCATGTCCTTTGTAGGGACATGGATGAAACTGGAAACCATCATTCTCAGCAAACTATCACAAGGACAAAAAACCAAACACCGCATGTTCTCACTCATAGGTGGGAATTGAACAATGAGAACACGTGGACACAGGAAGGGGAACATCACACACCAGGGACTGTTGTGGGGTTGGGGGAGGGGGGAGGGATAGCATTAGGAGATATACCTAATGCTAAATGACGAGTTAATGGTTGCAGCACACCAACATGGCACATGTATACATATGTAACAAACCTGCACGTTGTGCACATGTACCCTAAAACTTAAAGTATAATAATAATAAAATTTAAAAAAAAAGAATTCAAAATAAAATGTTAGGTTCTTGCCTTTTAGAAGACCAGGGAAAGGTGAGCATAGTATGAAAAGGAAAAAAAAATGGAATGTAAGCATCAAACCTGACTATGGATCTGGCACTGATAACCATGTGGAAATGGTGCAGAGTCAGGCCCAGGTTGAAGTTAGCCATGCCTCCTTCGTCTCACCTAGCACTTGATATGGCCTTCTTTCCTTTTTGAATGACATAAGATGCCTAATTCATCACATGGGAAGACTTCTGTGCTTCCTCCAAGACAGTGACCACTGGGTTGTAGAAGTGACATTGTTTTGAATATTTGGCTATGTAATTCTCAAGATGAGCTATTAGGAAAGCTGTGTGATAGGTGAGGGAAGGATTATTATTTGGGGAGAGAATATTTTCATGGGCTACATTTCCTTTCTATTTTGTCTCTCATTTTCTTATCACTGGCAGAGAAACAGAGCGTAGTGAACAAAACAAAATTATTACATGATCATGGGCTATCATGGACCTAAGGGTAGCTGAACTTGAAGAAATAGGGGGTGGGGACAAGCCTCAAGAATTTATGGCAAGGCCTATGATGGTCTTGATGAAGAGAGAATGCAGACTTTGGTTCATTTTGATTTCCTTAAATTTCTCAGTGAATCAAAATCATTTTCACTTCCCCGAGTTTTGATGGTAATTGGGTGATGAGCTACTCGTTTGTCAGAATTTTCTAATTAACATGGAAAGAAAAGGAGTCTTTAACATTGCTTTTCTTGTTTATCTTCCTTTAGGGGAGAGGTCATGAAGGGCAATTGACGACCTTCACCATAATTTTTTGTTTTTGTCTTTTTAATTTTAGTTGTTATGGAAAAGGCATGAAATGGGGTCTTCAGTTTTGGCCCAGGCTCACAACTTCATACATGGCCGGATTTTTATTTTTTTAATGTTTCTTTTTAAGTCTTAATTTTTGTGGATACATAGTAGGTATAAATATTTATGGGGTACATGAGATGTTTTGATACAGGCATGCAATGTAAAATAAGCACATTATGGGGAATGGGGTATCCATCCCCTCAAACATTTATGCTTTGAGTTACCAACAATCCAATTATACTCTAAGATTTTTTGTTGTTTTTTTTGTTTGTTTTGTTTTGTTTGTTTTTTGTTTTTTGAGATGGAGTCTCGCTCTGTCACCCAGGCTGGAGTGCAATGGCGTGGTCTCGGCTCACTGCAACCTCCGCCTCCCAGATTCAAGTGATTCTCCTGCCTCAGCCTCCTGAGCAGCTGGGACTACAGGTGCCCGCCATCATGCGCCAATTTTTTTTTATTTTTAGTAGAGATGGGGTTTCAACGTGTTAGCCAGGATGGTCTTGATCTCCTGACCTCGTGATCCACCTGCCTCGGCCTCCCAAAGTGCTGGGATTACAGGCATGAGCCACAGTGCCCAGCCTCTTTAAGTTATTTTAAAATGTACAATTAAGTAATTATTGACTATAGTCACCCGACCTGGCCTAATTTTTAACACTCCAAAGCTTGGTAGGTTAAAACAACAATCACTTAATTAGCTTATGATTCTGCGGGTCAGAAATTTGGTCTGGGATCAGCTGGATGATTCTTCTGGTGGTCTCACCTGGACTTACACCTATGACTCAGGTAGAAAGATTGGCTAGAGTCTGATCTCACTAAGATGGCCTCACTCACATGTGTGGTAGTTGGTGCTGGCTGTCAGAGCTGACTAGTAGTTGGCCCAAGTTTATTCACACAATAGTATTCTTAAGGTTCCTAGGAACATCAAAGAGGACAAACCCAGGGCAGAGGTACTTCTCAAGCCTCTGCTTCCATCATGTATTTTAATTCCTCACTGGTTAAAGCAAGTCATATGGTCTAGCGTGGCTTCAAGTAGGTGGAGAAATCGATTCTACATCTTTATGGGAGTTGCTACCAAGTCACATTACAAAGGTGTATGCATGCAGGAAGGGCAGGAGTTATTGTGGCCATTTTTGTAAACAATCTACCACACCCTTGTTGCCATTTGAGATAGCAGTCCATGCAAGGACTCTCTCTTGCATCTCCCTGGCAGTGTTATAGGCTTGGTTGTACTCCATGTTTCATGTTTTTCCTGTGGTAAAATGAAATGGTTTGGAGGAAACAAATGAGAACATGTGAAGTGTTTAAAATTGCCAGAGGGTATTGTTTCAATTACATTTCCATATCTATACAGGAACAAAATCACACACACATGTATATTTGATATATATGTATATACACACAAATTATGTATATACATATTATGTTTGTTTGGTAACTATGCATGCTAGTGCAGAGTCTGGGCACCTTTTTTGTCAAAGCAATGTTGATTATGTCTAGTCAAATAAATGAATAGTCCCAATCTTGACTTATTCATTTATTAGAAAATTTTCACATCAATTTGTAAACTGATCCATGTAATTCCCTTTAACACACACACACGCATGCACACACTCATTATATGAATATTTTCAAGCTACACAAATACTTAGAAGTGATAATATTTTCTTTTTGCTTTCTTACTTTTACAGTATCTGTTGATATACTCCTGTAGATGATTTGGTAAAAGGAGCTTATATACGGAGATTACAAAAACAATGGTGATGTGGGTGAGAGAGGCATTGTGTAATTTACCCAGATAGGAATACATAATATATGTTTTTGAAATATTTTTAACCTAGAGAGACATAATAAGATAGTGGTTGAAAATATATTTCATCTGTTTAGTCAATTTTATAATGGAAAATAAACAAACAAAGGGATTACAAAGACCTTATAACAATCAGGGTTTGGTCAGGAAGCCAGAAACCGATCTAAATATTTTAAGAAGAAAAGGTTTTAATTCAGAAAATTAAATGCCTACAAAGCCCTTGGAAGGGCTTGGGAAATTAAGGTCAGAAAAAGCTTCCTCTAGCTTTTAAGAAATCAGAAAGTTGTAAGAATTATAGGAAGCTGCCATCAATGGTCACAGCTGCCTGCAGGACTGAAATAAGTGATTTACAAGAGAATGCCTTGAAGCTGCTGAAAAACCTGTCTGGCAAAGCCCACATACCTTCCTGTTGCTATTACAATGGATTCTGCCTCTCTTCTGTCTTCCAAATCTTGCAAGGGGGCTTCTCATTGGTGGACTCTTTCCTGGCAGCCTGATGGCAAGGTCTTCTAGGAAATGTAGCTTCTAGGCTTCTAGCCCCTCAGTAGTTAGGAGATCATATAAAGAAATGGGAATGAATACTGGTTGCCAAAATAAAACCATCCAGCATAGCAGTGCAGACCTCCCAACTCCTCTTAACCTTATATCATCCACTATTCTTAAGACTGTGACCTAATATTGTACAGATATGCTTTTAACAAAGTGGAATTAATCTATACATACTAGTTTTGTGCTTTTTTTCCTAACATGAATTTATGGTTGTGTCCATATAACTCTTAAACCTATTAGTTAATAATTTTCATAATACTATATTCCTTTTATTTAATATATTTCAGTACCCTTGAGTTCTTGTGCGAGTAGACTTCTAATATTTTTTCCTCTGTTACAAAAACAGTTACTTTATACAAATTGCTACTTTTTCCCTTTTTGAGTTAATTTCTTAAGTGCCATTCCCCAAATGAATGAATGGGTCAAAATGCATAATCAGTTCCTTAAAAGTTATTGTCTTGTTAAAGCTAACGTAGAATAGTAAGTTGCACAAATAAACATTATGCAGTGTAATCATACATCTTATGGCATTAATCAGTCTGTTACCAGCTTTCGTTTTCCTCTAGATATGTAAAGGACTGAAAAGTGCAGTTTCACACTACGACAGCTGGCCTCAAAACAATTCAAGTCACAAAGAGATATATAAATTTTTGCTTTCTAACCATTCTTTCCTAAATCTCAGAATTTTTGGCTAATACCTCCAAAAAAGTCCACCTGCCAAACTTTTGATTACTCCTACCCTTCATAATTTATCCAGTGTAACCCCATGTTGAACTCTCTATTACAGAATGCAAAGGGTCTCTGGACAGCAGAGGCTACATCTCAGGAGTCTTAAGAAGCCCTAGGAGTCAGCCTACACTCCACAACTGCTGTTTGCCCGAAAGTAGGCTGGCCCTCCCTGTACCAGGACTTCTGGGAAAAGTGATTAGGCCATCACCACATCCCAGCTTCTACATGGAGCACTGTCCTACAACTCTTGACATCTTCAACCACTCTCCTTGATTGCCCTCTCTTAGACCCTCAGAAGGTCGACTGTGGCCATGGTTTGAAGATATGCTCAAAAGCCACCTCCTCTAAGAGACCTCTCTGATTTCCCAAATAAAAGGGATCTCACTGCAGAACTGCCATGACACTTTAGCCTAGTTTTCACATAATTTTAATTTTTTTCTCATTTGTGAAGTGATCCATGCTCATTGTAGAAAAGTTGAGAAATATGGAAAAAATTAAAGAAAAAAATCACTCTTAATCCCACAATACACAGAGATAATCATTGTTAACATTTTCTTGTGTTATCCCTTTAGCCTTTCAGATAATTTTTAACATAATTGAGAGCATACAATGGATACAGTTTTTTTATACTTAACATTTTATCATGAGCACATTTTCATGTCGTTAATTTTCTGAAGTCTTGTTTCAACAGGAATATAAATTCCATTGTGCAGATGTACTATAATTAACTCATTTTCAGTTGTTTGATATTTGGGTTGTTTCCAGTTTTATACTATTATACATAATGCTGTGATAAACATCCTTAATAATAAAGCTTTGTCTACGTGTCTAATCACTTATTTAAGATGGGTTTCTAGAAGTTGGAGTATTTTAGTGAATTAATGTTTTTATTTAAGAATTAGACAAAATTAGGGATATTCTCCCAAGAATAATGCAGTAAAACATATAACCACACTTTTGCATATTCTTTAACGGAATTTGCCGAAATTTATGTGTGGAATTTTTAGGGGTCCAAGAATTTCTAGGTCAGATATATTTGAATTACTAGATCAAGGGGCATGAAAATTTTAAGGATGTTAATAAATATTCCTTTTTTAAAAAATAAATATTCCTAATTTTTTTTCAGAAACATTTATCTGTCCCACTTTTATGGTACAGATACTACTTTCTACATTTTAGAATTGTTATTCATATTTTATCACCTCTGTTAGACTGTAAGCTCTTTGAGGGAAGGGTCGTGTCTGATTTGTCTCAAATTTTCTTCAGGACTGAGCAAAGTGCCTAACCTATAATAGATGCTCAGTAAAGGGTCATTGAATCAATAACTCAATTTCAAAGCCAGCAAGTCCAAAAAATGGAAAGTTTCAAGTTTGATCATCTGAAAAGTGATTTGAGGTATGCTTCATAGCCATGAAGAATGGCACCGAGAAATTGTCACAGGAGTCTTCACCAAGTCTGGCAAGCAGAATGGGGTATGCCAAGTTGGATAGCTAAAGGGACAATGATGCAAATAGATCTTCACATTTCAATGCAAGTGCCAAAAGTTCCATTCTCTGTGGTGTGGAGGGCGGCTATTGCCCGTCTGTGGGATACTGAGGACTCTGTACCAGCAACTGGCCATCAATTACTTGCCAGTATAGTATTTATAAGAAGTTAATTCTATTCTGTGATTAAAATTATATATAAGTCTTATTACCAAGCCTCAGTTAACTTCTTGCATAATGCACATTTTCCAAGCAATCTGGAAGGGAACAGATATCTTGTGGCAGACACACTTAGTGACCTAACCAACAGCCACCTTCCCTCTCTGTGAGAAGAGACTCTAATTTGGTTAGGG
The DNA here is from genome assembly GCF_000001405.40 of Homo sapiens. Lineage (NCBI taxonomy): Eukaryota > Metazoa > Chordata > Mammalia > Primates > Hominidae > Homo > Homo sapiens. The sequence goes on along the minus strand of NC_000023.11, from coordinate 17,224,235 downwards.
TTGGCAATATTCCCAGGCTTAAAGGGTGGCTATGATTAATGAGAAACCAGTCGAGATGATTCTGTTCCCCCCTTCCAGGTACAGATTTAAATGTACATAACAACTGTTAGTTAATGACTTTTTGTCATAATGGCTCTTAAAAGTTTGTGACACTTTTTGAACAATGACTCCTTTTTTTTCAATATATTGACTTTTTTTGTTCCCCAAACATACCAAACAAATATGCTATAAGACGTGATATTGCATCATTTCAGTTGCAGGCTAAATCATGCTCACAAATTTTACTTGACATATATTTACTTGTCAGAGCATATCATATGGAACAAATTTGAATTGAGCATCATGTTTGAATGAGCCTACAATGTTCTGCTTTGCATACAGATGCCAATTGAGAGGGATAAAGATGTGCTGTCTACATTTCCTTTGTCTTTGTGCACGTGCAATTTCACGTTTCAACACACTCTCACATTTAGCTTTTATTTTGCCCTAAAGGTGATTTCTAGGCTATAGCTTTTAAGTAAATTTAGGGTACAAAATAATTATGAACTGCCTCCCCAAAGTTGAAAGCTGGTGAAGCAAATGGTGTAGACAAAAGAATTCACCTTCCAAAAAAATGAATCCCTCACCCCCTCCTCCACCATCCCTATCAAGTCTGCTTTTCCTCATTACATTTCATTTTGTGTACAAACTGTATATGCTTACTTTCAAATGGTTCTTAATTTATTATATAAACTTGTTTTCATTGTTCACTGAATATATTTTCTTATCTGTGAAAATTACTTGGATATCTTGGATTGGGACAGAACACAGTGTAATGTTTCCCTTAAAAGTAATAGAATTCAAAAAAATCAACAGCTTACCACTTAGAGGCAAAGCTTTCAAGAAAAAAATAAAGTAATTAAGTGAGGGATGAGCATGCTTGCTTTTCAGCACCCCCTAGCTTGCAGCTGGGGATGAAATGAGAGACATATCTGGCCAAAGAGAGGTAAAGCCTCCTGGGGACTCCCAGGAAAGCTTCTTCCCTCTGATACAAGGAAAACACTTTTCTCCCTTCCCCATCTTCTGACCATGAGTTTTAAGGTATTTTAAAGACTAGTTTGCACAGAGTTGTGGCTGCTGAACTTGAGGGAGAAAGTGGCAGGAGAATCACACAATGCCGACTCAGTGCCCTGACTTGGTAGAGTTGAAGAAATAATCCTAGAACTTCTGCCCTCAGTCTTCTTGTTAGATAAAGTTTTTATTTAAAGCAATGTTAGTTATGTTTTCTATTATGTGCAACCAAAACATTCCAAAATGATTCCTTATACACCCCCTAATCATTAGAAGGGGAAAGGCATTAAATAATAGTAACCTTTCACTTTGTATGGTGATTTTCAGTGTCTAAGTGCTCTCAGGTTCTGCTGGAAGGCTTCCTTTTAACCTGATCCCCTCTGGCTTTAAAATCTCATTCCCACAGGTCGTGGTCTCTCCCTTATTATCTCTCTTCTCATTGTTGTTCTTGAATCTCTGATCTGGCCTAAGTTGTATGTAGAACTCAGCTCTCTTTTTTTTCATTTCCATAAACCAAAAATGTTCACACACAGAAGATATTTGTGTATGAAACTGGCTTCCTTTAAAGTTTGAGTTTGTATCACAACAAGGCCACACAGCTTAAATATCAGACATTTTTATCTCTATAAAATATTTAGGCTACCCTTCCATGATATTGAGCCACACTTTATCTTCTAAAGCTTCTTGATTATCCCCTTTGGGGTTCATTGTCTCAGGGTTCCCTGGAAAATCCCATTCCCCTCATAATATTATGCAAAGTCTTTTAGCTCACTACTCCTCTGCCTAGAAGGGCAGCCACCTCCACATATCATTATTCTATATCTTGTTACAAAATGGGCCAAATACTCAATACCATTCAGGACATACGCATGGGCAAGGACTTCATGTCTAAAACACCAAAAGCAATGGCAACAAAAGTCAAAATTGACACATGGGATCTAATTAAACTAAAGAGCTTCTGCACAGCAAAAGAAACTGCCATCAGAGTGAACAGGCAACCTACAGAATGGGAGAAAATTTTTGCAACCTACTCGTCTGACAAAGAGCTAATATCCAGAATCTACAATGAACTCAAACAAATTTACAAGAAAAAAACAAACAACCCCATCAAAAAGTGGGCAAAGGATATGAATAGACACTTCTCAAAAGAAGACATTTATGCAGCCAAAAAACACATTTTTCATCATCACTGGCCATCAGAGAAATGCAAATCAAAACCACAATGAGATACCATCTCACACCAGTTAGAATGGCGATCATTAAAAAGTCAGGAAACAACAGGTGCTGGAGAGGATGTGGAGAAATAGGAACACTTTTACACTGTTGGTGGGACTGTAAACTAGTTCAACCATTGTGGGAGTCAGTGTGGCGATTCCTCAGGGATCTAGAACTAGAAATACCATTTGACCCAGCCATCCCATTACTGGGTATACACCCAAAGGATTATAAATCATGCTGCTATAAAGACACATGAACACGTATGTTTATTGCGGCACTATTCACAATAGCAAAGACTTGGAACGAACCTAAATGTCCAACAACGATAGACTGGATTAAGAAAATGTGGCACATACACACCATGGAATACTATGCAGCCATAAAAAATGATGGGTTCATGTCCTTTGTAGGGACATGGATGAAACTGGAAACCATCATTCTCAGCAAACTATTACAAGGACAAAAAACCAAACACCGCATGTTCTCACTCATAGGTGGGAAATGAACAGTGAGAACACTTGGACACAGGAAGGGGAACATCACACACTGGGCACTGTTGTGGGGTTGGGGGAGCGGGGAGGGATAGCATTAGGAGATATACCTAATGCTAAATGACGAGTTAATGGGTGCAGCACACCAACATGGCACATGTATACATATGTAACAAACCTGCACGTTGTGCACATGTACCCTAAAACTTAAAGTATAATAATAATAAAATAAAATAAAATAAAATAAAATAAAATAAAATAAAATAAAATAAAATAAAATAAAATAAAATAATGGGCCAAATACTTTACTGGCAGAGGTTTTGAAATATCCATCTTTGCTTTCTCTCTCATTCCCAAGTTTCTGTTATTAAAAGGGAGCAGAGATTAGTTCACTGTTGAATTATGCTACTACTTTAGAAGGCAGAAGTAGATGCAGTCTGTTTGGGCTTTAAAGAACAATTTTTTCTTAGTTTCAAAATAGTAGGGTTGAGAAGAACATTGTGATAGTGTATTGAAAAGAGCACAGAACTGGAACTTCGAATACTTAGATTTCAATCTAACTGAGCATTTCTATTTACAAGTATCTCTGGATCTCAGTGTCCTCATATGTAAAAACGTGGAGGGGGGATGCACTGAAGAATAGCTGAGGTCCTATCTCCTTCTAGCAGTTTCTAGATGAAGAATCTGGGACCTGAGAAACCAGGTGACTTAATATTTTACTTACCACTTGTGATCATTCTCCTATTTTCCTTCGAAGCTTGATTTATCAAGATTAATTGTATATTTCATATTTTGTTCAGATGCTCTATTTTTTTTTCCTTGCTTCCAAAGTTACACTGATCTTAGCACTGACACTGCAGAAAGAAAGAGGAAATATAAAGTAATTAAACTCAATCTGGATAAATAGATACACTTGCACATAATGGGAAAAAAATGTGTGTATAGTGTTGTTTATTGAGGTTTTGTTTATAATAGCAACAGAATAGAAACAATCTAAATGTCCATCACTAGAAGAACAGTTTACAAAATTATTCCATATTCCTACTATGGAATACTAGGCAACTATTGAAAAGAGACAGATCTTCATGTACTGATTTCAGAGGTGCTCCAAGATTATAAATATACACACACACACAGTAACATTTCACTTAAGGACAGGGATATATTCTGAGAAATGTGTTAGGTAGTTTTGTTGTTGTGTGAACATCATAGAGTGACTTACACAAACCTAGATGGTACAGCCTACTACACATGTAAACTATATGATATAGCCTATTGCTTCTAGGCTACAAACCCGTACAGCATGTTACTATGCTGAATACTGTAGGCAGTTGTAATACAATGGTAACTGTTTATGTATCTAAACATAGCTAAACATAGAAAAGGTACAGTAAAAATACAGTATAAAAGATGGAAAATGGTTCACCTTTGTATCAGTCCATCCTCACATTGCCATAAAGAACTACCCAAGACTGGGTAATTTATGAAGAACAGAGGTTTAATTGACACAGTTCTACAGGCTGTACAGGAAGCATGGCTGGAGAGGTCTCAAGATACTTAACAATCATGGCAGAAAGCAAGGGGAAGCAGGCACGTCTTACATGGCTGGAGAAGGAGGAAGAGAGCAAAGGGGAAGGTGCCACATACTTTTAAGCAACCAGGTCTCATGAGCATTCACCCACTATCACGAGAACAGCAAGGGGCCATTCGCCCCCATGATCCAATCACCTTCCACCAGGCTCCTCCTCCAACAGTGGGGATTACAGTTCAACATGAGATCTGGGTCGGGACACAAATTCAAACCTTATCAATCTGTATGGGGTACTTACCATAAATGGAGTTTACAGGACTGGAAGTTGCTTTAGGTGAGGCAGTGAGTGAGCAGTGAGTAAATATGAAGGTTTAGGAGATTACTGTGTACTACTGCAGGCTTTATAAGCACTGTACACTTAGGCTACATTAAATTTATTTTAAAACTTTTCTTTCTTTAATAATAAATTAACCTTAGCTTACTGTAACATTTTTACTTTATAAACTTTTCAATTTTTTAACTTTGACTTTTTAGTAATTATTCCTAGCTTAAAACACCAACACATTGTACAGCTGTACAAAAATATTTTCTTTCTTTACTTTCTCCTCATTCTATGGCTTTTTAATTTTACTTTAAAATTTTCTGTTGAAAACTAAGACACAAACACTCACATTAGCCTAGGCCTACACAGGGCAAGAGCCATCAATATCACTGTCTTCCACCTCCACAGCTTGTGCCACTGGAAGATCTTCAGGGGCAATAACATGCATGGAGCTGTCATCTCCTATGATAACAATGTCTTCTTCTGGATATCTCCTGGAGGACCTGCCTGAGGCTGCCTTACAGTTAGCTTTTAAAAAACATATAAGTAGAAGGAGTACACTCTAAAATAACAATAAAAATTATGATATAATAAATACATAAGCCAGTAACATGGCCTATTATTATCATTATCAAGTATTATGGACCGTGCATAATGGTATGTGCTGAACTTTTATATTACTGGTAGAGTGGTAGAGTTGTTTACACCAGCATCACTACAAACACGCAAGTAACGTGTTGTGCTATGACATCACTAAGTGATAGGAATTTTTCAGCTTCATTATAATCTTAGGGACCATTGTCATTTCTGTCATGGACCAAAACATTGTTATGTGGTGCATGACTGTATATATATCTCTGTGTGTATCCATATACAAATATACATTTACATATGTATGCATAAGCACACACACACATATAGTTACGGTGCCGAAAATATGCGTACTATATCACCATTGATTAAAAAAATACATATATTGCTTGACTAAATATAGAATATCTCTCGAACGATACACAAAAAACTGATAACCGTGGTTGCCTTTTGGGACGAGAAAGGGGTGAAAGATAGGAGGGAAACTTACCCTTTACTGCTTACTTTAAAATTTTGTACTATGTGCATGCATTGTCTGTTAAAATATAAGTTAGATGCATTATTTAAAGGTTAAAAAATATTTTAAAGGCTGAGCATGGTGGCTCATGCCTGTAATCTCAGTACTTTGGGAGGCCAAGGTGGGAGGATCACTTGAGCCCAGGAGTTCAAGACCAGCCTGGGCAACATGGTGAGACCCTTTGTCTACAAAAAATACAAAAATTAGCCAAGCACAGTGGCATGCGCCTGTGGCCCCAGATACTCAGGAGACTGAGGTGGGAGGATCACTTAAGCCTGGGATGCAGAGGTTGCAGTGAGCCGAGATCGTGCCCCTGCACTCCAGCCTAGGTGACACAGTGAGAACTTTTCTCAAAAAAAAATTTGTAAAAAGAAATGTAGAATAAAATGAGGTGTGGCCAGGCACTGTGGCTCACGCCTGTAGTCCCAACACTTTGGGAGGCCGAGGCAGGTGGATCACTGGAGGTCAGGAGTTCAAGACTAGCCTGGCCAAGATGGTGAAACCTCGTCTCTACTAAAATGCAAAAATTAGCCGGATGTGTTGGCGGGCGCCTGTAATCTCGGCTACTCAGGAGGCTTATGCAGGAGAATGGCTTGAACCCAGGAGGGAGAGGTTGCAGTGAGCCGAAATCATGCCACCGCACTCCAGCCTAGGCAACAGAGCGAGACTCCCTTTCAAAAAATAAATAATGAAATGAGGTGTGGACATTATTGGTGGATTTCAATTTATCACTCTCTTCTTATCTTGAACTAATAACAGTTCTCCATCTCCAACCTAAGCCCTAGAAAGTTGTTAATGGTGAATGGTGTACTGCTTTATAACCCTCCCTGAGCCTTGCACTCCCCACAGTCACTCACCAGAGTTGGGATACTGCCTTTTGAGTCATCATAGAAGGGCCTGTGTTCCCTTCTTAGGACCATCGACCATCTTTGGGTGGCTACTGCTGGATATCTCTGACTTTTTTTGACCTAAATGGGAGGCAGCCCTGGATCTATGGTGGATATTGGAATTAGAAACACCTGGCTTACATTACCAGCTTCACCTGTTACTTATGTTCCCTAAGCCTCTAGTTCCTCATCTGTAAGATGAGGTGATGGTAACTTCTTCACAAGGCTCTTGTGAGATTTTAATGACCTTAGCAATGCACATGGTTGGGGCTGAATAAATGTTCATTCCTCTCTCTATATTTGTTCATCCCTCTCTCCCTATTTCTTCACTTGCTTCACTGTCATCCGTTCCCATCACCCTCCTTAGTTTTCAGAGGGGTATCTGCATTGATGTTCCCTAAACAGTTTTTCAAGAACAGTAGTTTTCAACCAGGAGCAATTGTGCCCCACAGGGGCATTTGGCAATGTCTATCTGGAGATATTTTGTTGCCATAACTGGAGGAGGGACTACTATAACTATAACTACATTCACTAAGAAAAACTTCAGCAGTTTCCACAATTGCTCTGTTTTCAAGATCATGAATTTGTCCTTCGGGCAAAGGAGAAGGGAAAACTTGGAGGAAATAACTACTATATCTTTTATTCTAGGAACTTGAGAAACTTACCTATGCCCTTTAAGACCATGAACTGAGGTGGCTTTGTATCAGTTATCTATTACTGGATAGCAACCACCCAGAATGTAGTGGCTTATCACAATAACTTGTATTTAGTTTAGATTCTACTGGAGAGTTATTCTCTGGTCTGGGACAGGCTCAGCTGATTTTGGTTACCTCAGATTAGTAGAACCATCCAGCTGAGCCCAGTTCAAATTGCTAAACTCCAGAATCATAATTTGTTTTTTTTAACTGCTAAGTTTTGGAGTAATTTGTTATGCAGCAGAAGCTAACTGATACAATGAGAATTGGGGGCTTTTTATTTCAGTTTGGGGCTCTTGGCAATAATGTTGCTATGAACATTTTGGATACAACTCATCCAAGTGTGCTCAATTCTGTTGATTATAGGAGTAAAACTGCTGGTAGTTCTGTTTCATTCTTAAAGTAGCAAATTATTCACACACACATAGAGCTTCATTTTCTGCTCATAACTTCTGTTTCTTGTCTTCAGTTGCAGCAAGTACTATGGGCCCATTTTTTTTTTTTTTTGAGGCAGAGTCTCACTCTGTTGCCCAGGCTGCAGTGCAGTGGCACAATCGTGGCTCACTACAACCTCCACCTCCTGGGTTCAAGCTATGGACCCATTAAAAAAAAAAAAAAGACGAATGGTGGAAAGCTGGTTCATAAAGATTTTTCAGAGCCTGGTTGGGAGGTCAAACTTGTGAATGCCCTGTCTACCATCTCTTCCACAGTGAAAACATCCTCTTCCATTTAAAAAAATTGTTTCCACTTTGTCTACACAAAGAACTGTTCCCAAACATTTTCACACACAAGAAGGAAATGACCAAGAGCACACAATACAAAAATAATCTCTCAGGCACGTGAGAATACAAAAGCTGTTATGGTTTTTAAAAAGCATACTTCAATGAATAAGACAGAAGGGTTTTTTGGTTTTTGTTTGTTTGTTTGTTTGTTTTATGAATCAGAACCTTGAGGTCGTACATGAGTAAGAATTGCTAATTCCTGTGGGTAAGATTAGTACATGTCAGGAAGAAATGTGTGAGTTCTCCAAGTAGTCCGTCAATAAATGTTTGAGTGCCAATGGTGTATAAAGTGCTGCACTTCTGGTAATTTCTTTGGACCTTAACAAAGAAGAGGGAGAGCTGTGAGCTCAACCTGGGGCCACAGGTATCAGAGGATTGAGGTTCCAAATAAGAAACTGGCTTCGCCCAGTTCAGTTTCCTGTGATTTTGCCTTGGTTAAGTTATTTTCTTCTAGTGTGGCTTAGTTTCTTCATCTCAAAAAAAAAAACGAGAAGAAATATACAGACTTAGGCAGCCCTACACTTTTGAGGAATGTACTTGATAATGTCATTAAATCCAAGAGACATTTTTCTGTTCTCCTCTTTACACTGGTGACCAGTCACTACTTTAAAAAAAAAAAAAATTCACTTCCCTTGGTTTCAAGGAAACAATGTCCTGCTAACTTTTCTTTCTACCTTTCTGGGCTCTCTGTTTTGAGTAGGTTTGTCCTCCTTGCCAAGCTATTAAATTTTGGAGTTCCTTAATCCTTGGCCCTTAACTACATCCCCTTCCCATCCCACTCTTCCTAAAAAACTCCTTCACACTGTACCTCAGACATTTAAATGACGATGGCTCAGAAAATTCTATCACCGCCTTAGACCTCTCCTCTGAGCTCCAGACCTCTACCAATGGCCTACATGACACCTCCTCATGGATGGCTCAAGGGCATGCCAAACCTAGCAATTCCAAACCAAACTCATGAGTGTCCAAAACAAACTTCATCCTTGTTCATGACCCGTTCCCTATCATAATGATTGCGTCATCATTCATCCCAAGGATGCAGGACTGAAGCCAGTTAGTTATTTTTGGCATCCTTCATTCCTCTGTCTCACTGAAGCCTCATGACCAAGCATTATCCAGCCCTGTTGAGTTTCCTCCTATATCTCTCCCATCCTTCAACTTCTCTCCACTTCCAGCTAGTACAAGCTATCATTATTGTTCACCTCAACTACTAGCTCCTCCAGTCCATTCTCCACAGCCTGCAGCAGAATTGTCTTCTCAAAATGTAAATAGAAGCATGCCAATTCTCCTGCTTAAAGCCTATGTTTTCATATGGCTTTGAGGATCCAGGTAAAATCATTTTACATAGCCTGAAAGGTCCTATATAGGTCTAGTCCCTGCCTATCTCTCTAGCTTCTTCATGTCCCATTCTTTCTCTATCTTCTGGGCGCTAGCCACACTGACCTACTTCTAGTCCCTTTGATTTGAGATACACTGTCCAATCCCAGGGCTTTTGCACATGTTGTTTCTTCCACTTAAAATGCTCTTCCCTCTTGCAGTAGACCAAATAACACCTCTACCAAAGATGTCCATGTCCCAACCCCAGAACCTGTGAATATGTTACTTTATATGGCAAAAGGGACTTTATAGATGTGATTAAGGTAAGCATCTTGAGATGGGGAGAATATCTTGAATTATCTGCATGGGTTCGTTGTAATCACATGTCCTTATAAGGGAAAGAGGGAGGCAGTGGAGTCAGAGCCAGAGAAGGAGATGTGATAAGAGAAGTAGAGGTCAGAGAGGAAAGAGATTTAAAGATGCTATGTTGCTGGCTTTGATGATGAAGGAAGGGGCCATGAGCCAAGATGGCCTCTAGAAGCATAGGTAGCCTCTAGAAACTAGAGAAGGCACAGAAATGAATTCTTTCCTACAGCCTCCATTAAAAATTCAGCCCTGTTGACACATAGATTTTAGGACTTCTGACCTCTATAAGATAAAAAATTTGTGCTGTTCTAAGCAACTAAACTAGTAGTGACTTCTTACAACAGCAGTCAGAAACTAATACACCTCTCTTCTTCACATAATTGATTTCTACCTTCCCTCAGATCTTAGTTCCTCAGGGAAGCCTTCTCAACATTCTGCTAAGTTAGATCTATCTAACATGGACCCTCCTAGTCTGAGCCTATTTTCTTTCCAGCTCTTTACACAATTGTGTGATTGTTGATTGGCCCAGCTAAAAGTTCTGTGAGGGGAGGCATTGCACCTATTGTACCCACCAGTATATCCCCAACACTTAGTGCAGGGCATATAATAACCCTTAATATTAATTTGAAAGAAATAATATAATAAAGCTTTAAAAAACCGGCCAGGCATGGTGGCTCACACCTGTAATCTCAGCACTTTGGGAGGCCAAGGTGGGAGGATTGCTTGATCCCAGGCATTTGAGATCAGCCTTGGCAACATAGCAAGACCTCGTCTCTACAAAAAAATAAAATGAAAATTAGCTGGACAGAATGGCACATGCCTATAGTCTCAGCTATGCAGGAGGTTGAGGTGGAAGGATCACTTGAGTCTGGAAGGTCGAGACTCAAGTGAGCCATGATCATGCCATTGCACTCCAGCCTGGGTGACAGAGCAAGACCCTGTCTCAAGAAAAAAAAGGCACTAAAAACTGTTCTTTGTCACAAAACGAGCTTCCCCAAAACAAGCAGAAGTTGCATTGCTGGACATTAGGAACAGGTATCAAAACACATCAGAAATAAACAGCTTCTAACAATCAACTCTCCTTGGAAAACCTTTCAAATATACCTTTATTTATTCTAAAAATGAGGGCATTTTTGTTAAAACTCTGGCTATCATGCTATTCTTCAGACCAAAATCTGGTATAAATTCGCATTAAAAAATAACATTGTAAGGTCCTTGACAGTTTAGAGATGAACATCACATATATTATTTTAATCCTCAAAAGAATCTAATGAGATGGACTCAGCTGAATGTCTTGTAGTAGTTTTGTACAAGGAAACTGATGCTTACAGGAATTAAGCGAACTGCTCAATGAATCACAATGCCCAACAAACATCGAACTTAAACTTGGCTCTTCTGACTCTAAATGCAGCATGATCACCACTGCATTATGCACACACTATGTTATGTGTCAGTAGATTGAGCAGATCTCTTCATTTCAGTGTTGAGCATGAAATTCAACTGGTGAATGCTTGCTCATCTCTGTCAAGCAGCTCTTAAATAAACTGGCTAAAACCATTCTGCTATTTGTCCAAAAGCATTAAGAGTATTGTGGGTAATTTTGTCATGGCTCAGCTCTACATTTTACAGAATCAAAACAATTGCTTGGATTGGATGCCTTGGGAGAACAGAAATTATGGAGGAGGCAAAGGAATTGGAAATAATTCCTGGGTATGACTATGGGGGTGTGCAGCTGCAGTGGCAAGAGACAAAATCACTGGAGGAAGGAAAGTCAAGGTACAGAGAGGCAGAATATTGGAAGGGTTATTGACATGGTATGGAAATCCCCAAGAATCATGACAAGAGCAGTATTAGAGAAACTGACAATGAGGGAGGTCTAAAATCTCAGAGGAAGAAGAGAGAGAGAGTGACATAGGGTTGGCCAATGACGGTAACCAAGAAGAGCAGTGGGTGGTATAATCCAACAACCTAAGATTCAAAGATAGGGAGAGGGATGGCATTAGTGTGGAGGGAGAATAGTCTTGGGAACAATGGTATTTCCCAGTAGTCTTGGGAAATGAACAGCAAGGAAAGGCATCCATCCCACTTTCCAGTTCAGGAATATGAGGAGCATAGGAGAGAAAATAGCCATCACCTCAGAGGGTGGCAGGAAAAGCTCTGTCCTCAGGAAAATGTCAGGTTTCATGTACAGCAAGAAAATAAAGGAAACATTCAAAGAAGAGACTTAGGCTAGAGGGAATTTTGTTGATGACTGAATAAGAATTTCAAAGGCAGAGGGCATAGTAGCAAAGTTTGAGTTGAGGAAAGGTAAACAAAAAAAGTCATGAAGGGGGATTATGTAAGCTAGTCTCCAAGGATTCCCCAACAAGTCCTGCCCTTCTAATGTGCTCCTCAGGAAGCAGAGAGCCTATTTCCTCTCCCCTTGAATCAATGCAGTCTCTCAGCCAATAGAGTACTTCTTTCCTTGTAATACTTCCTTTTGAGACTCAGCTACTATACCGTTAGTGACCCAAGCCATTTGGAGAGGCCACAAGGAGGGGAACCAAAAAAATCTGACCAACTGCCTCCTAGAGCTTTCCACCAGAAGCCTGCATCAACTGCTAGTCATGTGAGTAGCCATCTTGGACATTCTAGTCCAATCAAGCACTCAGATGATAGCTGGCCCAGCTGATAACATGAGCAAAAGAACCATCCAGCTGAACCCATTCAACCCACTGCATCATGAGGGAGAAAATGGTTGGTGTTTTAAGCCATTATGGTTTTGAGTGGTTTGGGTACAGGAGATGACTAAAACAGATGCATAAAATCATCTGGGGACTAGAGTAAGTAGGTGAGGGATGACCAAGGAGCCTTGGGTTTCTTTTATGACTGATATCATCAAAGATAAAGGCTTAAGAAGGTAACCTTTTTTTTTTCCTGAGCAATTGGAAGAGTGAAATTGCCTTGAGAAATGTACCTTCTCTCTATAGTCTTTGCACTGAGTAACATTATGACTTTTTTTCTGCTTCAGGACACATTCTCTGCCACTGAGACATGCACATACAAGATACAGAGCTCCAACACCAGATCTGAAGATGAGGACTCCAGATGAATTGTGATTTCTGGCAGAATCTTAAAAATTATTTCTATTTTAGAGATGCCTGAATTTAAAAACCATCACCCAGACACTTGGGATTTAAGACTCTGCTTCACCCTTCCTGTATGATTTCCCCCTCCTTGAAGGAGACCCTCTGAGTGGCTTTCAGGTTAATGTGAAAGAGGCTTGAAGATGCAAATAAACTGAGTAACCATGACAACAAAGAAGCTAAAAAAACAAAACAATCGTGCCTATGCAAATTGCTTCCTGAGCCATCAAGGTATAAGAGAACACGGCTGTCAGCAATAATGCCTAATGGCCAATGATAAATGCAGATTGAGTTAAGGCCAGTGGTATCTTTGAGGCAGCTGTAGTCAGGGAAAAAGCTGGGCCTTCACAAGTCACTGGCCCATGCTCATGTTCACAATGGTGGCATGTGTGTGTTTTAGTGTTTATTGAGCACCTACTAACCAATGACTTTCAGACAAAATACATTCTAATTTACTGAATTAATTTCAGTCCAGGCCTTCCTGGACTTTTGCCCTAATAGCACTTTACACATAATTCCAATGAAGCCCTTAACTCATCAAACTCCAATTGGCATGGTGTACAGCAGTGCCTAATTGTAATATGCACATGATTCACCTGGGGAATCGCATTAAAATGCAGATTCCAATTCAGCAGGTCTAGGGTGGGCCCAAGATTCTGCATTTCTAACAAGCTGCTTGATATGGTTTCAATCTGTGTCCCTGTGCAAATCTCCTGTTGAAATGTAATCCTCAATGCTGGAGGTGGGGCCTGGTGGGAGGTGATTAGATCATGGGGGTGGTTTCTAATGGTTTAGCCCCATCTCCTTGGTGCTGTTCTAGTGACAGAGTTCTCACAAGACCTGGTTGTTTTAAAACTGTATAGCACCTCCCCTCACTCTTTTCCTCCTGCTCTGGCCATGTAAGATGTGCCTGCTTCCTCTTCGGTTTTTGCCATGATTGTAAGCTTCCTGAGGCCTCCCCAGAAGTTGAGCAGATGCTACCATCATGCTTCCTGTACAGCTGGTGGAACCATGAGCTAGTTAAACCTCTTTCTTTATAAATTACCCAGTCTCACGTATTACTTTATAACAATGCAAGAACAGACTAATACACTCCTCCAAGGACCACACCTTGAGAAGCAAGGGTGTGAGTTTAAAAGTATGGATTCTGCATCTAGACCACCTGTTCCTGGACCAAAATGACGGCTGGGCTGTTATTTCTCATAGCCCAACAACTAGATGCAGATGAACTGGGGAGGAAGAGAGTTTTATTTCTGCAACTGGTTACATGGAAAAGGCCTGGAAATTATGGCCAGACCAACTCAAAATTAGAAAGTTTTCCAGAGCTTATATACCTTCTAAGCTATATGCCTACGTGTAAGTGTGCACTCATCTAAAGACATAAGTGATTAACTTCTTTTCATCTATAACTAAGGTCTGAGTCCTGAAGACCTTCCTCTGGAGCCTCAGTAAATTTACTTAAGCTAAATGGGTCTAGGTGCTGGGGTGATTAGCCTTATCTTGTCTCCTGCTAAATCATGGAGATTTGGGGAGTTCCTTCAGACCCCCAATCAACTTGTTTGTGGAGGCCTGGGGAGTTTCTTCAGACCCACAATAAAACTTGTTTAGTCCTAAATAGGTCCTGTTAAGAATTCCTTCTTTTGGCCGGGCGCGGTGGCTCATGCCTGTAATCCCAGCACTATGTGAGGCCAAGACGGGCGGATCACGAGGTCGGGAGATCAAGACCATCCTGGCTAACACGGTGAAACCCCGTCTCTACTAAAAATACAAAAAAAAAAAATTAGCCGGGCTTGGTGGCGGGCGCCTATAGTCCCAGCTACTCTGGAGGCTGAGGCAGGAGAATGGCGTGAACCCGGGAGGCGGAGCTTGCAGTGAGCTGAGATTGCGCCACTGCACTCCAGCCTGGGTGACAGAGCGAAACTCCATCTCAAAAAAAAAGAATTCCTTCTTTTTTTGTCATGCCTTAAGGCCCAGGAAAGTCCTAGGCAAAACTCCTGGTGGGCTTTTGTTACATCCCAGCCTTTGTATACGGGCACTGGCTTTTAATATTTAACTTAACCACTCAGTCAGTACTGAAACAGTTGTTATGGAGGCCTGCATTAGTAAGATCTGGCCTGCCACACGCCTGGGTTCAAATCCTGTCTCTGTATATTAGCTAGATGATCTTTGAAAAGTTACCTGGCCTTTCTGCACTTCTTTATTCCTAAAATGGGGATGACAAAAATAGTAAAGAATAACCTCCACCTCTGAGGGTTCTTGGATGGCCTAAATGAGTTTATATCTTTAAAATGTTTAAGCCATGTCTGGCATGTTGTAAGTACTCAATAAATATCAATTCTTATACTCTTCTTATGTCTTACCCACTAATTAAACATTTCCTATGTGCTTTGTCTTGATCATAGATTTTAATTCTCACAACCCTGTGAGAAAATTGGTCCCACTTTACAAAGAAAAAAACAAAGGTGTAGTGAAGTCATGGAGTTAGTGAAAGTAGCTGTCTGCTTCCAGAGTCCACAACATCTGTGCTGTGAGTGTCCTGAGGGAAGAAATGATAGCCATTTATGACTATATCCCCAGGGAGTTAGCACAAAACTGGTAACTAGTACGTGCTCAAAAAATACTTGTTAAATGAATGACCTAATGTAATGGACATTTTTGCCTTGAATTTAGAGATTTAGAGACGAGTGAACTGAAGCTCAAAAGAATTTGAAAACTTGCCAATACACCACAAATGAGTGAGTTGGGATAGAAACCCCAATCCCCTGATATATAAAGGCTATTTTCTTTTTCTTTTTCTTTTTCTTTTCTTTCCTCCCTCCCTCCCTCCCTTCTTTCTTTTTTTTCTTTCTTTCCTTCCTTCCTTCCCTCCCTTCCTCCCTCTTCCTTTCTTTCTTTCTTTTTCTTTCTTTCTTTCTTCTTTCTTTCTTTTTCTTTCCTTCTTTCTTTCTTTCTTTTTTTTTTAGATAGGGTCTCACTCTGTTGCCCAAGCTGAAGTGTAGTGGCAAGATCACAGATCACTGCTGCCTCAGCCTCAGCCTCAACCTCCTGGGCTCAGGTGATTCTCTCACCTCAGCACCCCAAACCCCAACACCTGAGTAGCTGGACTACAGGCACCTGCCACCATGCCTAGCTAATTATATATATATATATACTTTTTTTTGTAGAGACAGAGTTTCACCTATAAAGGCTATTTCCATCAAGAAATAATATTGACTTTGTAATGACCTGATGGGTTCGTCCTGCCTGCTGCACAGACAAAATCAATTCACTGAGACCACAGCATTTCAGTAAAGAAAGTTTAACTGATGCAAACCTGGCTATGCCATGTGGGAGACACAGTTATTACTCACATCAGTCTCCCCAGAAAATTTGGAGGTTAGGGATTTTCAGATAGTTTGGTGGGCAGGGGGCTAGGCAATGGGTCCTGCTGCTTGGTTGGGGATGCAATCATAGGAGTGTGGAAAACGGTCCTTGTGCACTGAGTCTGCTTCTGGGTGGGGGCCACAGGACTGAGTGAGTCACTGGTCAGGGTGGGGCCATCAGGTCATCAGAAATGCAAAAGCCTGAAAAGACATCTCAAAAGAACAATCTTAGGTTCTACAATAGTGATGTTAATTACAGGAGTAATTGGGGAAATTGCAGATCTTGTGACATCCAGCAGAATTCAGGCCACTCTCATCCTCCTAACTTGGTGGACTTGCATTAGTTTTATAAGGGCGATTTAGTTTTTGGGAAGGGCTATCATCATTTAAACTATAAATTAAATTTCTCCCAAAGTTAGCTTTGCCCACACCCAGGAATGACCAAGGACAGTTTGGAGATTAAAGGCAAGATGGAGTTGATTAGATCAGATCTCTTTCACTGCCATAATTTTCTGTTATAATTTTTGCAAAGGTGGTTTCAACTTTATCCACTTGGAGAGATGACAGTGTGGCAAGAAGACTGACTGGTGAGCAAGCATTTAAAAATGACCAAACTCGAGGGGGCTGCTTGAGTTGTTTTGAGGATAATTGACCAACAGAAGCTAAAATTAATGCATTTGTTCACATGCAACTTAATTGCCAGAGTTTTCACTTCTGCTGGAGCCTCTAAAGAGTAGCAGAATCATTTCCCCATGCTTCCTTGCACTTTCAGCTTACGGGTTAATGGAACTTCTTCAGTGATCTTATATAACCTTTAGCAGTTATCATAGTTTGAGTTCTGTGAAGAATTCAGAGCGAGCACATAGTTTATTTGGGAGGTGTTGAGAACACGTGTAGGAAAGTGGGAAGTTAATTCAGAGAAGGCAAGGCATCGGATAAGGCGTACATTATCAAGCCTTCTGCTCACAATAGGTAATTGAAATTAATCCCATGGGGAAGCTCTGGAAAATGGTGAAAAACACAGGTCTCAAATTTATCCCACATGAAGGGAAAGGGAACTGAGGTGTTATACACTAACAGCAAAGTCATTGAAGGCTACTCCCAGCAGTGTTAATTCCTTGGTGCTTCAAACCTGCCACATATAGGTACAGAGTGGTTTCTGCTGTTCCATAAAAAGCCATCAAGCATAGAGATGTAGATGCTGCCACTTGGAAGTCAGTGGGAGCACTCTGAAATGCTAAGAGCTCACGGGATATGGACAGAGAACCAGCAGAGTCTGCTAAAAAGGAGCTCTTTTTGCTGCTTCCCACTACAGCAGCTCACCAAGAGGGCAATTATATGGAGAAAAAAATTACCTACTTGTCCAACTGGGTTTGTTGGGGGAAGGTTATGCAAGTACTATATATTTTAGGTTAGGCATTGCACAGTCATTTCCAAAAAGAGGTATGCAGGAGACATTGGACCACATCTATTGGTTAGAGTTTTGATAAGTGGCCCATGTCTGTACTTCTTAACCCTGAATTCTTTTAAATGGATTCCTGAATTTGGTTGTGTGAAAAGGAATAAGAGAATCTGTACTTGGGGGAATGAGGGAGTGGTAAGAGGAGAAGGCTCAGAGGAGGCATCCTGTATGCATTATTAGATTTGTTCTTAATCTCAGAAGGAAAGAATACGTATATTTTCTGAAATATCAGTGTGCTTTCCAGAATCAGTGAGGTCATGGAAACTATAATCTTTGCCATGTGCTCTCGCAGCCACAGTTATGCTAATGAAACCAGGAATGGGGGCTGCTCTGGTGAACATGGTGAAATCAGACTTGAGTCTGGGAGCTGGAGGTGGGTGGAAAAGCATGTGGAGGCATCGGCAGTTGTTTTTGTGTTCGAGGCTTAGGTCTGAGGTTGATGCGCCCCTGATCTTTCTTTCATTTTCCTAACACTTGGGCCCACATCCCGGAGTGTGGAGTAGAGGACAGCAAGATATGCCATCAATGTTAATCTGATCTTTCATCAGCAAATACTGGAAGGAAGTCATTTTAAGCCGGTTTTAAAACTAGATTTGGGGCATAGAGAGTCCGGTGTTGTTGCTATTTTTACTCAGTTTCTTAAACAAAGGGGCTCTGATGCTATTGTGGAGTTACAGTAATGTGGACCTCAAGAAGTCACAACAGATACCCATTAGCATTTAGAGCTCTACCTCTAGAGGTTGAGTTAAAATATTGAATATGCTTTCAAACCATCATACTACCTTTATTCCAAAGATGTCTAAAAGAGCCTAAGGAAGGTAGACTTATTTAGTGTGTCCATGCAATCTTCAGTGTCTTTCTGTCTCCTTCCCCTTTCCGCCATCCCTCGTTCTCTATATAGAAAATGTCTTTAAAATATAGAGTGGGTCTGTATATTTGCATAACAGCAGTCCTCTATATAAAAATAAATTCTGAATAGATTGCTCCATTGTATATACATGTGGGTACGCATGTCACATACACTGATTTATTTTTCTAAGAACAAATGTCTTAATGTTTCTCTTCCTTGAGAAAAATCACCAACTGTCAGAATCTCAAATTCCATGTAGAGCTTTGCAATAACAGAGAATATATATGTAAAAAGCCACAGAGAGATGAAATATAGTGGGGAGTTAGATTTTTGTTTCAAATAGCTCTGAATTTCCAAAGATTTCACAAGTCAAGTAGAAGGCTGTTCGTGCAATGGCTTTGTCCTCTACTCTTTAGGACACTCTTTAGAACACTGATCAGTGTAAGTAACCTAACCAAGCCTCATTCTTTCCCTGAAGCAAAGAGGAGCTATGGCCACAGAATTTCTACAGAACTGTGGAAAAAACACAGCTTTGGAAACATATAATTCTGAGTTCAAATCCAACTCCTGCCACTTACTTGGGCACATTTCTAAACCTCTTGGAATCTGTTTCCTCCTCTAGAAAATGGGGCTATTCACACCTTCATCAAAGGGTTATTGTGAAGATGAGATACACTGTATGTGAAAGCACCTGGCCCAAAGTAGGTGTGAAGAACTGCAAAGGGTCTAAGATTCAACGCTACTTGCAAACTAACAAGCTAGCCTGTCACAGTTTTATGGATGCTGGTAGAAGACATGAGACACCGGGGTCAGAAATGAAGGATAGCTTATTACTCACAGAATAATCATAGACAGATTATCAGCAGTTTTTGCATCAGTTTTCCAAGCCCCAATTCCCACAGGATGATCCAAAGAGGGCCAGGTGATACTTGCATATGCAAGTGGGTTCTATTACAGGAGAGAAACCCTGAGCTTAGAAAACCTGAATCTTTTACAATGGACAGTACACATTTTTTCCTTTTGCTCCAGAAGGAGCCATTGCCTTTATTATACTAGATGGTAAGGGTATTGGTCCTTTGCTCTGGAGGGAGGCACTATGTCTTCCAAGGCATCCTTGAAAAGGTAGTCCAGAATCAAGAGCAGTGAATCTGCTTGCAAGATGCACAGATGTATAAGAGACTCATGAGGAATAATCTCCCAACAGTAGATTCTCAATAAATGGTGGTTGGCAAGGGAAGTGGGAAAAGGATGACAAAAAAATGATAACTATTTCCCTGGGTCCTGTATTGATCTCATTTTGCAAGGCCTCAAGGAATATAACTACATAAATCTGCCTTATAAATGAGATTCAGTGTGATGCTGCGAAGAGAAGAAAAGCTTTATAGTCATAAAGACATGGGTTCAGATACTAGCTTAGCCATTCACCAGCTGGGCAACCTTAGTTGTTTCTTAACTTCTGTGATCCCCTGTTTCCATATCTGTAAAAAGGGGTGACCATAATACAAGCTACTAAGTGCTGTATTAGACCCTAACATATATAAATGTGTGTGGCATATAGAAAGAATCCAATAAACGGTAACTATTGCATTCTATAAAAAACAGGCATTTATTGAACATCTACCACCTGTCCTTCATTTTTTCATTTGACAAATGATTATTGCGCATGTACTTTTTACCAGGCACCGTGATAGGCAGTGAGAATACAAAGATAAGCCTAGAATGATCATTCCCTTTGAGGACAGCACAGTCCAGGGGTGGAAACAGCTAAATTATAGTAATAGGAGGCAAGTACCAAAGCAGAGATTGCAACCAAGTGCTCTGAGAACTCAGAGAACATAAAATAAATAAATAAATAAATACTCCAGAGGAGGCTGAGAAGGCTTCGCCCAAAAGGTGAAATTTGAATTTGGTTCCAACCACTCCAACTTTAGCTCCAACACTTGTGTAAAGATCCTGAGATGATTTAATGCTCTCATATCCCCTGAAATCCAGAGCAACCCCTCCCATCTCTCAGCTTTTGTGAAAGAAGAAGGAAAGAGAAGGGAAATGAGAAGCAAAGGAAGGGAAGGAAAGGAAATATAGAGAGAGAAGGACACACCATTTGGAGCTCTTAGCAAGTGTTGAGAGTGTCAGGGACCAATAAATAGTGCACTCTCCCTTCTCTGAGTTCCAAACCAAATGGGAAATAAGACAAAAGAGTCAGCCTATGCAGGCCAAAATATCATATGTATTACTGATAAGGCCAATGTTAGAAATTATTCAGGCATCTAGGTTCCTTCCATTTTGTGGATCTGCCATTCCCTTAGGGTTTTGTTCTTATCTATGCGGTGTAAGGAAGAAAGAAAAGTTCCAGGGCTAGAGGCACTCTCTTTAAGGAGATGACCTGGAAGTTGCACATATCACTTCAGCTCATGTCCCACTGAACCAAACTTAATCACATAAACCTATCCAGCTGCAAGGGGGGCTGGGCAGGCATATTTCTGTTAAAATTCAGGGGATCCTTTTACTAAAAGAAAGAAGTGAGAATGAACATGTAAAACTGTTAGCAGTCCTCACAATAGGTTCCAACAGGAAGTAGAGAAAAGAAAGCAGATTTGGAGGGAAGCTTTGGACATATTGTTAAGAAAGTAATTGACAATTAAAGGTTCAGGGGTAAAGTCAGGGCTGGGACAAAGAGTTGAAAGTCATCCTCACAATAGGGAGGTTGCTCTGAAGCCATGAGGACAACTCAGAGACCCCCTAAAAATGTACAAGGGAAACATCTTTGAGGACATCTGCCTTAAACTGTTGAGAATAGAAAGTAGAGTCAGAAAAGGAACAGAGAAGTAGGAGAATTTACAGGTTTTACATCATAGTGGCCAAGGGAGAGTTTCAAAACGAAAGGCACAGTCAACATTGATTAACACTTCAGAGAGAATAAAGATTATATGAATTAAGAAATGGCTATGAAACTTAAATTTAAGATTACACTGGTAAATTGTAAGAGAACAGGGACAACGGATTTAAAAGGGAAGATGTGCCGTGTTTCAAAGGACTAAGAAAAAGGTTCATAGTGAAGACGTAATGGAAGCAAGTATAGACACATTAAAAAAAATAATTAAATGCTAAGTGGAAAACAAGGGCCAAGACATTACCTTAGGAGGCAGCAAGCTCCCAGGAAGGGGCTTCAGAAGATGGGGAAGATGTGAAAAGGCTTATGAGATGAGGGTAAAGATTCAGTGGTGAGAGTGAGGAAGATACAGGAAGACAAAATTTCCAGGCAGGTTGGAGTAAGGAGTGGTGTATCATGGGAGTGTATTGGAGAGTGGACCCTGGAGAGACCGAGGAACACTCCTCTTTTTTTAAGAAAAGGATGGAAAGGGTAAGAAGGTGGAATAAGACTCTATAAAATGAGGGGCTGGAGAGAAAATAGGTAGAAGTGTATCTAGTGGTTGCTAATCTTCTACTGAGAAAGGGAATAGACCTGTAAGGCAGATAATATTTTCCGAAAACTGCCTTAACAATACAAAATTAAATTAATAAAATTAAAAAGCAGTTCTACATGCTTTTCCAGAAACTTGTTACTTCTCATCAACAAGTAGAGTCTGTTTTCCCTTCTGTTGAAACCAAGTGGGCCTTCATGACTGCTTCAACAACTAGAATTCAGCAGAAGTGATGTGTGACTTTCAAAACTAGATTCGAAAAGCTACTCTATCTTCTACCTGGCGTTCTCTTTCTTGGGATGCTCACCCTTGAAATAGAACCACTATATTGTAAGGAAGCCCAGGCTATGTGGAGACGACATGTATAAGTATTCTAGCCAATCTCCCCAGCTAACATCACATATTAGTGAACAAGTTCTCAGACGATTCTAGCCTCCAGCTGTCAAGTCACCAGTAGCCTCTGTCTCCCAACTGGGGCCCCATTGAGTAACAGAGATAAACCACTTCTGCTGTGCCCTGTCCAAATTCCTGACCTCAGAATCCATGAGCATAATAAGTGGTTGTTTTATGTCACTGAGTTTGGGAGTAATTTCTTTTTTCTTTCTTTCTTTTTTTTTATTTTGTTGTTGTTATTGTTTCAGGGAGCAGAGTCTTGAGCTGTCACCCAGGCAGTAATGCAGTGGTGCAATCTTGGCTCACTGCAACCTGCAACCTCTGCCTCCCAGGCTCAAGCTATCCTTCCACCTCAGCCTCCCAAGTAGCCGGGACTACAGGCATGTGCCACCATGCCTGGCTAACTTTTGTGTTTTTTGTAGAGATGGGGTTTTGCCATGTTGCCCAGGCTGGTCTTGAACTCCTCGACTAAAGTGATCCACCCGCCTTGGCCTCCCAAAGTGCTGGGATTACAGGCATGAGCCACTGTGCCCAGTGAGAGTAACTTCTTATACAGCAAAAGATGACCACAACAACCAGGCTGGGAGGTGGGAAGGCTTTCTTAAATAGAGCTGTGGGGAATTGACAATGTGTCTTTTAGAGAGAAATGAAAAGCTTTCAGTGGAATGGAACCTACCTGTGGAATGTATAGCACAGATTTATAGGGGAAATGGACCCAGGGTATCAACATTCTTGAGCTAAGTCAAGAACCTGGAAATGTGGACAGTCCTATCGGGCCCATGGAGGGAAGGAAGACCCTGCCTCCTTAACATCTTGAATTCATTATCCCAGCAGCATCTCTGACCATCATCCCAAACTAGTTCCCACACATTCTCCTACTGTCAATCTGAATTCTTCCTTCTTATTTCCTGTCTTAGAAAGGTTGGCAGCACTAACTAGCCACCCAAGCTGGAAATTAAGGAGTATCCCTCTGAAATGGAACCCCTTTTCTTCACTCCCATGTGCTATTGCTTTAGTTAAGGCCTTAAGCATCTTCTGCTTGCACTATGGTGCATGAGATGTTTTACAAAAATGGCCACAATTATTCCCCTTTCTGTATCCAGTTTCTGCAATGTGACTTCGCAGTTTCTCCCATTAAGAGAAGAACTCTATTTGCTTTCCCTTGAATCTGAGCTGGTTTTGTGATACATGTTGGCCAAAAGAATAAAGCAGAAGTGATGTTGTGCCAATTCTGGACCTAGACCTAAAGAGATCTTGTGCATTTCTACTCACTCTCTTGGAACTCAGCCTTGTGAACAAGGCCAGGCTAGTCTGCTGGAGGATGAAAGACCAAATGGAGCAGAAAAAAGCCATCATATCTGACATCATCATAGGCCAGACAGCTCCCAAGCAATACAGCCACTGATTGCAGATGCATGAATGAGCCCAGCTGAGACCAGAAGAATCACACAACTGAGCCAACCCAGATTGCCAACATGCAGAATTGTGAGCTAAACAAATAGTTTTTGCTTTAAGCACTAAGTTTTGAGGTAGTTTGTCATGCAGCAAAAGCTAACTGATACAGAAGACAATGGCTTCCTAAATAATCTTCCTGCTTCCAAGACCACCAACCTCCCCTGACAACCACCACCAATACAGCATCCATTCTGCCAGACTCATCAAAAACTCACCTGAATTTTTTACTTCCCTTCTTAAAATCTACCAGTAACTTCCCATCAACCACAGTATAAACTCAACCTTCAAAGACTTAGAAATAATTTAGAGCTTTTTTAAAATTTAGCCCCGGACTCATTTCCCAGAATTCCTCACCTCCTAGCCCTCCTCATCTGTCAACTTACCATCTAGCCATGTTCTACTATTCTATGTTCTATGAAAACACCCCATGCTTGACATTTGTCCAAGCTTTTTCTCTTACTGTTCTCTCTACTAAGAATAGCCCTTCTGCCCTCTTCTCCATCTTCTCCACTTTCATGCCCCCTAGAGCCTAGTATACAGTTCCTGGCATATAATAAGTGCTTCGTATATGTTGAGATGAATGACCAAATTACATTTCATGATGGTGCTCTGATCCAATTGTAGCACTAGGGAAGTGCTTACTATGTGGCCAAGTACTGTGCAAATGCCACAGCAACCCTATTGGGCATATATTACCACTATCACCACCATCATCATTGTCCTCATTTTGCAGATGAAGAAACTTAGGTTTGGAGAAATCAGGTGACTTACCAAAAGTTACTCTGCTAAAATAAATGATGGCAGCCCAGTAATGAAAAGCCTGGGGAATCTGATACTACCTTCTACTGTGAGCAGTATCAGCCCCAGCTATTCCAATCTATGTACCTGGCCCTGTTTTCTTAACTTGCCCTTCCTGACTTTTTCAATTTTGAACTTCTAATTAAATGTTTCAAACTGCTTGTCACTAGTTTGCCCTACTCATCTTCTTTCTTTTAATGCGTGTCTTCCAAAGGGAGACTGAAAACAAATCTAAATGTATATTAAGGACCAGAATTTTAGGCACTGAGCTAGAGAAGAATCTCCCTTGGAATCTAAAATCTTTATCAGAATAGATTCTTCTCCTAAAATCAGCAAATTGTGGGCTGTGGGCCAAATGTGGCCCATGGTCTGTTTTTGTACAGCCCTCAAGCTAAGAATAATTTTTACATTTCTTAAAGATTGTAAAAAACACACACACAAAGAATATGCAACAGAGAGTCATATGTGGCCCACAAAACCTAAAATATTTGCTATCTGGCTCATTACAAAAAAAGTTTGCTGACCTCTATCTTGGGCCATTCTTCCACTCATATTCTTCCCTGATAGTCTGGGTTCCCCCAGAAGCAGACTCTGGGGAAAGGATTCGAGTGCAAATTATTTATTGAGGTAGTGATCCTGGAAAACACCAAGAATGAAGTGGAAAAATTGAGACAGAGAAGGGATGGGAAGTGTGCATTGTCAAATGAGTTATCCCTGTGGGCAATTAGAGTTTAAACCCACTGGGGACTGTGGAAGACAGTGCAGATCACATACCTCAGAGCCAAGGGATGTGTGAGCCAGGGCACTTATCCATCAACTCCCATCAGTCATTGGCTACAGGCGATTCCCTGGGAAGTGTTAATTCCCCAGCACTACCGGCCTTCCCAGGGCAAACTTGTTCCAATTGCCAGATAAACCTCTTAGGCAAGGGGTTGCAGGTGCTGGCAGTTGGATGTCAGGCAAACACACACAGAAATGGTAAATGCCAAGGGGATATAGGTGGGGCAGTGAGAGCACTCGCCACATCCCTTTCCCCCATTCTACTTTGAATAAACTATACTTTTTAAAAAAATGTATACTAGTGTCAAAATTTAAAACTCACCAACTGGGGCATAAAGAAATATAACTTTATTTCTTGCTCTTGAGCTCCCGTCCGTATTGATGGTGCTAACTATAGACATCTCAGTTTCTTAGCTTTAATTGCTTCTTTCAAGTGTACTGTTTTTCTGACTTTTCCCTATCTATCAAAAATTCTTCCCCCTCTTTTTCCCAATATGGTTACTAGGTCCATTTAAAAAAAATATTTTTGAGACAGGGTCTCGCTCTGTCACCCAGGTTGGAGTACAGTGGTGTGATCATGGCTCACTGCAGCCTCAACCTCCCAGGGTCAAGCGACTTCCTGCCTCAGCCTCCCGGGTAGCTGGGACTATGGGCACATGCCACCATGCCTGATTAATTTTTTTGTATTTTTAGTAGAGATGGGGTTTTGCCATGTTGCCCGGTGTCAGATCCAGGGGTCCAGGTCCAGCCCATGCTGAAGTCCAAGGGAGTGAGCGGATGGGCAGAAATAACACTTGGGGGGCTGTAGGCAGGTGAAATGTAGTTTCATTCAGCAGCAGCTCTCATCAATAGCTTACTTACACTAGCTCTCTCACACTGTCCACCTTTATCTCAGCTGTCTGCTCTGGTTATGCGGCTTCTGCTGCCCCCATGCCTGCAGCTGCATGGCCGGCTCTCCCTTGCCTTCAGGGTTAGGAGCTTAACTCTTTCTGTCTCTGAGCATGAGCAAACCGAGCTGTGTCCTGGCTCCCTCCTGTCCATCTGCAAGATGGACAGCTTTGGCTCTCTCTCTCTCTTTCTCTGGGCACCAGCATGCCTACCATGTCAAGCCATGTTGAGCTAAGCCGAGCCCCAAGAACCCCTATACAGCATTAGCAGGGCAATTATATCTTTTACAGACAATAGTGGCTCAGAGCCAAGCATGAACTTACACAAACAAGTTATATAGCAAGTGGAGGTGTGTGCCTGTGCGCCATACTCACTGAGTCATGCAGGACTGGATATCCACCTCAGCCTATTCCTTGACCAAAGCACATCCATGTACCTTACACCCAGGCTGGTCTCAAACTCCGGGGCTCAAGCGATCTGCCTGTCTCGGCCTCCCACAGTGCTAGGATTACAGACATGAGCCACCGTGCCCAGCCAACAAGGTGCATTTTTATGATTTGAGGAAAGATGGCCTGGTCCTCCTGCTGTCCTCTGGGAGTAGCCTGGACCACCTACTCATTTGGCATCCTGCCCTGGTCTCCACTGAGTTATGGCTAGTTTCTGGACATTGTGCTGGCATCTTCTGCTATTGATCATAGACCTTGCCATTGCCTCCATTGTGAGGTCCCCAAACTCTACAGCTTCCTTGTCCTCAGACTTTCTTGGACACATCTCTCCTCTCAATGTTTCTGTGCCCCAGTTAGGGGTCCTGGAACTCTCTACTGCCTCTGAAGTATGCGAGACTGTGAGGCTATGGAGGTACCTCTCTCCACTGCTGTTACTTGGCTTCTTCCCCATCAAGAAGGAGGCACAATGTTGTTGCAAGTTTCTCTGAAATGCTTGTATTAATCCAGGATATGCCTGGTGAGGTGGTCACCTACCCCAGTGCTCTCAGATTCTCCCAAGCCTAGCTGGGTGTTCCTACCACCCCTTACTTCTGCCCCCAAAGAGGGCTATTTGGATGATGGAAAGAATGGGAATATAGGGGGACACTTGCATCTTCTTCCTTTCTCTGTGCCCAGTGTCACCTCCAAGAACTGGAAGGCTGTTCCCTCTCCAGCGTGCAGGAGTGTCCCTGACTTTCACTGTGTCCCTGTTTTTCCTACTCTATGGCTTTTCTACGGCCAGCTCTTGTCTTAGTCCATTTTGGGCTGCTATAAGAAAATACCACAGACCAAGTCACTTATAAACAATGAACATTTATTTCTCACATTTCTGGAGGCTGAAAAAGTCCAAGACCAAAATACCAGCAGATTTTGTGTCTTATGAGGGTCCACTTCCTGGTTGAAAGATGGCATTTTCTTGATGTGTCCTCACATGATGGAAGGAGCAAGGCAGCTCTCTGGGGCCTCTTTTATAAGAGCACTAATCCCATTCATGAGAGCTCTCCCCTCATGAACAAATCATCTCCCAAAGGCCCCGCCTCTTAATACCATCATATTAGGGATTAGGTTTCAACATAATGAATTTTGGGGAGACACAAACATTCAGACCATAGTAACCATCTAAGCTTTGGTTTCTATTATACAGGGGCCCAACTTTGGGAGTCCTAGGAAAACTCCTTTATTTCTTTTTTTAGTCTGGCTTTCAAGACTATTGCCCCAGTAAGGGTTTTTAAAAAATCTAGTTGAAATTTAAAACTGCGCAATGACTATTTTGTCCTACGCTGTATCTACCTCCTCCTCCCAAGGCAGTAGGCCTTCATCTTATTGCATAATCTTAATGGCAGAAGAACAGCAGGTGCTTCTTTTCTTCTTCTTCTCCTTCTCCTCCTCCTCTTCCTCTTCCTCCTCCTTTAGTAACTACCCACCAAAGAGGGAAAACACATTTGGATAATATTTTAAAACATTATCCTCGCATCTAAAATAATAAAATCATGGGAAGTAGTGGAGTGTTGGCATCTATTATTTCATTATTTCTACTTCAAGAAAATGAAAATTGGTTTGCCAATAATTAAAATATTGAGTTATTTTTATTGCATTTCGCATAAACCTTAATTCAAGTTAATTATTGTTATCAAGAGAGGAATTTTGAAGCCAGAGGGCAAAATCTTTAAATATTACCTCAAACATACCAGGTAAAACACTTTAAAGTGTCTTCCCAGGACAGAATAAGAATACTCCTTATTTAGAAGACAAAATTCTCATCATCAATTATCAGCTGATAGATCTAGAACACCCACCAGAAGTCACATTTGTGTTAATGACAATTTCATTTCCCAATGTGTACATACCCTTACAATTTTAGGCTCAATTTTTAAAACTTGGAACATATATTTGGGAAAGGATGGGTTTTGTACGTGAATAAGGTTACAGTGGGCAGGGGGTTCTGTTGAGCTACTTGAACAGGGCCAAAATGATTTTTATCCCCAACTGCCAAGGTGCTCAACATTTTACCATTAGACTGTTATTCCTGTAACTTAGGAATTACCCTAATCAGCAATCGTGCTTTAAAATCCTTTCATTATCTTCACCGAATATATAATGCACACTGTCTACAAGTCATTATTCTAGGGCTTAATGATGAGTTGGGCATGAAAGGTGGGCAGAGACGAGGGAGAAGCAACAAATAAATAAATGAATTAAGTCAACAACAGCTTTGTGTGGCTTCTTTTGCCAGAAGTTCTTTCTTCCTTTTGGAATTAGGCTTAATGAAAACTTTGGTTATCTGAAGAGAGAGCATGAAGAAGGAGGATAAATAGAAGCTACTAGAAACTATCAAATTTCCTTAATGTAGCTTGCAATTTCTCCCTCCCTCACAACCACATTTTAACAGTTCTCAAGTCAGGATTTGTCCTGCAATCTAAAAATAGATTTAATAAGGCAGTGTATTTTTTGTCTTAAATTATTAAATTGAGCTTGTTATTAAATAGTGCTTCTTATAATCCATGCCATGTTACACTTAAAGAGATCAGTAATATTTTAATTGAAAATTTTGTTGAGGTAATTGTCAATTTAGATGAAGTCATAAGATATAATAGAGGGAGAGTCCACATGCCCTTTAACCAGTTTCCCCTAACGGTAACATTTTGCAAGAGTAGTTCAATATTACATTCAGAATATTAAGAATTTGTAGAACTTACTTGGATTCCCCCAGTTTTGCTTGTACTCGTGTGTGTGTTTAGTTCTATCAATTTGAGCACGTGTGTAGGTTTGTGTATCTACCACCACACTCAAGATATTAAACAGTTTCATCACCACAGAGTCCTTTCATAATCCTTTTTTAATCTTACCCACCTTCCTCCCAGCCATCTTCCCATCCTTAAACACTGGCAACCATTAATCTGTTTTCCATTTCTAAAATTTTGTCATTACCAAAATATTATATAAATGGAATCATACAATATGTCACTTTTTAAGATTGGGTTTTTGCACTTGGCATAATTCTCTGCAAGTTCATTTAAGTTGTTTGTACTGTATGCATCATTGTCCCTTTTTTATTGTTGAGTAGTTTTTCATGGGATGTACATACCATGGTTTGTTTAATCATTCACCTGTAGAAGGACATCTGAGCTGTTTTGGGCTATTAGATCAGTAATATATATTGAGAACCTATTAGATATGTTACCTACTTTCATATTTGTTGTTCCAACTAATCTTTACCCCCGAAAAAATCCTTGTAAGATGAACTTTAGGGTCTGTACTTACAAAAGAAGAAATTGAGGCTCCATAACACCAATTAACATGCTACGGTCACACAATTGGCAAGTAGCAGGTTAGAATTCATACTTAGGTATTCAATTCTCAAGCTGATGAGTGCTGTTTGTCAGTTTATTTGATGACTTCTTCCTTGGGTTATCACAGGCATCGGGGCTGGGGCCAGCTAAAATGAACGCAGAGAGCACTTAGGACTGTCGATGCATCCCCAGTTTTCTCCATTATTTTCCTACCATAAATCAGAATAGATCTGAGGAAATGTACAGTAAAATGACTGATAGCTCACCTGCTTGATGGACCTGTGTTTTAGAGGTTCCTGTACTTAGAGGGTCATTGACGAACCAAATAAATAGGTGACAGTGAGTTTTGGTTTCCCCCATCTTGATAAATAATTGTTTCTTGGGCTGTTTTCTCACTGTCTTTTCTAATTGGCAAGTGTATCAGGGGAGTGGTGGTTAAACTGACACATTGTCATTCTGAAAACAAATGACTGGAAATGCCACACCAGTTCATATAGTACCAGAAAAAGCTTCCAAGCAGCCCATCTGCTTAGGAGAGGGACACATTCTGCCTGTCATAACCCAAGCACAGCCTCCTGGAGAAATGAGTATGCCTGTTAATAATGAGCCAGCCCTCTGAGCGAACAGCCTTCAGGAAAATAGGCACATGGATGCTACCCACTTTTGGACTGCAATGCTGGGACAATTCACAAGCCCTCCCTCCTAACAAAAGTGCTTCTCCCACCATCCCATCACCTGCCATTGCCACTCCCATTCCACATCCCTCAAACCAATCAGAAATTCTCCTCCTTGGGACAACAGCAAGGGTACACATGCATATTTCAAGGGGAAAATTAAAACCATGATAAGATACAACCACAAAGCCACCACAATGGCTAAAACTAAGAACATTGACAATACCAAGTGCTGACAAGGTGTAAAGCAACAAGAATTCTCATATATTGCTGCTGGGAACACAAAATGATACAATTGCTTTAGAAGACTGTTTGGTAATGTCTACTAAAAGCTAAACATATGCATCTCCTGTAATACCTCTCTTATCTATAAACTCAAGAGAAATGCATGCATATGCCCACCAAGGGACATGCACAAAATGTTCATAGCAGCTTTGTTCATAATAGCCAAAAACTCAAACGTTCACAGTGGGTAAAGAATTATTGAATATTCATGCAATAGAATACTACACAGATAAAATTCTGATACGTACAACATGGATGAATCTGACAGGTGTTATGTTAAGCAGAAGAAGCCATGCTCACAAAGAGTACACACTGTGTAATACCACTTACATGAAGTTTGAGAACAGGCAAAATTATTCTATGGTGATAGAAGGCAGAAGAGTGGTTACCTCTGGAAAGGAGTGGGAGATAATTACTGAGTGAAAAGAGGCATGAAGAACCATCTGGGGTGCCGAAAGTGGTTCTATACCTTCATGTGGGTAGTGGTTATTTGGGTATATACAAAACTATATCAAGTAAACCACTTAGGGTTTGTACACTTTATGCCTTTTACTGTGTAAACTAAATGTTAGACCAAAAATTTTAAAGTTTCAAAAAAATATGAGGGAGAATTGCTCCCCCATTCACCTCATGGGACACTGGACCAGGCCACCCTTTTTTCCTGTCCTCCTTCTCATCTGTGGATCTGTGGACACCAGGACATGTAGCAGGGCCAGTTGACTACTCCACCCAACAGATTATTGGGAGGAGGCAAATTGATACAATAGTAGGCATACTTAGTGGGAAACCAAATGAGAGATTGGCACTGCAGTCTGAGGCAGGATAAGCACTTCATGCTAACATGCCTCCAGAGACTTTTCCTGTCTCCTGTTAACAAAATGGTGACTCATGCAGAGACGGAGATGAAATAATTACTTGAGCATGGATGATTTCCACTCTCTTGGAAACTTGAGTTAAAGAGACAGAAAACACACATGCACGCTCATGCGTGCACGCACACACACACGCACACACATCGGCGGTCGGGGGCAGAATCTATCTCTGACAGGCACTGATTCCAGAGTGATTTAAATACTCAAAATGAGAGAGAGAGATATTTCAAAAAAATTAGCAGGTGTACCAAGCTCACATAATACATGCACTTGTTGTTTCTATTTATCTATTTTCTAATTTGCATGCAGTAAAGTTCACTCTTTGTAGCATACAGTCCTATCAGCTTGAGCAAATGATACAGTTCTGTAAGCACCACCATAATCAAGACGCAGTTCTATCACACCAAAAAATTCCCTTGAGGTGCCCCCTTTGTAATCAACTCCTTGCCCCACACTTAAACCCTGCAACCACTGATGCGTTCTTCAGTGCTGATCTGTTGTTTTACCTTTTTCCACAGTGTCACGTAAATGGAATCACACAGTATGTTGCCTTTGGGGCCTGACTTCTTTCAGTTAGTAGAAGGCCTTTAAGAATAATCCATGTTGTTGCAAGTATCAATATTTCATTTTGTTTTATTGCTGAGTATTCCCTGCCATATATGTTATTCCTTGTTTTGGGCAATTATGAATAAGGTTGCTGTAAAATTCATGTACAGGTTTTTATATGAATATGTTTTCATTTAACAGGCAAATACTTATAAGTGGGATTGCTGGTAAATGTAGGTTTAACTCTATAAGACACTAACAGTTTTCCAAAGTGTTTTTAACATTTTACACTCCCACTAGCAACGTATGAGAGCTCCAATTGTTGTACATCTTAGTCAACATTTGATATTGTTGCTTTTAAAAAATTGTAGTTATTATAAGTGTGAAGTGGTATTTCATTGTGGTCTTAACTTTTATTTCCCCAATGACTAATGATGGTGAGCTTCTTTTAATATACCTGTTTATCATTCATATATCTTCTTTGATGATATGTTTGTTCAAATCATTTGCCCATTTTTCTTATTGCTGAATTTGGAGAGTTCTTTGTATATTTGGGATATCAGTTCTTGTCAGAATTGTGATTTGTAAGTATTTTCTTTCAATCTGCTTGTCTTTACATTCTCTTAACAATGTCTTTTGAAGAGCAGACATTTTTAATTTTGATAAAATCTAATTTATTATCAATTTTTTATTTTATGGATCATGTTTTTTGTGTCGTGTCTAAGGACTCCTTGGGTCACAAAGACTTCCTCCTCTGTTTTCCTAAAAGCTTTGTAGCTTACTGGTTTTTATATTTATGTCTATGATCCATTTGAGATTAATTTTTGTATAAGTTGTGAAGTTGGGTCAAGGTTCATCTTTTCGCATATGGATGTCCAATTGTTCCAGCACCATTTATTTAAAATATTATTCTTTCTCCACTGCAAAGCCTTTGCAACTTTAATGAAAATCAATGGACTGTATTTGAGTAGGTTAACTTCTGGACTTTCTGTTCTTTCTCATTGATCTATGTTTCTGTCTTTCACCAATACCACACTATGTTGATTAATGTGGCTTTATAGTAAGTATTGAAATTAAATAGTGTTACTTCTCTGCTCTTTTTCAAAGTTATTTTGGCTATTTTAGTCCATTTCCTTTTCCATGTAAATTTTAGAATCAGTTTATACATATCTACCCCCCAAAAAAATCCTGCTGGAATTTTGATTAGGATTGCATTGAATTTATAAATCAATTTGTGGAGAACTGACATCTAAACAATATTGAATTTTCTGAGGGATGAACATGGTATGTGTTCCCATTTGTTTAGACCTTCCTTGGTTTATTTCTTCAGTGTGTTGTAGCCTTTAGCATAAAGATCCTACACATACGTTGTTAGACTAACACTTAAATGTTTCACTTTTTGGAGGTGCTACTGTAAAATTGTGAATTCCAATTGTTTATTGCTAGTATATAGAAATACGGTAAATTTTTGTGTATTTGTCTTGTGTCCTGTAACTTGCTAAACTGACTTATTATTTCTAGGAGTTTTCTTGTAGATTCTTTAGGATTTTCCACATAATAACGTCTTCTGTAAGTAGAATGAACTCTATTTCTTCCTTTCCAATATGGATACCTTTTATATATTCGTGTTAAGGTCCACCTCCATCCCTGGTTAAAATTTTTCCCTTCCAAAAGCCAAACTGTGCAGTTCTTAAGAAGTTGTCCATCTCCCATACGGCATACTGACAACTAAAACTGGGGACCAACTAGACTACATCAGTCAGTGTAGGTTAGGTTTTGCTGTGGTAACAAATAGCCCCAATATTTGAACAACAAATATCTCTTACAACAAGAAAACATTTATATCTTGCACACAATACCTGTCCGCCATAGCTTGACAGGACTCTTCCTTTCATGTTCTGTTAGGGACCTGGGCAGATAGACCAGCCACTCTCTTAAATATTGTCTGTGGCTATGCCATAGCAAAGGAGGGGACAAGGAAATGCAATTCTACTCTACACCTGGAAGTGGAGAGCCAGAAATATTTTGTGAAGGGCACTAATAACTATTAAGGAATACACACACACAGACACAGACACACACAGACACACAGACATACACACACACCACAGAGACAGAGAGAGAGAGAGAGAGGAGAGAGAGGAAAATAAGACAAATAAAAATCATTCTAAAGCAAGCTAGAAAGTAACATGTGCCACTGGGTGCGGTGGCTCATGCCTGTAATCACAGCACTTTGGGAGGCCCAGGCGGGTGGATTGCCTGAGCTCAGGAGTTCAAAACCAGCCTGGGCAACATGACGAAACCCCATCTCTACTAAAAATACAAAAAATTTGCCAGGCGTGGTGGAAGGCCCCTATAATCCCAGGTACTCAGGAGGCTGAGGCAAGAGAATTGCTTGAACCCGGGAGGCGGAGGTTGCAGTGAGCTGAGATCACGCCACTGCACTCCAGCCTGGGTGACAGAGCGAGACTCTGTCTAAAAAAAAAAAAAAGAAAAAAAGAAAAGAAAAGAAAGTGGCATGTGCCTTTAGAGAGATAAGTGGCATGTGCCTTTAGAGAGATACAGAGAATACACAATTGGAGTTTAAGGAAGGTTTCTCTTGCGTTAGATTAGGAAATTCTTCAAGCAGCAGGAACCTTTGAAATTAGGCCTTGAAAGATGGAATTTAGACTTTCAGTATGTTTATATTTCATAACATAGTATAGTAGTTAAAAAGATATCCTGGAATTATATTGTCTGGGTTTTAATGTCAGATCTGCCCAATACTAGCTGTTTGACCTTGGGCTAGCCACTTAACTACTCTGTGCCTAAGTTTCCTCATCTATAAAATGAGGCTACTAATAGTACCTGCTTCACAGGTTGGTGAGACAATTAAATGAGTTAATATTTGTAAAATTCCAGAATAGTGCTTGGCACATAAGTGCTATGAATGGTACACACACATATCCCTGATGACAATCCATTATAAATCTAAAAGCCCAAACAAGCTCTTTCTTCAAGATCTTTAAACACAAAGACTGGATAATAATAAAAAAAAATCAGAAAATGAGTTATCTCTGGTGAAATTTACCCTTAAATTTTAGTTTCAGTGAACAAGGCCTACAAACTGACACTCCTTTCAGTACTTTATAACAGGAAATTCAGATCAGTTTTCCAGATTTCTTAGCTATAGGTCAGCATTTTCCTTTCCTCTGTCCAGAGCTAGCCAGGGCTGGATATGACAGCTGAGCCTTTCCTAGGATATTTTTCTCACTAACTTTAGAGACTTTGGACATGTTTAGGAAAGTCTGTTCATCAAACTATGTAAAACCAGACCTTCACTCATCATCTGGCTGGGGATGTCCTTGAGTACTAAAGAGGAGTAGAAACCCCACAGGACAGATAAGCATGTGAAAATAAGGGATTTGCTCAGAGACACTCTGTCCTCAAAAAGAGTGGGACCAGCACCAGGAGACCTTCACATCTCTTGGAAAGTGGGCAACCAAAGAAATATTTCTACCGTAAATGGGAAAATAGTGAAGCTCCTAAGAGGAGTAATCATGAAAATTTCTATTGGTCTAGCTTCTCTAAATGAATAAAGCTCTTTCAAGTATATTCCCATGTTTGGTTCTCATGACAACCCTATAAGAAGTGCAGGGGTGAGAATTAGTATTCACTCTCATTTCACAGCTAAGAAAACAGGCTCAGAAAGGTGAAGTGACTTGCCCATGACATTGCAGCTGGGAAGTAACCAAGAAGAAACTTGAACTCAGCGACGCTTATACCTCATTGTGGTTACTTCTGAGACCTGGTTTCCGAAAAAAGTGAAAGGCATACTGCTGGTGGGGTACAAAATGATATAATTTTATATTTTGTATATTTATTAGAAAAAACATAAAACCAGGACAAACTGGTGATGTGAAGCTTCCTTTTTTCAATAATTTCTATTTAAAACATTAGTCAATTTTGAGAAAATCTTAAGCAATTATTGGCACAGATGATTCATGGATGTGGCCAAAATTGTGAAGGTGGTCCCCAAAGGTCTGAAGGCTGGAAGCCCTGCTGAAAGGTGGTTGGAAAGAAGAGTGACTTGGGTATGGGTTCTGTAGGCCTGGCTTTGTCACTAAAGGACCATGTGACCTTGGACTAGCCACTGAGCTCTCTGAGCTTCTGTCGTATCCTATGTAGAATGACAGCATTAGTTGCAGTAATTTCTGGAGCCTGTCCAGCTGGAATCTTCCAAGATAGAAGCTGGGTGTTATGTCCAAGAAGAGTGTGAAGGGCTGGGTTTCTTTGGCCCCTTCTCCTGCAGTCAGCTTTAATTTGCCCGAAATAAAGCTGACAGGAGGCTGCTGCATTCCGGGCACATTCCTCTGTGTCAGCCGCTCTAGATCTCTTTTCTCAGGAGCTTCTAAGGAGGGCCCATTCGGCAGCCTGGATTTGAAGGTCTCCTTCCCTCTTCTTGGCTGTGTGCCCTGGTCCCTGCAGCCTGCTTAGAAGGGGAAAACATGACAGACAAAGAGGGAAGGAAGAGATTTCTGCAGAGCCGTCCTCCCATAATGAAAGAGCAAAAGAAAAGACTTGTAAAGATTCCAGCAGGGAGGGGATTTAGGGCAGCAAGAGGAATAAAATCCATGATAGGCCCACTAGGAATGGGATCGGGGTCAGTGGGAAGGTTTTTCGGAAAAAGCCATGGTTCCCATTGTTTTAATTTTTTTTATTTCAATAGCTTTTGAGGTATAACTAGTTTTTGGTTACATGGATGAATTGTATAGTGGTAAAGTCTGAGATTTTAGTGCACCTGTCAACTGAGTAGTGTACATTGTACCCAATATGTAGTTTTTTTTTTATCCCTCACCCTCCTCCTACCCTCCCTGCTTCTGAGTCTCCAATGTCCATTATACATGGTTCCCATTTTAATGTGTCTTAGGTACTTGTGGGTGGGTGGAACAATGGCAGCTCTCCTACCACTGAATCAGGTCAGCACCCAGAACAAGAAGGTACAGGAGGGTCACCATCAGCTACTAAAATTATGAGAAAATCCAGGGCCACCTTGACCTGCTTTGTGACCTTGGGCATGAACTTAATCTCCCTGTGCTTCTGTGTTTCCATATGTGAAACGGACACAATAACTTTATTTCCTAAGGCTATGGTGGGGATTAAATAAAATAATACATGTAAAGCCTGGTGATAAGAATACAATAAATGCTACTGATTATGTTTACTACTGGTAATCTTATACTGGAAGGCTAGCATAGTGTTCTAGCTGGAGTGAGACAAATGTGAGTTGAAATCTTGGCTTGACCACCAATTAGTCCTATAACTTCGGGCTTCAGTTTTCATTCATAAAATGTGATACTAATGGCACTCACCTCAAGAGAGGGTTGTCATAAAGACTCAATTGCATAATAACATTAAGCTCTGAGCAGAATGTCCACACATTTGAATTGCTCAATAAAGGATAGTTGTGATAGACGTGAAACTGTACTCCCAAATCCTCCCTCAATGAAAGACTCATTGCCCCAGCTGCAAGGAATGCTGCCAGCAGACAGTGTCCACTGTTAGCACCTTCAGGGACTGTGTGTCCCTAGTAAGTTCTCTGAAGCAGAATCCCCCCACTTTGGGGTGTCCTCAAGATATTCAGCACAGCACTGCAAATATGGTAGGTCAGCTCTAAGTACTTATTGATGGGCTGACTAATTTAACGACTTGCTTCTGAAATATGAAGTATACTTTGAAACAGTTCAGGTGTGAGGAGGGAGAAAATCCTATGTAACTTCATTCTAATTCCACAGCAAGGATGAGGTTGCCCTTGCTAGCATTTCTAGCCAATTTAAGAAGATTTTTTTTTTCTTTAGATAGGACACAGAGCCCCACCTTTGGGGGATCCAATTTAGTCCTCATCAAAATCCCTCCACTCCCTCCCAAGGCCTGGCTGGAAGAGAGGACACTCGCTTCATGCTGACCTTGTTTCCAGTCAAGACTGCCTGTGAAAATGCAGTCTTGGCAGATGTGCCCTTTTGAGAAGATTTTTATCTTACAGAACGTGACAGATTTTCAGCCTCACTCTTCAATTTAAAGTTTCTCATATTACCCCCTCCCCTCTCTCCATTCCAACTTGGGTAATTTTTCTCTACAGCGACAGTTTCTCAGTTGGTGGTTGCATTCCAGAGTGGGTTAATGTGAAAGGCGGAATTGCCACATCTTGAATAACTTAAGCCCAAGTGAGGACTGAATATGGGATTGACCAGAATGTAGCACAGTTCTGGGCTTTTGAGCCATAGTTTCCAAACACCAGTCCATGGACCAGGGCCAAAGTTCTGCTCTCGCGGAGTTACAATCCAATGGGGGCATGATAAAATGCAATACTGGCTGCCATGCTTTGCAAATTCTCTCATCAAGAGGAAGACCCCATTTCTGTATACCTTGAATCTGGGCTGGTCTAGTGACTTGTTTGACCAATCCAATGCAACGGAAGTAACACTGCAATTCCTAGCTTAGAGTTCAAGAAGCCCAAAATCTCCCACTCTCAAGCTCTTGGAACACTACAACTGCCATGTGAACAAACCTGGGCTGACTTGCTAGAGGATGCAAGAACATGTGAAGAAAGGCCCCAGTACTCCAGCCTTCCCAACGAAGACCATTATAAACCAACCAGCTGTAGTCGATCCTTCTGCTGACAGCACGTGCATGAGCAGCCCCAGCCCAAATCAGCCAACCCTCGCCCAAGCAGAAGAAACACTCAGCTGAGCCTAGACCAAACTGGCAACCCACACAATCATAAGTAATTGAGTAAGTGATTATTTAGGCCATTAAGTTTTGGGGTAGTCTGTTACACAATAAAACTGACAAAGGGGAAACTAACTGATATGGGGAAGACAGAAAGTAAAGAAGAAAACAAATAGATGGCCATGATAATATGGATTGTAACACGTACATTAAAAGAAACAAACAGAGAACAGACACTTCTCAAAAGAAGACATTTATGCAGCCAAAAAACACATGAAAAAATGCTCACCATCACTGGCCATCAGAGAAATGCAAATCAAAACCACAATGAGATATCATCTCACACCAGTTGGAATGGCAATCATTAAAAAGTCAGGAAACAACAGGTGCTGGAGAGGGTGTGGAGAAATAGGAACACTTTTACACTGTTGGTGGGACTGTAAACTAGTTCAACCATTGTGGAAGTCAGTGTGGCGATTCCTCAGGGATCTAGAACTAGAAATACCAGTTGACCCAGCCATCCCATTACTGGGTATATACCCAAAGGACTATAAATCATGCTGCTATAAAGACACATGCACACGTATGTTTATTGTGGCACTATTCACAATAGCAAAGACTTGGAACCAACCCAAATGTCCAACAATGATAGACTGGATTAAGAAAATGTGGCACATATACACCATGGAATACTATGCAGCCATAAAAAATGATGAGTTCATGTCCTTTGTAGGGACATGGATGAAACTGGAAATCATCATTCTCAGTAAAC
The DNA here is from genome assembly GCF_000001405.40 of Homo sapiens. NCBI lineage: Eukaryota > Metazoa > Chordata > Mammalia > Primates > Hominidae > Homo > Homo sapiens. Next base: position 17,184,301 of record NC_000023.11, on the reverse strand, counting down.
TATCGCAAGAACAAAAAACCAAACACCACATATTCTCACTCATAGGTGGGAATTGAACAATGAGAACACTTGGACACAGGAAGGGGAACATCACACTCTGGGGACTGTTGTGGGGTGGGGGGAGGGGGGAGTGATAGCACTGGGAGATATACCTAATGCTAGATGACAAGTTAGTGGGTGCAGCGCACCAGCATGTCACATGTATACATATGTAACTAACCTGCACATTGTGCACATGTACCCTAAAACTTAAAGTATAAAAAAAAAAAAAGAAACAAAGAGGATGAGGTGATGGAGAAGTACTATGGGTAACATATTTGGGGAAGACCTCTCTAAAGAGGTGACCTGTTTGCAGAGATCCAAATGAAAGGAAGGAGCCAGTTACGTGAAGGCCTTAGGGCAAAGGAAATTGCAAGTCAAACCCTGTTAGGTGTGTTTTCAAGAAACAGCATAAAGGCCAGTGTGGCTGGACTGGTGAGAGAGGGAAAATGTGGCCAGAGGGGAAGTCAGAAAGGTGAGCAAAGTTCAGTAAGAAACCACTGGAGGGCTTTAAACAGAAGAATGACATCATCTCATCTCCATCTTTTAGAGTTCCCTCTGGCTGCAGGGTGGAGGATGGATTGTAGAATTACAAGAGTGGAAGCAGGAAGCCTGGTTAGGAGGCTGTTGTAAGGTCCAGGGGAGGGAAGATGCTGCTTAGACTAGAGAAGTATCAGTGGTGGTCGTGAGAAGGGATCAGATTCTGTAATTATTTTAGAAGGAATGCCTCATACAGCACATATGCTGGCTTGAAGCAAAATTTTGTAACTTGATCCATGGGTCTAATAAACTTTAGGTCACTGGTATTGCTTTACTCTTCATATACTTATTCTACAACTTTTATTGAGGAGTTTTTTTGGTTTAATTTTATTTTTAATTGACAGTAATTATATATATTTTTGGGGTACAATGTAGTGAATAAGTGTATCATTTCTTCATATTTCATACAGGTTTTTATTGTTAATTATTAATAATAGGCATATGAAGTTTTCCTCATACTTACTAAAGCGGATAAAACATAAATCCAGCATCAGCTGTGTGTGGAATAGAGTATTTGGTTCATAATTCCTGTTTTTACAATTTTGTGAATAGGATTCAAATTTTCCCTAGTAAGTTCTCTGAAGGCAGAACCTCCTTCAGGGAACATTCCTCCTTTGAACATTTTTCACCAGAATTCCCATTATAGTCTCCCAAGATATCCACATTTGCTTATAAACCACTTGCTTAAAATGTTATTTTTTTTAGAAGTTAATTTGGAAACATTGGTTTGTTTAACAATTATCAAGAAACTGTATAGTTTGCTGATTAAAATCATGGACTCTGGAGCCAGTCTGCCAGATTCAAATTTCAACTGTGCCATTTACTACTTGTTTGATGCTTGGCAGATTTTTTGAAATGAGGTAATAATAGTACCTCCCATATGGTGGTGTGTGATGATTAAAATACTCAGGACAGCTCCTGGTACGTAGTAGGTGCTCGCTCAGTGTTAACTATTCTTGTTTCACGTCAAATGCCCTTGCAATGCCAGTCACTGGGCTGCATGTCTTTGTTAGTGTGACTATTTGAAAGACGCAAAATAACATTCCATTTTAAAATGGACAAAAATAATTTTATTTCTGATTTTCCCTAATTCAGCACTCCCTTCCTAATTTTCTGACTCTGTGAGTTCTGACTGTACTTCTGTTGTTTACTAATGACTGGCTGTCATGCTCACTGTCCCCTTGGCCAGCAGCAGCCTTGAGTTCTCAACTGTGGATTATGTACATAAGGAAAAAAGCTGCCAACTGCATAGGGCATGGAGACTATGTCTGAAACTATCATGGTAAAGTTACCTGTTGCTCCAGAAGAGGTGGTTGCAGTTAGAGTGGTGCTGTGGCTGTTCATCTTGCAACCTTATTCGGTCAAATTTCCAGTGCCTGGGCTGAAAAACTGGGGCTCCGCAGGCATCTCTCTCTACTTCTATGAGGTCTCTCCATGTGGCTTCTCCAACATGTCAGCCACACGGTAGCCAGACTTCTTACATGGGCAGCTCAGGACTCCAATGGAGCCTGTCCTAAGATAGATAGATAGATGATAGATAGATAGATAGATAGATAGATAGATAGATAGATAGATAGATAGACAGATAGAGCACACTAGGTAGAAGATGTATTGCCTTTTATGACCTAGCCTTTGAAGTCTATTATTACTAATCATAAATAACACTGTATTCTATTCCTTGAGGCTGTTGCAAAGTCCCACCCGATATTCAGGGGGAAACAACATAGACTCCTCCTGTTGATAGGGGAATAGCAAGATTCTGGAAGAGCATGTGAAACTGGAAATATTATGGCCATTTTTGGGAAAATATGCTCAGCTACAGACAGAAAGAGGCAGTCAGTTCAAGCACGACTTGTGCTGGCCAAGAAAATACCCATGTGAACAAAAAGTCACAGGCCCTACTTGAATTGGCTAACTGTGTAGTTTTACTTGAATGGCCTTACCTTTATCAGTTTAAGAGAAAGAGTGATTATGGAGCAAGGGAAAGGGGAAAAAGAAAACTCATGTTTATTGAGTACCTATTTGTATGTCCTGAATGCTTTACATAAAGCTAACTATGGATCAACCACTATTGAGCACATGAGTCTATAGATGGCAATTTGAATTGGATTCAGCTGTGCACTGTTCCTGAGCTAGGCCAGGCTCAGCAGATTGCTGGGCCTGCTGTGCATCACCAGTCAGCTGCTAGTCAGCTGAGGCTCCTTGGTTCTCTTCCATGTGGTCTTGCATTCTCCAGCAGGCTAGCCCAGGCTTGGTCACATAGTGGAAGGGTCCTGTAGTAGCAAGCCCCATTATGCAGGCACTTTTTGAGTCTCCTTATGTCATGATTGCTATTGTCCCATTGACTGAATCAAGTCACATGGCCAGACCAGCTCCACAAACATTGCAAGAGTGTGGATACAGGGAAGGGAAGAATTTGTGACCATCCTTGCAACCTACCATAGCCTGAGACAGAAAATGTTGTTCACCTATTTGTCCACGATAATTTCCCTTAGAGGTCACAGTGAGAGAAGGACCATGTTAAAGACTCCTTATGCTTCCCCCTAGGGGGGTGAGGGAGGAGCAGGGCCAGAAGTCTCCAGGGCTTCTAGTCTAGGGCAGCCCTACATGGTCCATGATCATGAAGAGAAGTCCAGGTACTATGTCCAGCCTGGAATGAAGACAGTATACTTTTAGGCAAGGAAGAACTGAGTGGGAGAAAAGAGATATATTTCAAAATATTTCTGATTGAAATATTGGGGATTTGAGAGGTAGAGAAAGTGAATTTGAGGGTGCCAGCAAGAGACAGCATGGTTAAGAAGGCTGGTTTTGCAGCCAGACTGCCTGGGTAACAATCCTGGCACTCTGCTGCTTACCTATTTTTGACATTGAGATGTGATAATACATGTAAAACACAAAGTTTCTGGCACACAGTCAAGGATTAATGAATCATCATCATTAGCATCATCATCATCACTATCATCTGTGTGGAGGTTACTGACAGGAAAAGTGGTAGGCGAAAGGATTTTGACGAAGTGTTGTAACATTTTACTTGCCCCCACAATTTTCTTTTGGCATTTCTGTGTGTGCATGTGTGTGTGCGTGTGTGTGTGTGTGTGAGAGAGAGAGAGAGAGAACCAAAGCCTGAAGTGCTAATTTCTTTCTTTTTTGTCTGTTGGACTATGTTTTTCAGGTGGAACATCAACCGAGACTGGATATGCGGAACTAAGGCTTATTTTGAGGGTAATCACACAAAATGATGTTCTCCTTTAATCCTCACAATTACACTGCAAAGTAGGCATTGTTATTTTTCCTTTTTCCAGGTGAGGAAACAGAAGCCCAGGGAGGTCAGGTAGCTTGCTCAAGATCGCTTAGTATATAGCAGATCTGGGATTCAAATCTAGATCTGTCAGTTTCCAAGTTCCATGCCCTTTATTCCTTTCTTTCTTAAACTTAGTAGGAAAGTTTCTTTTCCTTTCCTGCACTTTCTTTATTTCAAAAACAAGACATGGTCATTGTACCAAGTGAAACAATCCAAAGATGTATAAATTTAATATTTTTACCCTAAGACCCTCCTCAGTATCACCACTGCGACCATGATTCCTGCCTGCCCCACTCCCATATATTGCTGATGTATCTAATGTTATCATCAGGGTATGTGTCTTTCTATGAAATTCTCCATACTCCTACAAACATATATACACATGTACAGAGGGAGTTAATTGCTGTTCATTTTTACAAAAGTTGGATCATGTTATAAATTACTCTGCAACGTGTTTTTCTACCTTAACAATACATCATAGCCATCTCTCTAAGGCAATTAATATAGAGCTAACTGATTCTTTGCAATAACTGCACAGTCTAAGGTACAAACAGGATATACAATTTGTGCAATCATTTCTAATGGCCTGGTGTTCTGGTTGCTTCAAGGGTTTTTTTCCCCTTACAGCCATAGCACAAAGACATCCTTATAGATCTACTGATGATGTTATATCTATAAAATGTATTCTGAAATGTGGGACTCTTGGGTCCCAAATGTTGCAGTTACCTATTATTACTGTGCAACAAACCACCCCAAAACTCATTATTAAAGTTTATTGTTAAAAATAATAATAATTTATGTATGCCCTCAAATATCCAATTCAGGAAGGACTCAGCAGGGATGGATCATCTCTGTTTTCAGTGGTATCATTTGGGGCAGCTCAACTGGGCTGTGGAAGATCTACTTTCAAGATGGTTCACTTATATGGTTGGTAAGCTGGTGTCAGCTGTCAGTTAGGAGCTGAGTCAGGATCGTGGGTCAGTGTCCTTGGTTTCTCTCCACTTAGGCCACTCCACAGGCTGCTTAGGCTTTCTCATAGCATGGTGACTGAGTTCTAAGAGTGAGTGTCTCAAAAGAATCTAGTAGAAGTTGTATGATCCTTTTAGAAGCTAACCTCTGAAGTCATGCAACATCACTTCCCACCACATTCTATTTGTGGAAATAGTCACAAATCCACCCAGCCAGCTCCAAAGGGAGGGGCATTAGATTCCACCTTTTGATGGAGGAAGGCAAAGTTCTAGAAGAACATGTAAGATAGAAGCTACTACTGCAGCCACCTTTGGAAAATACAGTCCTGCCAGACAAAGATCACAGAGCTAGTAAGTGATGAAACTAAGATTAAAAAGCTGGTCTGTTTTTTCACTCCATAATGTGATGTTGTTTCATTAGTATGTGAGTGGAGTCATCTCTTAGGGTTGGATTTGGTGTATGCAAACCAAGTCAAGAAAAGACTGAACAGGGGAGCCAACTGTGCACTAAACTTTATGGAAATTAACCTACCAGGATTATCCAAATACTTTTTTTTTTTTTTTTGAGACCGAGTCTCGCTCTGTTGCCAGGCTGGCATGATCTCAGCTCAATGCAACCTCCACCTCCCAGGTTCAAGCAATTCTCCTGCCTCCGACGCCACCACACCTGGCTAATTTTTGTATTTTTAGTAGAGACAGGGTTTCACCATGTTGGCCAGGATGATCTTGATCTCCTGACATCATGATCCACCCGCCTTGGCCTCCGAAAGTGCTGGGATTACAGGCGTGAGCCACCGCGCCTGGCCTATCCAAAGACTTCAAGAGCCCCTGTCTGTGGTGAGATGTCTTTATGCCCATAGCGTAGCAAAGTTAAAGACAAGGGGTCTAGGGACCCACAGGGACTTCCTAATGGCCTTGGCAACCAACTCCCTTCCAGAAGATGTCAGTCTAGCACTGCAGCTCCCATTCATCATTTACCATCTATCCCAGAGGGAGTTATCATTCAACCACAATAATTCACAGTCAGCAAAGAAAGGAAAAGCATCTCAGCTCAGCTTTTTATTCTATGCTTTTCTTCTTTTTACAGTTTTGGTTTGACAGAATGGAGCAGTTCAAACCAGGAGACTGGAAGAATGAAAGATTAGCTGGGCAGAAAAGCTCCCTACCACATAAATGAACAAGGTTACATGGTCAGACAAAGCCCCGGAGGTAAGTGTGTTACTGTGCAAAGTGAGGCCATGAGTGCATTTCAGAATATTACATTAAAAAAATGTTCTTGGGTTTTTGGCCTTGCTTATTTATTCCACTTAGATGTCTCCTCTATTTACCAAAAACATAAACCATGGCCTTCCTCTGTGGCTACATCTACTTTGGGGGTTTACTACTTTTAGTTAACAGTTTCATCTCCAAAGAACAATCCCCATACCCACATTCCATCCTCCTACACCTGTGCCCTCGCAACCCCCACTTGGCAGGTAACCCCTTAATGGAGTTCCAAATGTCTGTTCCTCCTTCATTCTGGAGGATTAGGCCTGTAGAGTTGAGACCAGACACTGACAGCAGACACACTCTTGGCCGAGATCCAGGGCAACTTCTCCCCCAACTCCTGATATTTTTTCAGTCATATAAGCTGTAGGTAGGACACCCCTTGACTTTAGGTTTCTCTCTACTTATTTCCCAAATTCGCAGGCCTAGTGTAGCAGGTTAAGGCAGCAAGCGAAAACTGAAACAGCTGGCATTAATCTAACCCTAAGTAGGTCTCAGGTTATGTTTCCCAGCAGCAGAGCCTGAGATAGGGATTTTTTGTTCAAGTGATTGATTGGAGGGGAGCAGAAAAGAGAAGTTTGCTTAAGAGCCTCAGACCTTTGCATACACCATCTGATGACAGGCATCTGGGCCAGCTTGCCTCCCAGTTCAGCCATAAGCCACAAGGCCTGCCTCCCCTCAGCAACTGCCCTGTTTCTCTCTATTCTTGGCAAGGTAATGAGCCCCTCTATGTTTTCTAGACCAAGGTCGTCCCCACTAAAATGCAAATAGGTCTCCTGGAAGCTACTGAAAGTAGCATCACAGATAAACTTTGCTTGGGCTGGCCCTCGTGTTTCTGAAAAGTGTCATGGAAAAGGCACACAGGTTTGAGTCCTGACCACTCCTCCTCGCGTTCCAATGAGAAAGGATTTGGGAGCACTTTCACCTGGGAAAGGGAGCTAGCAAAAGAATGCTCATTTGACATCAACTGGGCCCTTCCTTGCCATATTTGTTCTGAAGGAAATTTAAAGGTATAAGCGTCCTTGATCACAGAGGGTTATGGAAATTCTAAGGGAACACTTTCAGTCTTAATGGAGTGCCTCTAAATCATGTGTCTTGGTAGCACAGATCCTGCTGACTTGGGATTTCAGAATTAGCAGCTGTGAAAAATCCCTACCGTCCATCACTGTGAAACTCATCATTTCCCTGGGGTCTGAAGCCAGCAGAGCTAAGGAAGAAAGAAAACACACCGAGGAGGAGACACTGCAGGAAAAGCAGTCAGGGATTTCGGAGTCACACACTGACATTCATCATCATTAGTCAAACGAAGAGATAAGCCAAGGGCCGGCAGCCTCCCCATTATTGACTCCTGCCTCTGAAGGGCCAGCAGAAGGTGGGCCAGAGGTCTTGTGAGAGGCCCATGGTCTTTAGCCAAAGTGCCACTTGGGTGTGAGGTGGCCCCATAGAGACCTTCAGCAGAGCCATGACTGGGTACCCTTGGTGTTCCTGCCCTGACCTATGCACGAAGGGCAGAAATTTGGTAGAAGGTAATTATCAATTAGAGGAGCACTGAAATGAAGTGTAGGATGGGTTTCTGGAGAGGGTGTGGGTAAGATCAAGAAGGTAAGGCCTCAAGAATGAAGAGACTTCAGGGGCATACGTGGTTGTAAACAGAACTACTCTACGTTCACTGAAATCTATTTCCTTCTCTTCTGCATACTGCTGAGGAAGCAACATTCAGTCCTTGTTCTCTGCTCTGAGCTGTCAGGAAATGGCCCACTAGGGTCAGGCTGGAATCAAATCTCTGTGTAACACTCCAGAGTCAACTCAGTCTGCTTAGTTAGCTTCGGAAGCCATCAATTACCTGCTGCTTTACCCTCTGGTGTGGGTAAATCTGTATTAAAAGCCAGTTGAGGATTGTAGAAGTAGCACTGAGAAGGGAAGGAGGCCAAGCAAGGGTGCATCAGGGAAGACCCCATGGAGATAAACCTTTGACTTAATCCCACAGCAGTGCTCTGGAGATAGTGTCTCCATCAGGGGACAAGGGGGAGTTTACACCCTGTACCCATCAGCCATTTTGTCAATGGGCTATCCCAGCTGTCTGTACCCAAGGACCAAGCAGATTCTGGCAGCCTAGGGCAGCCCCCCCAACCAAGACGTGGGTGCTGGTTATTGGGTGGCACACAGCTAGATGTATTCCCCATCCTGCCTTGGCTTAGGCATTGACATGTGACTGAGTTCTGGCTAATGGAATGTGGACAGAAGTAAGGTGTACTGTGTCCTCACCTGGGCTGTGGAACCTCCTACAGGATCCTCCATGCTTCCTTCCCCCACCTGCCTTTCTGAGGCAGAAGACCTAGTGGATGACACTGAAGCTCTAGGGGAGGGTAGAGCCTCAGACAGAAGGGACCTGGATCTCTGCATGACTGCATGGAGCAAAACCTTCATTCTCACACGGCCAGCTGGACTTTATGTGAGCAAGAAATAAATGTCTATTGTGTTAGGCCCCTCAGAATTGGGGGTTTGTCTGTTATAGCAGCTAACATTGCCTAAATTAATTCAATGAAGAAGTTGGACCATGACAAAAGCAACCTTCAGTATTGCACTATTGAGCCAAGGATGGGCCCTGATGGCAACAACCCTAATGAGAGGCAAAGAAACTCACACAAAAAAACTAGCTACCTGGATCAAAAATGTCCCTTCCCAATTTGAGAAGCAGGGTGGTATGCAAAAAACAAGTGCTATGCAGGCCAGCAGGTGAAAGCATGAATTCTGCTTTTGTCCTTTGCTAGTGATGTGACCTCACAAGGAGGCTTCCTCTCTACGGCTCAGCTTCTTTATCTGTAAAATGGAGATAACCGTGTCTAATTCTTGTGGTTCTATCACTCAGATTCAATGAGGTTATGCATTTAATGTGCCCATACAATGCCTGACACCTAGTAGGCCTGCCTGAAATAAGAGTTTTCCATTTTCTTCCTTGTCTTTCTCTACACCACCGTTTCCCCCATAATCACTGGGCAGTGTTTGACCTCAGCAAAATGGCACACACAAGTACCTTCTCCCAATTTCTCAAGCGTAGGAGAAAGGCAGAGGCTGGTGCTGGCCTTCTCTGTCATGCTGGGGCCACTTGACCAAGGCTTTCATTCCCTTGATTGATCACGTTCATTTCGAACTGCATTTGGCTGCCCAGAGAAATTCATCTCCAGCCTTCACAGTGAACTGGAAGGCTGGCCTGGCCCCAAAGACACCTCAGCAAATCTGCTACCCAGCTCCAGTGGCGGGCAGCCAGGCATCTGGTCCCTCAGTCTCAGTCATGCAGCTGTGACTGACAGGCAGCAGGGAGCTGAAGCTCTGATGTGAGGATCTGCTTTGGCTTCTAGAAAAATAGCAGCAGCAGCAGCAGCGGCGGCGGCAGCAGCAGTGACAGCAGGCTCCATTGAAAAGCAGCCCTGCCAGCACAGCTGAGGTTGATGCCCCGCTGCCCAGGGACCCACACCGGAGGGTAAAACAGCAGGTAATTGATGGCTTCCCAAACTAACTTAGCAGACTGAGTTGACTCTGGAGTTTAAGACAGAGGTTTGATTCCAGCCTGACCCTAGCAGGCCATTTCCTGACAGCTCAGAACAGAGAACAAGAACTGAATGTTGCTTCCTCAGCTGTATGCAGAAATAATCCCTGGCAAACGTGGGTGGCTCTAGCAGTGGGTCTCAACCCTGGCTGCACATTAGAATCACCTGGGAGCCTTAAAAAATCCTGATACCCAGGCCACGACCCTGACCAATTACATCAGAATTTCTGGGGTCAGGACCCTGGCATCTGTCATTTTTAAAGCTCCCCAGGTGATTCCACTGTGCAACCAGAGGTGAGAATCGCTGGTCTACAGCTTTCAAGTACGGGCCCAAGCATTAACTCCCTTGATGTACGCGAGGTAGTGTAAGTGCTGTTAACCCTATTTGACAAAGGAGACAATAAACTCAGACAGGAAGAATAATTTGCTTAGTCATATGCTTGATGAGTGAAGAAGCTGGGATGCAGTTCAGGCCTTTGGTATTTAAGTCAGTCACCTTTTGCCTACCCTTCTGGCCTCATCTTCTATAAAATGGGAAAAGCATTAGTACCTACTTTACAGGGTTGTTGTGAGGATGAAGTAACTCAATTCTTTTTTTTTTTTAATTCATTTGACTTAATATGTACATATGACCTTTCAGTGTGCCCAGGATTATTCAAGCACTTTACAAATGTTAACTTAGGTTAGTTTGCTAAAATGCCTCCTGCGCCCTCCTACACCACCCGGGGAAATTGATCTAGGGAGCAATTTAGCAACACTATCAATTGCCTCTAAAATATGTGAACTTTTTAACCCAACAAATCCATCTTTTATAATTTGTGAAAATGGAATAATTAAGGGCCTATGAAAAGATTGAACCACAAGGGTAATAGGGTGATCACTGCAGTTTTATTTAAAATGACAAAAATATATTGGAACACTAAGGTTCAAATATAAGGGATTCATTAAATAGTGTATCAAAAGCAGAAATAGTGTGGCTCAATTCTAAGTGGTGTATGGCAAATGGATCCTAGAGTAGCTTCATGTTCACACCCTGTGTAATGCTCTCCACTTGTGGAGTGTGAGCAGGACCTGAGACTTGCTTCTAACAAATAGAATATGTTAAAGGTGATGAGGTGTCACTCTTGTGGTTAGATTATGATAGATAGAGATAGAGATATAATACTTATCTTACAGGCCTTAAGGAAACAAACCACCATGTTATGAACTGCCTACAGAGAGGGCCACCTGGCAGGCAACTGTGGATGGCCTCTAGGACCTAAGGGCAGCCTCCATTCAACAGCCGGGAAGAAGCCAGGCCCTCAGTCATACAGCTTCAAGAAAATAAATTGCGTCAACAACCCAAATGAGCTTAGATGAGAATTCTTCCCCAGTCAAACCTCCAGATGAGAACACAGCTTGACCTACCTCATGCTAGCAACCTTGTGAGACTCTGAGCAGAGAATCAAGCTAAACTGTGCCTGAACTCCTGATTCATGGAAACTGTAAGATAACTAATATGTGTTGTTTTTAGCCTCTGAATTTGTGGTAATTTGTTACATTGAAATAGAAAACTAATAGAGGTATTATTTTAGATGAAAGACATTTATAAAATATTATTAAATTACAAAGCTCAGATTATAAAGGACTATGATGCACACACACACACACACACACACACACACATACATACACACAGACTGAAAAATAGCAATATAGTAAAATTTGGAATGACTTTGATTTCCTTCTTTTTGATTCTCTGTACTTTCTAAAATTACTTTTATTATTAATATTAGAAAACAATGAAAATAAATACTAAATAAAATATTCAAGTGTTAACAGTGGTTATCTCTGGGTGGTAAAATTATGTATTAATTTTATATTCTGAAATTCTAGGAAGTTATTTGAATTTTTCTGCTTTGAAGAGCTGACACTGCCTAGTGTAATTAAACAGAATAAATAAATAACTCTCAATTGTTTGTTCCAGTATAGAAAAAATTCTACCATCATTGCTCCCAGATTTAATTAAGACAGAAAAACCATCCACCTAGGGCCTGTAGTCCATTCTCACATTGCTATAAAGAACTACCTGAGACTGGGTAATTTATAAAGAAAAGAAGTTTAATTGGCTCATGGTTCTACAGGCTGTACAGGAAGCATGGCTAGGAGGCCTTAGGAAACTTACAATCACGGCAGAAGGTGAAGGGGAAGTAGGCACATATTATATGTGTGGAGCAGGAGAAAGAGAGTGAAGGGGGAGGTGCTACACACTTTTAAACAACCAGATCTCATGAGAACTCACTATCACAAAAACAGAAAGAGGGAAATCCACCCCCATGATCCAATCACCTCCCACCAGGTCCCTCCCTCAACACTGGGAATTATAAATTCACTATGAGATTTGGGCAGGGACACAGACCCAAACCATATCAGCCTGTCTGCCACAAATCAAGATACAGGATAACAGAGCTAACAGCACAAATTCTAGTATGACATGGCCAGGATTCTAAGCCTGGCTACCCAAGTATTGTATTTTCTTAAATTGGGCAAATTATTTGGCCTTTGTATATCTGTTTCCTCATCTATAAAATGGGATAATATCTATCTCACAGGGCAAGCGTATCATGGGGACTCAATAAGATCTGTATATAATTTATCTTTAAGTGAGCCTGACACGTAATAGGTACTCAATGAACATTGGTTAGCGTTACCACCATCATTATTATTATTAACCAACCTCCCATCCTAGGGGTGGCCAATATTTCAGTCCCAGTATTATTCTTAGGTTCAATTCTTAAAACAAGTGCAGAAGAAAAACATAAGAATTATAATTATGGGCCAGGTGCGGTGGATCACGACTGTAATTCCAGCACTTTGGGAGGCTGAGGTGGGTGAACTGCTTGAGCCCAGGAGTTTGAGACCAGCCTGGGCAACATGGCAAAATGCTGTCTCCACAAAAAAAAAATACATAAAAATTAGCCAGGTGTGGTGGTGTGCACCTGTAGTCCCAGCTACTAGGGAGGCTGAGGTAGGAGGATTGCTTGAACCCAGGAGGCCAAGGCTGCAGTGAGCTGTGATCACACCACTGCGCTCTAGGCTGGGTGACAGAGCAAGACCTTGTCTCAAAAAAATTATAATTATGGCATATATGTTCAGATATTAGAAGGAATCTCACATCTCTTGAAAGACCTAAAGTGGATGCTGTGGGATGCTGAAGACACATTTTGCCCATTTCAATGTTAGAAAGAGGTTTAATAAAATTAGCGTTATGCTTCTGCCAGGATGACATGGGGTGGTTGGAACTGGCCATTTAAGAATCTGAGTCAAGCTGGTTTGAGGTTTATTGCATGCTATAATAAACTGGTTAGTTATGGTGTGAGGTGAACCAGGTCTAGGTCAAAGCTCTCTCTCAACATTCCAGAGGCCTCTGGGAGCTGGGTGGGAAGCACTCCAAGGCCGCCATGAAGCACAGCTGAAAAGATACAGCTGCCCTTGGGATATTGTCAAAATCTGGGCTTGGCTGGGGCAGGCCAGGCCAAGGAGACTTGACAAACAGGCTGGAGCAGGGGAGAGGCCAACACCAGGGGACCTGTAAGCAGGGCGTCTGTTGGTGTGGCCACAGGCAATAGGCAAACACCCTGCCAGCCAGACAGATGGAGTCAAGGATGTCCTACAAAGTTTTCCCTGTCTAAGACAGACCTGGCCTTTGGAGTCTGGCAGAGAGAGGTGGGCAGAGGCTAGGCCAAGCCAACCAATGTCACAAAGGAGCAAAGTTACTAGTGGCAGTGCCACAGCTCCAAAGTGCCAAGGATGGCTTGTTGTCTCAAGGAGCAATTCGAAGGGATGAGTCTCTCAGAAGCATGTGGCTCCAAAACACTCCCATGGACAGGCACTGAATTTCCCCAAGTGACCAGAAGTGAAATCCATCTAAATCTTTCCCCAGAAAATTCCTAAAGATCATCCTATTTCCTCAAGAGGGCCTGTGTCCACTCACAAAGAAAAACTAAGCAACCAAATGGTGGTATCCATTTTGTTTAGATTAGGATCTCAGTAGTGCATGGCAGAAAGGAACAATGTATCCCAGACTCAGAGAAGGGACAGTGCCTCTCTGGCAGGTCCAGCATTATTACCATTATCCTTTAAAAGAACCTTCGGATGTGTTTGTTTTTGAAGAACTGGCCTTTGAAGATTCCAATCTTGAAATGCTAGAGCAAGTTTTATAACTAACAACCAAACAGATGGAAACAAGTTTAGGCGTAAATATTTTCTTGTGCATGGTAGGACTGTCCACAATTTAACCAGTTTCTTACCCTGGAAGGAAATGTCTAACTTGAAAGGACACTCTACTCTGGTGCTTTCCTTTTTGCTTTCATAGCCAAAGCCACATCCAGGGCATTGTCTTCTTAGTACCAGAACGCTGGAGGAGCCATTTTGCCCTGCCTTTGGCTGCTAAAGCCTACATCTCCAAATCACTGCTCTGAGGTGTACAATACCCAACTCAAATTCCTGTGATGGTGCCAACATTCATCAGGGCAACCAATGCCAGATGCTGTAGCAACCACCAAATCTCAATGAATTAACATGATAAAAGTTTATTTCTTGCTCATGCAAAGTCCACTCTGTTGAATGGTTCTCCTCCAAGGGGAGACTCAGGAATTTGGGGTGTGTCCATCTTGAGGTTCTACCATCCTGTGGGTGTAAGATTGCCTGGGTATCATCCAACTGCCAGATGGGACAGAGGGAGAGCTTGGAGGGTCCTATACCTAAGCCCTAGTCATCTCAGCCTGAAGGTTACACACACCCCTGCCACTTGCATCCCACTGGAGAGAACTAGTCATGTGTAAAGAGAACTGGGACAAGACAGTCCTTGGCTGGGTAGACCCTCCCTGGCAAAAAACTCAACACTACAGAATGGGGAACCCAAATCTTTGATTGTCAGCCAGTCTTTTCTTCCATAGTGCTTCTTTTGTTTCTTTTTTTGAGACAGAGTCTCACTCTATCACCCAGGCTGGAGTACAGTGTCATGATCACAGCTCACTAGAGCCTCAACTTCCCAGGCTCAAGCAATCCTCCCACCTCAGCCTCCCAAGTAGCTGGGACTACAGGCATGCACCACCACACCTGGCTAATTTTTTAACATTTTTTGTAGAGATGGGGTCTCACTCTGTTGCCCAGGCTAGTCTCAAACTCCTGGGCTCAAGTGATCCTCTTGCCTCGGTCCCCCAGAGTGCTGGGATTACAGACATGAGCCATCATGCCTGGCCCCACAGTGCTTCTTTACCTACTGAATTAATGCTGAAATCTTTAGGATGGCATTCAAAGCCTAATGTACCCCCAATTCACCATGGATGCCATCTTCTAGCTCATCAGGATGATCCAGTTTTCCCCTGGATATATCAGTTAGCTTTCCTTGCATAGCAAACCATTCCAAAACTTAGTAGTTTAAAACTACACGGTTCTTCAAGTCACAATTTGCACTGAGCTTAGCTGAGAGGTTCTTCTGGTCCAGTTGTGCTCACCCATGTCTGTGGTCAGCTACTGAGCTGGCTAAGGGCTATAAGTCTAGAAGTTTCCTCAGCTGGGACAGCTTGTCATTGCTTCACATGGTCTCTCATCCTCCAGCAGGCTAGTCCTGGCTTGCAAATATGGCAGTTTCTGCTTTATGACAATGAGAGCAGAATGGTACTGAGCTACCTGAGGCCCAAGCTTAGAACTCACACAGCCTCACTTCTGCAGCATTTTATTGGACAAAGCATGTCAAAGCCAGCTCAGATTCAAGGGGTAGAGAACAGATTCCATATCTTGATAAGAGGAAGTTCAAAACTACTACTGCAACCAATGTACTGTGCTCTCCCATGCCTTCTCTACAACGTGCCTCTAACTGAAACCTCCCCTTTCTCCTTGTCTTTGCCTGTGGACAAGACCCAGTTCAAATGCCTCTGAATCCACAATGGCTTCTGCCTTAGTTTAAGTTGTTCCAGAAACAGAGCCTGAGAAAAGAACCTGAGCACAGATATTGAGTGAAGAAGTGAAGACAGTAAAACAGATATGGAGGACAAGCCAATATAAGAGTGCTCTACTGAGATCACTGTTGTAGGCAGTGAGAGGTAAATTCCACAGAGATCCCTGAGAAGCTATGGGATGCCTCTCAGACAGAGTCTTGCTCTGTTGCTGAGGCTGGAGTTCAGTGGTGCAATGTTGACTCACTGCAACCTCCACCTCCTAGGACAAGAGATCCTCCCACCTCAGCCTCCCAAGTAGCTGGGACTACAGGCATGCACTACCATGCCCAGCTAATTTTTGTATTTTTTGTATAAACGATGTTTCACCATGTTGCCTAGGATGGTCTCAAACTCCTGGGCTCAAGCGATCCTCCTACCTCCACCTCCCAAAGTGCTGGTATTACTGGTGAGCCACCATGCCTGGCCCCTACCTTCTATTGGTTGAGAGTTACCCCACTGAACAGTAACTTCCCCACACTTTTAAACTGCTCTTGCACCAAGCCAGCTCCCACAGCATTAGAGAAAGCCCTGAGGCAGAAAGATACATGTGCCGACTTGAGGTGGGATGCTGTCAGCATGACTCCAAGTTTGCCTGGAACTATCCACTGCAGCTGTGTTTGAAACCAGAGGGAGACCAGAGGTTTTGTGAGGTGCCAAAAATGTCAGGTATAATTTCCCTGATATCTTGTTGGAAGTAAATTCTTCCTCCTCAGAGATCCTGTGCTCCAAAGTTTCCATCACTCCAGTGGCACCCATCATACAGTTTTTAATTGCAGACATTCATAAATGTGTATAATCTCCCCTGCTGAACTACAAGCTCCTGGAAGACAGCAGCCACATTGGATAGAAGTTTTTAAAATCCTATCTTGGCCCCTAATGCAAAGCTCTGTCAGTTTTGTTGGCTGCGTAATGGAAGAAACTCCTAGATCCAAGACATTGAAATGTACTATTTCACTCATTTGCTCTGTCAACATGTAACTGTAAGTGCCTACAATGGGTAATACCAGAGCATCTGTAAACAAACAAACAAATAAAAACAAGCAGAAGACCCGCTCCCCCCAGTCTTGAGAATCTTTTAATCTAGTTGTATATATAAACCACACATACATACCATAAAGACTAAAACACCCAAAGCAACAAGTAAGCATGTCTAAGGCAGTACCATGGGAGGGAACTGAGTGGACAACAGTTAAGTAGGGAAGGTTCAGGAGAGGTGTTACACTGGTCTGGCGGCTGTAACAGAAGTCTATCTGAAGAAGGAGATAATACAATAAAAAGGCAGTGCTATCTTCACCAAATGGTTCAAAATTGTTACTATGTTCTTCAGATCATAGATATAATATGCATGCTTTATAGAAGATTTGGAAGAAGCCAGAAAGAACAAAGAACATAGTTAGTGCTCCCTCATAATCCTACCACCCAAAGGCAATCTCTGAAAACATTGTGGCATAGTTCCTTCTTGCCTTCTTCCTACATATTTATTTTATATGGTTGAAGTCATACTGGGTATTGATTCCTGGTTTATTTAGCATGAGAACTATAAGAGATAGAGAAAATTAAATCCAACTCCCACACTGTATACATGAGAAATAGAAGCCCCAAAGAAATCAACATAAAAAGGCCCCAGAACTGAGATCAGAATGGAGGTGTCCCAATCTTAATCCAGTCCTCTTTCTATATGACACTACCTCTATTTACCTTTTCCTCACCACATAATTGTGAATCCAGACTACAGAAACTTATGTTTGGGGCTTAAAAATTCCCAAATCAGTATGTACACCTAAAATTGTCTGTGTACATATGTATGCACCACTGTGGAAAGAGCTAATGGCCACCAACATGGCTGCTATGAGAGTTAAAGAAGATAACATAAATGAGAAAGCACCCAGCACACAGCAGGGACTCTGTGTGACTGGGACATACACATGTGTGTAGAGAAGGGCAGAGAAGAAATCCCAGCTCTGTTTTCCCTACACATCCTCAAGTGTAGGCACACAATGTTCTGTAGCTCAGGCTGGAATATAAAATAAACTTCTCAGCCAGGAAGGTGGTTCTGCCAGGTCTCCTCTGTGTCTGGGTGGATTCGTTTTTCTATAAACTTTATGGTCCTTTGCAAAGAATGACTACAAGTGCTGCAGATGTTGCAGGCTCCTGTGAGCAGATGTTCATGACTGTAAAAATCTCAGGGAAATTATACCTCAGCCTTTTAAGTCAATGAGCTAAAACCCAACATAATGTTCTGGGCTCATTTATTATTTTCCCCCATTACAGCAGGCTGTGTATTAGTAGCAATGAAACAACTGCACTTCTTGGGGAGTAGCCCACGGTCACTGGAGTCCCAGATAAGCCCAATCACTCTGTGTCTTAGCCACTATAATTCTTTTTTTCTGGGCTTAACTGACAACACAAACCCTCTGGTACCAGAGGAGAAATACATTCAGGGACTCTGTGGGTGACAAAGAAAGCAACACCTCTTCCACCTCTCTTCCCACAGCAACTTCCAACCCCGCTATTGTTATTATCACACAGGTCAGCGGCGAGAGAATCAGAGCATCAAAAGAGAGCTTTGGAATTCTTTAGCCTCCCTCTTGTGCTGGAACCCAATATAAACATAAAAATTATGTATAATAATCATGAAGGCATAAAGGAATTTTAGGAATAGAGCATTAGAAGAAGCCACAGCTTGCTTGCTTTTTTCTTTCTCTCTTTTTTCTTTATTTCAGCAAATGCAAGAACATCTCTTTTGTTCACATATATATCAGTGCCTTTTGCAAGGAGGGGTCAGGTTACTTGTATAAAGCTATGAATAATTTCTCTTGCAGAGTAAGGACAGGGCATAACATTCTCACCACCATGAGCAAACAAGTACACAGGCTGTTCTTTTTCCTCCCCACCACCCAACCTCTCCTCCCTTCATACCACTCCTGCTTCCCAAGCTTAGAAGTAAATGAGTAATTAAAAACAACCTCCCTGGCATGATGCTTCGACATTAGGCCAGGGCATTGCAAAAAGCACGTTCCAAGTAATTTTCAAAAGCAGAGTCTGTTCAAAAGCACACTCTGCTCCTCCCTCAGACAACTAAATAGGGTGCAGATTGGTTTACAATCTGATTCCCTGCAAATGGAATAAAAATGGAGTAGCAGCCCTTAAAACAGAATTCTGGGGAAAGCCACATGAAAATATTGAACCCACTTTAAATGCCCAAGGGGAGAACAAGATTCCCAGGAAGGCAAACACTATGAACAATTTCTAACCAGCAAACAAATAGGCACTTCATTGCTGAGCCCATCCCAAGCAAAGCAGCCAGAAGCCACCCTGGTTCTTTTGGTGGCAGTAGGCAAAGGTCCAGGTTCCCTTAGTTTATCCAAACTGGTTCATCATCCACTTAAATATGCAGAGTTTGTTTTCAAAAGTCATTGCCAAAGGCTTCTCTCACAGTCTGACTGATTCAATAGATCCATGGAGTGAATCAGGGCTGCTTAGTAAGTTTGGTGGTCAGAAGCTGAAGAATTTCCCATCTGATGGTTTCTCTATGAAAATAATGACAAGTGTATTTCCTGTAAATTCAGTTCAAGTGGTGTGTGAGTGTGTGTGTATGTGTGTGTGTGTGGTGGTGGTGGTGGTGGTGGAATGTCTAGGAAAATGAAGACGGTTAGAAATAACCCCTGCAGAAAATGGGAGAAGGGGAGCTAAGGACATAAAAGATAACTGTTTCAAAAACACCACAGAACTGACTCAATAAAGGTTGGTTAATTTTGTTCATCTTTTCAAATACCCAGATTTTGGTTTCTCTATTGTTTTTATATTTTCTATTTCTCTATTGTTTTTATATTTTCTATTTCATTAATTTCCATTCTAATCTTTGTTCTTTCCTTTCTTCTGCTTTCTTTGGGTTTAGTTTTCTGTTGTTTTTCTAATTTTCTAACAGTGGAAAATTAGGTTATTGACTGGGGATCTTTCTCCTTTTTAATGTAGGTATGTACAGCTATAAATTTCTCTGTAAGCCCTGCTTTAGCTGCATTTCACAAGTATTGTCTATTTCTTGCTTCAATTTTGACAGCTTTTGCTTCATGTATTTTAGGACTCTGCTGTTAGGCAAACATATGTTTATGATTGTTATATCTTCCTGATGAATTGACTCTTTTATCATCATAAAATGTCCTTCTTTGTCACCAGTAACAATTTCTGTCTTAAAGTTTATTTTGTCTGATATTAGTAGAGCCACTCTAGCTCTTTTTGATTACTGTTTCATGATATATCTTTTTCTGTCCTTTTGCTTTCAACTTATTTGTGTCTTTGAATCTAAAGTATATCTCTTGTAGACCATGTATTATAGGATCATGCTTTTTTTGTAATCTATTCTGTCAATCTCTGCCTTTTGATTGGAGTGTTTAACCCATTTATACTTAATGTAATTATTAATAATGTGAGATCTACATCTACCATTTTGCTATATTTTTGAGTCATTGTCTTAGTCATTGCCCTGGGTATTGTAACTTACATTTTAACATATAAAATTTGTATCCTAACGTATAAAAATCTAGTTTCACAACTTATTTTCAATAATATACAAAAACTTTTCTCCTACATAGTTCCATTCCTTCCTGCCTCTTTTGTGCTGTTATTTTTCTACAAATTACATCTTTATATATTATATGTTCATCAACAGATTTATAATTATTGATTTATGTAGTTGTCTTTTAAATCAGAGAGGAGAAAAGAAAGAGTTACAAACAAAGTATATTTATACTGTTTTTTATCTTTACCTATGTAGTTACCTTTACTGGTGTTCTTTATTTCT
Source organism: Homo sapiens (assembly GCF_000001405.40). Lineage (NCBI taxonomy): Eukaryota > Metazoa > Chordata > Mammalia > Primates > Hominidae > Homo > Homo sapiens. Next base: position 17,163,858 of record NC_000023.11, on the reverse strand, counting down.
TGATGTGGCAACTTACTATCTAGTGTTCTTTCATTTCAGTATTTAATATGTCTTGTAGAAGAGGTCTGCTTGTGACAAATTCTTTCCATTTTTGTTTATTTGAGAATGAAACTTCATGTCTAAAGAACAGTTTTGCTGAATATCAAATTCTTGGTTGATACTTGTTCTTTCAGCACTTTGAATATGTCATCCCACTATTTTCTAGCTTCAGTGGTTTCTGGTGAAAAATCACCTCTTAATCTTATTGAGCATCCCTTGTACGTGATGAGCTTTTGCTACTTTCAAGATTCTTTCTTTACCTTTGATTTTCAACAGTTTGATTATGAGGTGTCTTAGTGTGATGCTCTGAGTTTTTCCAACTTGGAATTCATTGAGCTTCTTGGATTTGTAGATTCATGTTTGTCATCAAATTTGGGAAGGTTTCACCCATTATTTCTGCCCCTTTATCTGTTTTCTCTCTTTCTGGGACTCCCACTATACAACTAATGGTATGCTTGACAGTGTCCCATAGGCCTCTGAGGCCCTGTTCATTTTTCTTCATTTTTTAATTTCTTTCCTAAGAATGAACAATCTCAATTCACCTATCTTCAAGTTCACTGATTCTTTCTTCAGCCTAAAGAAATTTGCTGTTTTTCCCCTCTGGTACTTTTCAACCCTGAATTTTTATTTGTCTGCTTTTATAATTTCTATCTCTTTATTGGTATTCTCTATTTGGTGAGACAACATTCTCATTTAGTTTTTAAGATATGGTTTCCCTTCACTGTTGAATATATTTAAAATAGCTAATTTAAATTATGTATTTGTCTAATAAGCCCAAGATCTGGGCCTCCTCAAGAACAATTTCTATTGATTGTTTTTACTCCCATATTTGGGGCATATTTTCTTGTTTCTTTTTATATCCTATAATTTGTCATTACAAACTGGACATTTTGTATAATGTGATGTGGCAACTCTGAAAATCAGATTCTTCCTCCTCCCCATGGTTTGTTGTTGTTGCTGTTTGGTGTTGTTGCTCTTTGTTCAGTGACATTCCTGAACTAATTCTGTAAAGTCTGTATTCTTTGTCTCTACTCAGCTTAGTAGTTAATAATTGTACCGTCATTTCCTTAAATGCCTTGAACCAATAAATCTGAGTCTTTGCTGAGGGGTTCTCTGTGCATGTTAGGACACACCTTTAACACTCAGCCAGTATGACTGTTCTTACAGTTCTTGTCTAGATGCAGCCATTTTTCTTTAATTGTTATAAGCCATTGGTTAATTTACAGAACTAGTTTAGAACTCTGTCTTAGCCTTCCCTTTCTGCTTATGCAGAAGCCTAAGGTCAGTCAGAGGTGACCTTCTCAGTTATTTCTTGAGCATGTACGCAGCCCTGAGTATGCACTCAAACCTGTACATGTGAACATGTGTGTAGCCTTCTAAATTTCCAGGAATATGTGACAGCTTTTCAAGGCCATCTATGAACATCTCATTCCCTAGTTTTTCCATTTATGTTTTTTAGTTAGCTTGTTATTTGTCTCAACTTTTACCACTGCCTCAGGCAGCCATGATATTAAACAATTGTTGCCAATTGTTTTTGACAAATGCCCTTGAGGAGAAGGCAGTTCACACTGGATGAGCTCTGAGTCAGGTCAAATAAAGACAAGCATTGTGAGTGAGATTTCCCGGGGAACTATAAAATAGGTCAAATTATGACAGTTCTCTAAGAATGGAGCTTTGAAAGAGCTCCAACTCTGTTCTGACTCACCCAGTGGCTACCAGGTTGCTGGTTTTCACTGCAGTTGCATAGATCAAGCACACCTAAGCCAGTCTTTACTTCTTTACTCTGCAGGCTATTAGTTTTCAAGGCTATCACAGAACTGGGGAGAGGAAGATGGGAAACGGACAAGTTAAAATATCAGAAGCAGCCACTAAGCCACTATACCTCTAGGATCTTTTCCATTTTCCAAAAGACAGTCTTTCATAAAAACCATGAATGCTTGGAGAGATCAGAAAGGGCCTTTTATCTTTTGGTCTTTCCCCAATCCCATCCTACTCCAACTCCAAGGAATACCTGGGTGGACACCATAATGTTGGAAACTGAATACAGACTTTGTATTAGTTTCCTATTGATGCTGTAGCAAATTGCCATAAACTTAGTGGCTTAAAATAACACTGATTATCTTACAGTCTCTTAGGTCAAAAACATGAGTACAGCATGGCTCAACTGAATCCTCTGCTTAGAGTTTCTCAAAAAAAAAAAAGGCAGGAGATCAGCAGGGTTATGATACTTTCTGGAGGCTCTGGGGATGAATCTGCTTCCACGCACATTCAGGTTGTTGGCAGAATTCAGCTCCTTGTGACTATAGGGTTAAGGTCCCTGTCTCCTCACTTGTTGCTAGCTATAAACCTTTCTCAGTTCCTTATGGTTGCCTTGCATTCCTCATTACATTGCCCACTCCATCTGCAAGTCTTTTTCATGCTTCAAATTTCTCTGACTTCCTCTTCTGCATTTAAGAGTTACTGTGATTACATTGGGTCTGCCGGATAATCCAAGATAATCTCCCTATTTTAAGGTCAACTGATTAGTAACCTTAATTGCATGTGTGAAATCCCCTTTGCCATGTAACATACTATAACCACAGGAGTAGCATCAGAGGGTGGAGATCATGACAGCCAAAATTCTGCTTATCACAGTCTGCCCTCTGGTGGCCCCTATAATTCCCATCTATTCCATATGCAAAATATATTCACCCCATCCCAAGGTCCCCAAAAGTCTCATCCCATTACAGCATCAAATCAAAGTCCAAAAATCTCATCTAAATCTCACTAGTTCAAAAGTTCCACATCTTGTCATTTACATCATCTAAACTAAGTACAGATATGGCTCAGGATATAATCCCTACAACTTCTGGGGCACAATTCCTCTCCATCTGTGGATGTATGAAACTAAAGAAACAAGTTATCTGCTCTCAACATACAATGGTGGGACAGGCATCGGGTAACAGTTAAAGACATTATGTTTTTAAAAAAGAGGAAATGGAAGGTAAAAAGGAATCATTGACCCAAAGCAATTTTTAAGTCCAGCCAAACTCCATTAGGTTTCAAGGACTAGAAATAATCCTCTGTTGGCTCTCAACTTTACCTTCTGGGCTCTCAGCTTCACCCTCTGGACTCTTGGTCCCACCCTTTGAGTCATCCTCCCTTTTTTATGAAAGTTGGTATTTGTTTGTACCTAAGTGTTTATATCAGCTTGCTGCCTGCCAGCAGAGTTTGGGGGATATAACAGCCTTCTTCCATTTAAGATATTCTCTGTTCCTTTTGGTGCAAGCCAACAGTGTTTCTATTAGTATACAATTCTTAAGAACTTTGGGAATCTCCCATGGATGTCACGGAATGAAAGCCAGGTCCATAAAATTTTTGAAATAACTTCATCTGTTTTTGACTTCTGCTAAAATGGCTGAGGGATAATGCTCTTAAGCTTTCTAAATACCCCCTGGTTTGATTGTGAGAATCTGTGAGTCACACATTTAACCTCTTTAGAGAGCCTCTGTGTGACTGAATACTTTGACCTTGGCAATCCCAATAGACTAAGGATTTCCCAAATCATCAAGTACTGGTTCCCTTTTGTTTAATGGTTCTTCCCTCAACTTCTCTCTTTCCTCTCACATTTAGCTAAAAAGAAAAAGAACAAACCAATGTGTACCTTCAACATTTTGCTTGGAAATCTCCTCAGTGAAATTTATAAGTTCATCATTCACAAGTTCTGCTTTCCACATTATTGTGGGACACAATTCTGGTAAGCTCTCTGCCACCATAACAAGGATCCTGGGTAAGTCACTTCACTTCTCAAGGTTAAAGGTTTCCTCATCTGCATAATAATTCTAGTTTCAGTTTTTAGGAAAGAGAATTCCACAGAATGATCTTAATCATCTTCTGAGTGGCTTTGGATTTTAGACATCACTGGATTTCACAAAAAGAAGGATGTCATCAAATCATCCAGTGGTCACATTTTGGCTAGTTCAAGGAAAGGAGGAGGGTCAATTTGGCCAACTTGTTTGCCCATCTTTAAATCAAGAGTGGGCTGGTGGTGGGACAGGGGTCACATCTTCTATTTCCCAATGTTCAGCACAATGCCACGGCCTCACAGGTAACCAGGCAACAGTCAATTTTTAATTTAACAAACACATGTCTAGCACTTACTAGGCACTGTTTTAAGTGATGTGCATTGGGGGGCTGGGGGGCACTATTATCAGTAACGTATAGATGATGGAGTGAGGCACAGAGAAGCAAATAACTTGCCCAAGATTACAAAGTTATTAAGGAATAGAGACAGGATTTGAATCCAGGCAGTCTAACTCCAAACCCCATGCTTTTATCAACTATGTTATGCTTCCAGGGTGCCATCCTTCAGGCCACCTACTCTTATTCATCCTAACAGTGGGGTTACAAGAGGTAACAAGAGGAAATTTTCTCCAACCTCACCCCATTGCCTCCAACTTAAGTAAGAGTGGTGCTTGGAAGAAGGAAAGAGACTAGAACCAGAGTTTGGGAAGGAGGTAGAAAGTAAGGAAGTTGGATATTAATGAGCTTGAAACATAAAAAGTTCAAACTGAGTCTGTTTCTGCATGACTTCTGCCTCATTGAAGCTTGAAGCTGACTTCCCAGGTCTCTAAAGTATCATCTGGGGAGGCTGAGAAATTCTAGAGTCAGAGAGCAAACAAAGTGAAAAGGGGATCAGTTGTGGTCTTCACAGAGCCAAGACAAGCTGAACACACAGTGGGAGCCAATGAAAAAAATTTGATGGAATCATATTTTGAAATATTCTTTAATTATTGCATCTATCAGAGAGGAAGAAAGTTTTATTTAAGACCTAAACTCACTATAACCAGCCGTTCTGCCATCTAAGGGAAAATTCTTATTATTTGGAAACAGAGGTCTACATTGTTGTTTCCCCTCACTGAGGCTGGTCAGGTAAAGAATGAGAAAATGTGGAAATGTTAAAGCCTCTTTCATTCTTCTGTGCTGCTGAAGGTGAGGTCGCAAACAGGCAATGCGTGGGCCCAACCTGGCTTGCAGACCTGTTTTGTTTGGCCTGTGTATTGTCAGCCTGCACAGTGGTTTCTTTCCCCTCAGTGTTTTAAATTAGACATAGTTGCCAACATAGAAAAAACAGGCAAGTATCCTTGACAGATGTATTGCAAATAAGTTCTACTGTTCTTCAGCTTGCCAAAACTCTCTTAGTCCTGAATTCTGATAAAAAGTTCTTAACTTTAATGAAATTCAATGTATCAATTTTTTTTCTAAAGTTAGTCCTTTGTATGCCCTGTTTAAAAAACTTGAGACACATGAAGATATTATCCTATGCATTCTTCTAGAAGCTTTATTGTTTTACCTTTCACATTCAGATCTATGATACATATTGAATTAATTTTTCTGCATGGTAGGTTTTCTGGGTTCATTTTTTTCCATGTGGATATCCAATTGCTCCACCATCATTTATTGAAAAGACCATCTTTTCCACCACTGAATTATGATGGCTTTTTTTAAAAAATATACAAGTCAAGGGATCATATATGTGCGGCTATGTATTTGGGCTCTCTATTCTGTACCATTAACCTATCATTTGCAACAATATTACACTGTCTTAATTACTTGTAGCTATGTAAGTCTTGGAACCTGGTAGTCTAAATCCAAGTTCGTTCTTCCAGATTATCTTGATGATTCATTGTGCTGCACACTTAAATTTGGTGCACGTGTGTATGTAACAACTCAACTAAAAAATAACACAAAAGGGGATTACTGTGGGATGAGGGAGGCGAGATATTGAGTCTCTCTCAAGGAATCTGACATTTATCAACACAGGTGCCTGCATGGCAATAAGTTAGGGCTGCCTTTATACACAGGGTATGCAGTCTCCAATTTGCCACAGTCCCCACCATTACCCCATTGTTCCCTACTACTGAAGCAGATGGGCCAGTGCCCACTTCTCATCTTACTCCTGACTCACTTCACTCAATTTATATTGCCACCTGAACCCTGGTGATATCTGAATTAATGGACTAATTTAGCAGAACCTGTTGATATAGTTTTGACCATGTGAAGGATTATTCCTGATAATGGTAAGAAGGCTAAATTGCTATGGGTAATTGAGAGAAAGGGAGAGAAGGCTGAGGGCTCTTCTGTAACAGTTTCTCAATCTTAGCACTATTGACATTTTGGGCCAGATCATTCTTTGTTGTGGGGGATTGTCCTGTGCACTGTAGGATATTTGGCAACATCCTTGGCCTCCACCCACTAGATGCCAGTAGCATCCCCCAGTTGTGACAAGCAAAACTATCTCTAGGCATTGCCAAGTTGCAGACATTGCCAGACACTGCAGAGGCAGAATTGCACTCAGTTGAGAACAACTGGCCTAAACCCATAATGGAAACAGTAAGGGTAGAAGAGATCTGATATGGGGGTAGAATAACTGGGTTAGAAATGGTTACAGGACCCCTAAAGTTCCCACCTCCTCACCTTCCTTCAGCCAGCAGAAGCAGAACAATAGATCTATAAAAAGCAAAAGGAAGAACACTTTGAGAGAGAGTAGACTATGCAGCATGGAGCCATAAAGAGGACAACTTGCATCACAAACTCCAAGGGGTGTTCTTATCATATAAAATACAAGGTGATGTCCTTGCCATGGTCAGAAATTTTTTAAAAAATAAATTTAAAAACACAACATGAACAATGTCCCCTGGAGCTGTGCAATGTGGTGGTTCTGGATATAAACTATTTAAAAGCTCTCATCTCTCTAAATAGTCTACGAATTCTGCCCCATTTCCATTCCACCCCATCCTCCATACACATACACACAAATGCCTCATGTAAATGATATTTTGGGGGAAAATAGATGGTCAATCTATCAAACTAATTCCTAGGAAGCATATCAGAGCCACAAGTGACTAGGATAAAAACATCAGTCCCTCCACCATTACCTCTGCCTCTCAGAACTTCCAGAAAGATTGGGATGCAGGCTCCCAGCACACATGGGTTGAAGTTCAAGCCAATTTCATTTGAATTTCAAAGGACCTGCAACACAATTCTCTGTATCTGTATTTAATTTACTTTGGTTTCCTTGATTCCATTCCCTATGCATTATCTTTCTTCCCCCTGGCTTTCCTTCAGCCTTGTAGTTTTTATTAACTCTAACACAGGGATGAAGGCACTCACTCTGTTCTGTAGTGCTATGCCCAGGATAGAAATGGTCCACCCCAGGTACAAGAATAAGGGGTGTATTCTCTGTAGAAAATGTTAAAACAATAAAATTGACTATAAGTTAGTTGGCTTTTATCATCACCATGAACCCGTTAAGTCTAAACAATGTCAATGATAAAATACTCATCCTCCTAAAAAATATTTTGTTGGTCTACATTCTAAACAATTACTGTGGCTATTGTTGAGTTTTAAAATACATATATATATATATATGTATTACATATGTGTATATATATACACATATATAATGTCTTCTGCTGATGATGCTAGAGGATTTTCACAGGTGAATCTTGAAATTTTTACAGTTTCTGTGTCAATTCCTTCTTTCTGCCAAATCTGCTAAGAGGATTTCAGGGCAAATAAAGGAAAATATATCTGGGTTATAATTTAATATCCAAAGATAAAGATCCTTTTCCCTCTATGTTTGAAAGAAAAATGCAATGAGGTAAACACCACTCAGAGTCTGGAAATACTTTTGTTCACACTTCCAGAACACTTCACATTTGAAAAACGATACGGCAGGGTTCTTTGAAGTTACAGTTTGCCATGGAGATGCTCTACTTGAAGCATTTTCTCCTGCAGGCTTGGTAATTTTTCAAAAGTGTTTAATAAACTCATAGAGCACTCTTGTTCAAAAGGAATTGTATATTTCAGCTTCATTTCCACACTCTTTATTTCTGCCCTTTGATAGACTTCTTGATAAAAAGGGAGTCCTGCACCTCTCAGTCATCTCAGGGCCCATGACATCTCCCCTTTCAAAAAGAGCTGAAGATGGAAAAAGTCTCACATCATTCACTAGGACTCCTGCTTACCAGGGTTTAGTCACTTGTGTTCTGGGCTTTGGTCCTTTGCCCAAACACATGCCAGAAGATATATAACAAATTAAACTAGCAGGTTTGGTCCACGTTAAAACATTAGTTTACAATCTTCCAGTAAAACATTTCCTTTCTAGGGAGTAGGAAAAATTTGGGAGAACACAAATCATTCCTTGACTACTCATGAAGTAAGCAACTTCATGCACTTCTTAAATCTTGAAAAGAGCTGTAATCTCAGGGTGGTTTATGCCTTCTCATGCAAGGCCTTCCCATTTGGCCTTGTGCCCTACCTTTGCGTCCTTCTCTGCTCCATATTCCACATCCATCTGCTATAATTTGAATGTTTGTCCCCAGCAAAACTCACATTGAAACTTAATCCCCAAAGTGGCAGTGTTGAGGGGTGGGGCCTTTGAGAGTTAATTAGGTCATGATGGCTGCCCTCATGAATGAATTAATCCATTCATGAATTAACAGGTTATCATGGGATTGGGACTCGTGGCTTTATAAGCAGCAGCAGCAGAGAGACCTGAGCTAGCATACTCAGCTCCCTCACCATGTGATATCGCCTGCCACCTTGAGATTCTACAGAGAGTCCCACCAGCAAGAATGCCCTCACCAGATGTGGCCCCTCGACCTTGGACTTCTCAGCCTCTATAACTGTAAGAAACAAATTTCGTTTCTTTATAAATTATCCAGTTTTGGGTATTCTGTTATAAGCAACAGAAAACAAATTAAGACACCATCTATTACATCCACATGAGAATTTCTTTGCAGTTCCAGAATATATCATGTTCTTATCATATCCCACCTTAGCACATGCAGCTCTCTCTGCCTGGAATATCCTCTTCTTCCTAGTAAATGCCTATCCCTCTTTTAAGACTATTCCATGAAGCCTTCCTGAATCCTCATAATCTGAGTTAAATACCCCTCCTGTGTGTTCTCAGAGCAACCTGGCCTTGCGTCTTCTGGTACATACTGTGTTCACCAAAACTTTTTCCTCTGGAGCTCACAGCTAGACTACATTTCCTGGTCTCCCTTGTGGTTAACTTTTGTCAGATAATTGAATTCCAGCAAATGAAGAAAAGTGATGTGTGTTACTTCAGTGAAAGGTAATTGTATCTTCTCCACCATCTCTCTTTTATCAAACCATTGGCTAAAGGGAGGAAACTCCCCAGCCCTAGGGTACAACGGTGCCACACATGTAAGGAGTCTGGGTTCCTGAACAACCACAAGGAAAACAGGACAACTGTAAGCATCCACCCTGGATGGTGAGGTGAATGAGATTCATTGAATTCCCAGGGTTCTTTGTTACAGCAGTTGTCCTACCCTTATACAACATAGCACCTATCCCACTCTGCACTGCAATGCATTTGTAGGTCTCTGTCTCACTGGACTGTGGGCTCCTTGGGGGAAGGAGTTGTGTCTTGTTAGTCTCATCTCCAGCTCCTAACACAGTGCAGTTAAACAGGAGGAACACATTAAATAAATATCGATGGAAGGAGGGTCATGGGAAGGAACAAATTCATGGATAGAAAATGTAGCACAGCAAAAACTATGCCCTGGAAACACAATTAGCCTTTGCTCTGAATCAGCTGAGACTCTGGATGAGTCAGTTTTGCCTTTCTGCACCACAGTTTCTTTGACTGTAAAATGAGATTGGCTAGTCAGTAGTTCCAGCTTTAGCGTACATCAGCATCACCCAGAGGGCTTATGAACACAGGGATTGCTGGGTCCCACTACCAGGGTTCCTGATTCAGTTGGTGCAGGGCAGGGGTGGCAAGAATTTGCATTTCTAATAAGTCCCTGATGATGCTGATATTGCTGATCTGGGGACCACACTTTGAGAACCGCTTGCATAGATTATCTCAGATCCCTTTTATTTCTAAAGTAAATGACCCAGTCATCCACATCAATGCTTAGGAATGGTCAGGGCCTGGTGATCTCCAGTGTCCAAGCTTATGGGCCAAATGATAGATGATTCTTCCAGAGTTAGTTTGTCCTTTGGGACTACTAGATTGGAAATATCCTATCTGTAGCCCACCATTTGCATTCACAATATGGAATAAAACCCCTCACCCAATAGGAGAGGTGCCTCCCCAAATTATTCAAATTTTAAAGGTAAGAAACTATAACTAGGGTGCCAGATTACTTGGTCGAGATTTCAAGCCAACTCTTTCTGATCCTTCCCCATCACCCCAACTCCAGCTAAGGACATCATGATGGGAATATTTTTGAACAAAAGAACACTGACAAGATAAAGCAAATAACCTGGCCCCACATTGAGCCAAGTTTTCAATTTAGCAGATCTTTAAAATGCACTGTGAGTCAGCCATGATATCCCATGACTGCCAAGTGTTTACTGTGTGCAGGTATTTAAGAACCTGTCTCAGATCACCAGGAGGTAAAAGCAACCAAATCTCAGACTTTGACTTAATTGGAAAGACTCCCAACTCCTTTTCCCATCATTTTCATTAAATACATGAGAACAAATGCAAACCACAATATATCGACACCAAGACTCCATAAAACCCACACTTAGTTATCATACATTTATTTTTAACATAGCACCCCAGTTTCACATCATGTATATTTTCCAAAGTTGGAGATCTTTAACTATGTTCTTCACAGACTTTTCAACAAGTGTGAAAAAGAGGCAGTAAGGTTAGCTTGAGTCTACAAGTCACAATCCAAATATAGGACACCTATGTTTAAGGTCAATATACATAATGTTCCCAATGCTTAGCAAATGAATGAGACTCTGGCTGAGTAAAATATTAACACAACTTGTTAGCACATTATCATGAAAAGACAGAAGGCATCAAATATATACTTTGCTGTTACACTTTTTACTGTTCAATGTACTTGTAGTGAAAAAATATACATTTTTACTTTCAAGGTTAAAATAGACCATCAGCTCATTATCTCTCTTAGCCAATAGCTATGAAGACTAAAATGGCTCTTCTTGCTTCTGGCTCACTTGAACATCTTATTTGTGCTGAAGACAAAAAGGATAGCAGTGCTAAAGAAAAGGGTATACCCGGTTCCCAAGATAGGTGCGGTTGAGGTTCTCGCACAAGGTGACTTAAAACAAAAATAACACAACTCAGTTGATCCAATCTCCACACAATGGGGTTGCATAATCAACTGTTCCAGCCCCAGAGAAGAGCTCCCTGAAAGAGCTTTAGGATCTGGCCCTGTTGTTCAACAGAGGGCTTCAGGATGGAACTGGTATCTGAAGGTTTCTTTACTGTAGTTTCCAAATTCCAATTTAAGCACTTTTAAAGTCTGGTGTCTGCTGGTCTTCAGAGTCATAAACCCACTTCTCTAATATCCCACAGCCATGACATTAGCTTACAGCAAGACCAGAGTATTCACAAAACATGAAAAAATGAGCATTTCCCAATTGTTGACAGCAGAGCAAGGCTTCTGTAACTAGAACATGTCCTGTGTATTGAAACCCTGCAATGCCTCCTAGAAAAGGTTCCTTTATCATCATGTGTGTTGGCATGTGTAGAAAATAACTATACAAGCCTAAAAGCAACTGTGTACTTCAGATGTCTTGCTCATACTAACAGACTGACTGCTTTAGGGCATGCATGTAACACAGCCTCCAAAAGCCTTTTTTAGAAGAGGGCAACAGCTCTTCGAATCTGCTTGCGTTGCTTTTAAAGTCTGGCCCTCCATGTCTGCTGCTCTCGGGAAATTCACATAACCAGATGCATTTCTCCTTACAAACAAGCGAAGCAGGGTGGCTCACAGAGTAATACCCACATTCAAATTGCCATCAATGACTGACCTATCAGTGTTGGTAGGATCTCCCCTAGCTTGTGCTGAAGGAGGAACAAGACATGTGAGCTGAGGACTCCAAAAACACAAATCCCCACTTCTTACTAGGAAATTGAACCATACTGAGTCATGATACAAAAAAAAAAAAAGTAACAAAACACCCATAACTAAAGTATAAATTCAACTGATCCTTTGAAATCAGAGTTTTAAAAGAATACCCTTGAAACAGTAAAGCAGTTAGAAAGAAAAACCAGAATTACTAGTGTTCTCTTTAAACACAGTGGGAAAACACCTCTTAACTACTATTTCATTTTGTTCACATTCAGAATGTTCAAACCAGAACCTAATGATCCCTACTTGTCAATAATATGGGAAGCTCTGGTTGCCATGATACGTTATATTGTTTTCTTTTTATTTTTAAAACCACATTCCCTTGGTGATATCTAGTGAGAAGGTGTGATTCTAGTTTGTGTTGAACAAATGTTTTTAGCTCTAAGGTGTTACACTGTAATTGAGATGTTTCCAACTACTGCTTAAAAGAAGACATTGGCAAATGCCTGCCTTAATTGCAAAAAACACATGAATTCCAATATTACCTTATTGATCTTCTGAGTACACATCTATTATTACCATGGCTGTGAGATCATTTAAGAAACAGACAAATGTCATTTAGAAACAGACTATAGAATCAAATCACAACTAAAGAGAATGCTTTATGATAGCTCAGACAGTGGTAGGAAATCAAAGGCAAATTCACATTTTTGATTACTCACCCTAAAATATGCTGAAATTGAACATTTGTGACCCAAGTAACTAAAAATACATTGAAGAAAACTATAACTTAACTACATATTGAGTTCATTTCAATCGCAGTAGTCTATTTTAAAAACAACCTCCCATAAGGAATACAGGAATGGAATCCATTGAAAGCAACAGCTGTCAAAAACTCTGCCAAGAAACTCAGAGTAACTTATTGCATCATAAAAGGTGAGGTGTTCAGGAAAACAAATAGCTCAATCATATTCTTTTCTTTCAGATTCTGTCACTTCAATCTAAGAGAAATTTCTAGAACTAAACTCCCTAAAACATGTTTTCAAATTTAAAGACTAATTAAGTCAATGAAATTCAACATGATAAACAGAAAAAAAAACCCTCCTAATCTATTTTTAGTATTGATAGAGGGTAGAGAATCTAACTCAAAATCCATAAAATCAGGTTGGCGCCCCAAATCTGCCACTAGTTACCTCTTTCTATGGATTTTTTGGGCCAGGAACTGTTGTTTCTTAGGGCTTTGGTTTCCCCACATGCAAACTGCAAATGATGGGTACCAGTCCTGCCCAGCTCTGACATCCTATTCTCCAGTGACAGTAAGATGGGCACAGCTTCCAGCTAAGCTGCCTCCTCTCCCAATCATGCCCAAGCACTTGTTTAATATTTGTAAAGCAGTTAGATCCTTCCAATTAAGGCAAATATCTGCCTCAATTACAACATATACATTCATTCCAGATATCTACCTTTTAGTTTTGCTTTGATGTCTGCTGGATAGGAAAGTGGCAAAAGCAATATGCCACATACGAGAGATGCCGAGGGACCAAATAAGCCAGCTGTCAGCTACTACTGTGCTTTCATCTGTGGGACTGTAGGATCCCAATGGGGGAAGACCACTTAACAGCAAGGTAATTCAACCCCTATGGATGGGGACAACATTGACCTTCTGTCTATAGAATTCTCCCCAACAGGCAGGTCTAACTTTGGAGTCGTTTTATGGAAGAGGTATAATGGTGATTTCAGTAATTCGGCCATCTTATAAATCACATTAAAGGCTCACAGAAATATTATTAGGCGTTACAATCCTAAATTAAAGTGCACATCCTAAGAAAACACAGAAAGAGAGGATGAGCACTACTTAGGTAATAATAATAGTAGTGTGTCATTACTTGTGTGTTATGCACACACATTTAACTGTTTTTTAAAAATCCACTTCTAAGCAACTAATAAACTGTGGTTACAGTTGAGTCCACCCAAGAAGGTAGGCATAGATATTATTAGTGTGTGCTCGCCTATCTTAAAATATTGATGAGATTATGAAACTCAGGGGAATTTGATTGTCCAATGCAAGTTTTTTCCCTTAATGAAAACCAAGCCAACCAAACAAAACCCCAACCTCCCAATCTGGCTCACTCTGGCACTGACTTCATGGAGGGGAGGGGAAAAGCATGTCAATATTTTTAAAATGAATACTGCAGACTAACATTCCTTAGTTTATACGTCTGCCTAATGGAAATGAACTGCTATCCCAACTGAGAGCATATGTACTGGAAGATTATGAGATAAAGTGCACATGCTAGTCTTTCCTGGATTGAATTTACCAAAAGCCAAACATGCTGTGAAACGTCTGCAATCAGAACAGTGCTGATAGCCGGGCGGGTGGCTCACGCCTGTAATCCCAGCACTTCGAGAGGCCAAGGCGGGTGGATCACTTGAGGTCAGGAATTCGAGACTAGCCTAGCCAACATGACAAAATCCCATCTCTACTAAAAATACAAAAATTAGCTGAGCGTGGTGGTGGGTGCCTGTAATCCCAGCTACTCGGGAGGCTGAGGCACAAGAATTGCTTGAACCCAGGAGGTGGAGGTTGCAGTGAGCCGAGATTGCGCCACTGCGCTCCAGCCTGGGCGACAGAGCAAGTCTCCATCTCAAAAAAACAAAAAACACTGCTGATAAAATTTGTTGTAGCCCGTAGATCTCAGAACATGGAAAAAGCAGTTGCCTAAAAATTTGTGCTGACCCATTCATAATCTTCGGAAGAGTTTAAACTTACTCCCAACCCTTCCCCCACAAAAACAAAAAAGGCAGCAAATGGGGAAGAAAAAAAGGGAATAGAAAAATAGTTCAAGTTTCATGATTTTCAAAATCAATTCAAAATCCTTAAATATGCACGGAATAGATTCAACAATTTGTTTTTCTGTGGAAAAAACATCATCTGTTTGAGCCTTTATCCTCTGCCATTAAGCTATTGATAAAGCTTGCCAATGGACTAAGGAAACATTAAATAAATGCCTGCTTGTTCTAAAAGCTCTCAGCTCTATTGAAATCAAAGGCTGAATCCCACATATTGCAAACCTATCCAAAACTGCTTCAAAAAGACCCTATACACCCCCACCCTGCTACCCTAAGAATGGGGAAATTAGTAAAATGCACAAGAGACAGCATTTCTTGCCATTGGTCTCTCAAAGTGGTGTTAACGCTGGCATGCCCTGTGAGGGTCAGTAGCCCTGTGCCCCTGTGGTCCCATTTTCAACTTGGGCTTTCAGGAGAAGCAGTAGCTACTTAAATTTCTGTAGGATACTGGCTTCTGCAATTTGAGCTTACTGTTTTACATTACCTACACTGGAGTTAATTGGGCTCCTCTGAATCTGATATAAACCAATCACTTCCCAAGAATACACTTTACAGAGAACAAAACAGTCACATATCCAGCATGAGGACCACTTTTCTTTCATTATCTCCTCATACCCCATACATTTGCAATCCAGGTTAAAATAAAGATTAAAATAACTACTAGAGATTGTTGGTAACAACCATTTCCCCTTCTTCCCCAGTTTGGATAGCTGGGTTCAAACAACAAATGTTTATCAATCCTAACAGTCTCATCAGCCTTTCATATTTGATGGGTGGTTTCCAAACTCATGCATTTACAGATATATTATCCCATGCAGGATAAAAGTAGAGATCTGGCAACTATTTATTTAATTTGGTCAGGCAAGGCAGTCAAAGCAGACTTCTCTTGCCCAAAAATTTACATGAAAGGACTGAGTTGTCTGGGTTGACAGCCTAGCTTGGCCAAGTTAAACAGCTCATTGCCAAAACCTCCACTTTACAGAGGTGTAAAGACCCAGTAAGTCTTTGACATTCAATAGAAAACGATAGTCATGTATTATTTATAGCTAGATATAATATCAAAATGGCACTAGAGAAGCAATTTTTGGCATATAGTGGTAGAGGGCACAGCGCCAGTCTAAATCTGATGCTTTTATTTTAGCTTTTGTTTTTATTATGGTCACACCAATGACTATCTAGTTGGAATCCCAATTACTCAGGAAACCAACCTACTCTATGTGATATACATACAAAAAGCATCCTGAAAGTACTTGGTTACAAGCATCCTGAAGGTTCTTGGTTATAAGGTTTTATAGAAAACATAAATTCTTTAAATAAATAATGCTCTAAGTTATTTTTATTTGCTAGAAGACTGATTTTTGGTAAGGAGCAGCATCTAATACCTTGCAGAAGTACTTAAGAATAGGAGACAAATTCCACTGATAATTAGCATTTCAAGTGTGATAATCAGTTGAAGTATTTTTTCCACCACAGTAAAACATACAAGTGAAGTGCAAGAGAAAAGGTCATATGGATTATATTTTGCTGCTCACAGCTTTTGACACAGTCAAACATCTATGACAAGTAGTTGGGTTCAAAACATTCAAAAGAAAGATCTTGGCAGACAAGGTCACCCACTGTCACTTGAACCATGGGGGGGTCACAACACAGTGACCGGACGAAGTTGTTCCAATTGGTTTTCCAATGCAATTCGTTCTTGATGAACCTCCTGAGTTGTACAAAACACAAGAAAAACAAAAAAGCAAAGGGGTCATTTCTTGAATTCATCCCTACTTCATCAGATTTAAAAGGAAACTTATAACTGGACCCACAAATACAAGTGCTGTATAACTCAAGAACAGGAGGACTGGGAGGTATCAGATTTAATGCTGGTGACCAGACAAAAGGGGCTTCACAATTTGTAATCTCTCAACTCCTTTCTGAACGTGATGAAATGAAACTGACCTACTCCCCTCTACCACCCTGCCCTAGTTTTAGCCTGTTTTGACAAGATCAGTAGCTGGTAGACAGAGTCATTAAAAATTAAAAGACTAGGAGAAAGCAGAAAGCAAAAACAGACTCCCAATACTGAGCAGTGAGCCAACAGGACTTAAATTTCTAGTTGCAATCTCTGGCTCGTAATCCCGCACCATACTCAGTTAGGTCTGAGGGCCAAAAAGGTACGCTAGTTGCCCCTCCACCAAAGTCTCATCCAAGTTTCTGCACAACATATGGTGTAAGGTACAACATCTGGGTGAAAGGCAGAAAAGAGGCTGAGCAATCTGCTCTTTGGGAATTCAAACTTTCGGGCCTAAAACGGATTTTTTTGGCAGGAAGAGAGGGGACACATAAAGGTATTCAAGTAGAATCAGTCAAGGTGGGAAAGAATCCTGTAGAAAGGCTGAATTGTGAGATTCAGAAGAATCAGCATACTAATAGTCAGTATACAACTTCACAAGTATTTATTCACATGCTCTCCTAGCCACCCAGCCGGAAGTCTCTTGGTTTCTATCTCCTACAGGTGAGGTAATGCTGTAGCTGTGATGGTATCAGCAAAGAATATGCCAGATCAGAGCAATAGGGCTTATATTCAAATGACTTGAGAAAGATAATAAAGTTAATGAACAAGATACTTCCAGAAGGAAATAAGATAACATAATAGAGAGTAACAGAGGGGGATATGGGAGAAAGGAGAGAGAGTGCCCTGGGAAGGCTTCTCAGAGTTAGCAATACTTGAGCAAAGACTTGAATGAAATGAGGAGTGAGCCATATGAAGATATGGGGGGAAGGATATTCACAGAGACAAAAGGGCAACTGCAAAGGCCCTGAGGAGCGAGTGAGTTTGGTGAATTTGATGAACAAAAAGCCTGTGTGACCAGAGTAGATGGAACAAGGAAGACATTGGCAGGAAATGAAGTCAGAGATTTAAGCAAGGAGCCAGATCGTACAGGGCCTTGTGGGCAGAGGAAATAGTATGGAAATGTAGCGGGGATGGCATTGAGGGTTTCTTTCTTTCTTTTTTTTTTTTTTTCTGAGACAGAGTCTCACTCTGTCGCCCAGGCTGGAGTGCAATGGCGCGATCTCGGCTCACTGCAAGCTCCGCCTCCCAGGTTCACGCCATTCTCCTGCCTCAGCCTCCCAAGTAGCTGGGACTACAGGCGCCCGCCACCACGCCCGGCTAATTTTCTGTATTTTTAGTAGAAACGGGGTTTCACCACGTTAGCCAGGATGGTCTCGATCTCCTGACCTCGTGATCTGCCCACCTCGGCCTCCCAAAGTGCTGGGATTACAGGCGTGGGCCACTGCACCCGGCCTGGCATTGAGTGTTTCTAATCAGGGAAGGAACATGACCCAACTTAAAATTCAAAATTTTCACTCTGGCTACTGTGTAGACAGTAGATTATAGCAGGATGAGAGTGGAAGCAGGGGAGCAACTGGGAGGTTACTGCAGGGACCCAGGTGAGAAATGAAAATGGCTTCCGTCAGGGTAGAAGCCATGAAGATGAAGAGAAGTGGATGAATTCTAGATAAATCTTGAATCTAGAACTGGTAGGACTTGCTGATAAAGTTGATGTAGGAGAGAAGAAAAATCTGAGGATGACTCCTGGGATTTTTGTATGAAGAAAGTAGCTGGCTGGTAGTGATATTGAGAATGAGAAGATTAGATAAGAAATGAGTATTTCAAGGAGAGGGTTGGCAATTAATTATCTGAGATGTGTATTGGATATCTAAGGAGAAAACATTGAGTAAGAAGTTATATATGCAAGTCTAGAGCACAGAGGAAAGGAGAAGTAGGGCTTGAGACATAAATTAGGTTTCATTAGTTTATGGATGGTCTTCAAAGCCATGAGACCATATAACATCATCTAGCAAAACAGTATAGATAGAGGTTTCAGGTAAAGATGGAAGACTGACCAGGGGTACCACACTCTCTCCCTCCTGGAGCACCACTAAAACAATACAGCAACTTTTCAAAGTCACGGACCCACAAGACAGGGAAAACAAAAGGGACAAGATGATAGCAATAAAATTTGAAAGCTGAGTGGCAAACTGGTGAATGGTAAATGACTTAGGAAATCCAGGAAAATAAATGTGGGAATTCTGCCAGCTGCTGAGTATGTCTATTCCAAGCATGCCATTCCAGAGCTAGGGAAATAACCATAGGGTGAGTTTGGGAGTCCACTGGGTCCACTGTGAGACGAACATAAGCTAAAACTCCATTGATCACCTGATCTCCCTAAGCCCCAACTCTGATGGGCCACAGTGACACTTTGCATCTCCTGGAATTAGTGTGAGTTCAGAGCCAGTGTCTGGTAATTCCCCAAAAGTCTAATTATTTCCCTTCCTCTAATGCACAGTCACCCTGGTAAATGGCAGCAGGGTCCCCCTTAGGAAAGGCTAGGAGAAAGATTTGCAGTGTAAATTTTTGGCTGCACAGTGGGGTCCTTCCTTAAGGAGACATAGATGCCCCTTCATCATTCAAGAGGTTCTGGATCTATAAACTGGCTTAGCCTGGGAATTAATTGAGGGGCTATGACTATAGTTCTGTTTCAATGATTCTTCAGACTTCTGTTCACTAGACTTAGAACTTTTCCACTCATACAGATCAAGTAAAGAAAGCTGAGTCCCAGGCTAACATGAAGAAAAATAAGAACCAACTTGATTTTACGTAGGAGAATTCCTGAAAGACTCAAATTGGCAACACCAGATACCTATTAAAGTGGGAGTACATAAGGGGAGATGGGAGTTGGCTAAAATAAGTGTTGGCTGAAAATCTGTTTCAGAAGCAATTAGATCCCCAGATCATTCCTGCCACCAGGGCAGAATGCTGAAGGTTTATTTCTTGAAAAGGTACAACAGAGAGCATCTGGATTAGCAAGAAACAAGCACAGTTGAGGACAAGATACTGGGCCAGAAATAGGGAGAGTGAATGAATATCCTGGAATGCTGAGACCTACAGCCCTCTTGCTCCACTGAACCAACTCTATCCCTCCATGTAGGTGACCAAAACAGTCTCCACTCTGGACACTCCAACCAGACCAAGAGGAAAGAGCTAATCATACTCCCTTTGGGGGTTCCCCAACTATACAGCCGAGCCAAATTGCCAGACAGTGAAGCTCAGAGTTGACAAGCCTTACAACGTACAATGAACTTCTAATCAGTGTTTTCATCTTCCTTTTAAATATGAGCAAAGAAGGGCCATCAGATATCAAAGGAAAGCATCTAAGATAAAGCACATACAACACAACACAACAAACACAAACTATTCAGGAAGAAGAAAGAAAAATGACCATAAAAAAAGATCACAACGAGTTCTGCACATGTTTCCCAGAACTTAAAGTATAATTAAAAAAAAGATCACAACAATGAAACAAGAATAGGATACCGTCAAAAATAAACAGAGAACAAAAAATTATTGGTTATTAAACAACAGAAGATTTAGAATATATAATTAAGTTTCCAGAAATAGACAAAAATAAAGAAGAAAATGTAGGAAGAGAAAAGAAAGAAAACAGAAGAGAAAATATGAGAAAATTAGAGAACTAAGCTAAGAAGTCCAATGTCTGAATATCAGTAAGGGAGAATGAGAAAAAAATGGGGGTGAGGGCAGGGGGGAGGAAATAATCAACGACAACAAAAATGAAAATAAAAAACCCTTCAGAACTGGGGAATATCAGTTTCCAAAAGGGCCCACCAAATGTAGAGAACAATGGATGAAACTGGCCTACCCCAAAGCAGAGGGAGAGAGGAGAAAACCAAAACCAAACAAAATGCAAAACAAAACAAGTTCACATACAAAGTTTTAGAAAACAGAATGAACTTTGAAATTTAAAAAATAACTTTTTAAAATTATCATAGGGTAAAACAATTTTTTTCTTTTAGTGTACAGATTTGTGTAACCACCACCACAAAGAAGACACATTACAGTTCAACCAACCCCAAAAGTTCCCTGGGACTACTCATACAAACTCTCATCTCATGCATAACCCCTGATAGCCACTGATTTGTTTCACATCACTATAGTTTTACCTTTTCAAGAATGTCAAATAAAAGGAATCATACAGTACACAACCTTTTGATACTGGCTTGTCTCACTCTGCATAATGTCTGAGTTTCATCCAAGTTGTGTATCATTTCTTTTCTCTGTTGAGTACTATTCCATTGTATGAATGTATCCCAATTTATTCATTCATCTTTTGAAGGACATTTGTGTTGTTTCCAGGTTTGGGCTATCATGAATAAAACTGCTATGTAAGTTCATATATAGATTTTTGAGCGAACATAAATTTTCATTTCACTAAGGTAGAGAGACAGCTGGGTCACATGGTTAGTGTATGTATAACTTCATAGGAAACTGCTGAACGATTTTTCAGAGTGGTGGTACCATTCTGCATTCCCACCACCAATAAATGAGAGTTCTAATTGCCAGCACTTGGTGATGTCACATTTTTTGTTTTAGCAATTCTAGTATGTGTATAGTGGTATGTAATTGTGGTTTAAATTTGCATTTCCCAAATGGCTAATGATGTTGAATATCTTCTCATGTACTTATTTGCCATCTTTATATATTCTTTAGTGAAGTGTCTGTTCAAATCCTTTGCCCATTTTTAAATTGAGATGCTTTGGTTTTGAGAGTTCTTATTATTGAGTTTTAAGAGTTCTTTATATAATTGAGATATAAGTCTTTTATCAAATACGTGTTTTGCAAATACTTTCTCCCACTCAGCAGCTTGTCTCTTAATTTTCTTAACTGTGCTTGGCAAAATAAAAGGTTTTAATTTTGATGAAGTCCAATTTTTTTAGTTTTTCTCTGTTATAGATTGTGCTTTTGGTGTTATTTCTAACTCCAGATCATGAAGATTTTTCTGTTTTCTTCTAAAAATTTTATAGCTCTATGTTTTACATTTACATCTATGACTCATTTCAAGTTAATCTCTGTATAGATGTGAGGCTTAGATCAAGGTTATTTTTTTAAATGCAAATGACAAATTGTTATAAAACAATTTGTTGAAAACTATTATTTCTCATTGAATCGATTTTGCACCTTTGTCAAAGATCAAATGGCTGTTTTCATGTGGTCTATTTCAGGACTCTGTATCCTATTCCACTGACCTGTGCATCAGCATCTTGATTACTGGAGCTTGACAGTAAAGTGATTCCTCCAACTTTGTTCTTCCTTTTCAAATTTGTTTAAGCAATTCCAGCTCCTTGGCCTTTACATATAAGTTTTGGGATTAGCTTGTCTATACTCACAAAAAATCCTGCTGGGATTTTTATTGGTTTTGTAATAAATCTATAGACTACTTTGGAGAAAAATAACATTTGAAAAGATATTTCATAAAGTAAGATATGAAAGGTAAATAATCACAAAGAAAAGTGGACAACATAATTAGTCAGCAAGGAGATGATAAAAACTATATCACTACAGGGCTAGCTAAAATTAATAAGAATCATAACACCAAATGTTGGCAAAGACGCGGAACAATTGGAACTCTCATACATTAGTGGTAGGAGTACAGATTGCTACAACCACCTTGGAAAATGATCTAGCAGTTTCTCAGAAACTAATCACATACACTTACCATGATACCTACGAATCCCAATCCAAGAGAAATGAGAACATATTTCCATACAGAGACTTATTAAAAAATGCAGTTTTATTCCAAATTGCCAAAAACTGGAAACCGCTCAGGTGTCTGTCAATAGAATTGATAACCAAACTGTAACATATTCACCCAATGGGATACTACTCATCAATAAAAATGAATGAATTACTGATACACACAACAATATAAATGAATCTCAAAAACATAATACTTAGTGAAAGAAGCTTTACAAGAAGTATAAGTTGTAAGACACCGCTTATATAAAGTTATAGAACAGGCAAAACTATGGTATAAAAATTAGAATAGTGATTGCCTCTGTGTGGGTAGGGCAGGAATTGACTAGGAAAAAGCATGAGGGAGCTTCCTGGGGTGATGGTAATATTCTCTATCTTTTTGGGGGTTTGGATTCCGTAAGTACATGTACTTGTTACAAACTCAGCAAATGTACACTTAAGGTTTGTGCGTGCGCTGGCGCGGTGGCTCACGCCTGTAATCCCAGCACTCTGGGAGACCTAGGCGGGCAGATCACAAGGTCAGGAAATCGAGACCAACCTGGCTAACACAGTGAAACCCCACCTCTACTAAAAATACAAAAAGTTGGCCGGGCGTGGTGGCAGGCGCCTGTAGTCCCAGCTACTCAGGAGGCTAAGCCAGAAGAATGGTGTGAACCCAGGAGGCGGAGCTTGCAGTGAGCAGAGATCACGCCACCGCACTCCAGCGTGGGCGACAGAGCGAGACTCCATCTCAAATAATAATAATAATAATAATAATAATAATAATAATAATAATAATAATAATATTTGTGCATGCATTTTGTATAAACATTTTACATCATAAGAAAAAACTGTAAAAATATATTGAACTCTAGCTAATTATACGCATGCTAAAATATTCAGGGAAAGTATACAGATATCTGCAATTTATTTGAAAATATGTCAAAAATAAGATGAACTGATGGACACAAGGATAAATGGGTAGATATGTGATTAAAAATAAGTATAGTAAAATGTTATTGTAGAACTGAAGTGATGTCTATACAAGCAGTCACTTATGATTCTTTCAACTTTCCTGTATGTTTGAAAATTTTCATACTAAAATATTGGGGCAAATGGGGTTGGGGTATAAAAGTTAAGTCAGGGAAGGAAGAGACAGCAGAGAATGAAAATGGGAAGCACCAGTGAAGCAGAAGGAAAACCAGGAGAGTATGGTATGTCAAAAACCAGTTATAAAAGCCATTTCAGAGGAGGAAATGATCAATTGTGTAGAATTCTTCTGAAAAAAAAATAATAATATTAAAACAGCCCTATTGGATTTAGCCACAAGACGGGTGTGAGTGGAGGAGGACGAAGCCAACTGAAGTGGAAGGAAGAGAAAATTACTGGTTTGAAAGTAAAGATAATGAATAAAACCACTCCTAAGAAACTTTGCTGTGAAGGGGACCAAAGAAATGAGGCAGTAATTGGCCAAGTGTAATGGACAATACTGGAGCATATTTACATGTGGATGGCGAATGATCCAGTAGAGAACTGGGGGATATAGTGGGTAGAATCATGTCCTCTCAAAATATATGTTTAAGTCCTAACCCCCAGTATCTGTAAATGTGACCTTATATGCAAATAGGTTCTTTGCAGATGTAATCAAGTTAAGATGAGGTCATGCTAGATTAGGGTGGGTCCTAATCCAATGATTGGTGTCCTTATAAGAGGATACAATAAGAAGAGAAATTTGGACACAGACACAGAGAGATACAGGAAGAAGGCCATGTGACAACAGAGGCAGAGATTGGAGTGACGCAGCTACAAGCCAAGGAATGCCCAGGGCTGCCAGCAACATCAGAAGCTGGGAAGAGGTAAGGAAGGATCATCTTCTAGAGCCTTCAAAGAGATCATAGCTCTGCCAATATCTTGATTTCAGAGTTCTAGCCTCCAGAGCTGTGAGAGAATCATTTTTGGTTATCTTAAGCCACCACATTTGTAGTATTTTGTTATAGCAGCCCCGAGAAACTAACACAGGGGAGAGTAACGATGAAGAGAAACAGGGGTGATGTCATTGAGAAGGTGAAATGGAACCATTTGCAAGGCACCAGAGGAGGGGCTGGGCTTTGATAGTACCAAGGTGACTTCCTTCTACTGAAATAAGTATTTACATCCTCTTTCAGAGAGGATGTAAATAATTAAGGGCTTACCCAGAAGCTTTGGATAATAAAGAATGCTTCAAACAGCCTTCGTAATAGATTGTCTTTCCTTTTAACTCATACACAATATGAAGCCTACATATTAAAGTCACTAGTCTTCCTCTGACTATGCAAGAACCAACCCATGAAACTTAAATACAGTAATTCTCCACCTTCCAAAAAGGGTTTGAGAACGAAGAGGCAAGTCTTATCAACAGGGATGGAACTAAATGGTCAGCCAATGGACACATCAGATCACTGTACATGATAGGTATGGAGACATCACTATGTACCCCACCCTATAAATATGTACAATTATTATATGCCTATTAAATTAAAAAAAAGCTTTTTAAAAGCCAGGGAAAAGCCTGGTCATCCAAATCTGGGACTCATTCCTTACCTTGAGCTGCTGCTGGAGCTCACTGTTCAGCCGAGCCAGCACTGCGTTTGCCTCTTTATTTTTGCGGATAGCAGTTTGAATGGCCTTCTTCTGTTTGGAAGACTGCCTATAGAAAAGCACAAACACTTCAGTGAAAAAGGACTTAGAGGTCTGGACCCTTGAGGGTCAGAACTCTGATTCATGAGAGGTGTTAAACTAACAAGTGGTTAACAACACAGGGCTCCAAAAATAAAATCTCATATTCACAGGCGGTCAGGAAGATAGACACCAAATGAAACAAATTTATTGGGATGAATTATTTACACCTGAAGTAATTCCCATTTTATAACTTGAATAAAAGCTGTGAAATGGGCCTTTTCAAACATTTGTGTTCCATTTATTCCAAGACATTTTAATAAGTATTTCTTCCTGACAAACCATATTAACTGGAATGCCCTTTTTGTGTAAGAATTAATAGCACTTAGAAGACCTGCAGGTGTCCCCTGTGAACAAGTCTGAAGGAAAATAATACAAGAACATTATTTTTAGCAAAAATTCTACATTAACTTAGCCAGACTACCTACCTCTACCTTATGTATTATTAGGCATGAATGCCTAAGTATATGTGTGTGTGTGCATAAATGTGCACTCGTGTATGTGCATGGACCAGCATATATCTGTGGCTCTTGAGAAAAATACAGAACGTTTTAATACCAGTATTTCCCAATTAACAACAAATTCACAGAACACGCATAACCAGAGTGACCACGCATCCTACTGCGCCCATTACAGTCTCCATTTAAAACTGTCTGTCCAGCATAAGTACATTAGCACTCTCTTTACTTTTCAAAACCGTCCATGGTTGGGATGATAAATCAGTGCAGTTACCACAGGGATAATCTACAACCTTTCATCCCACAGCAAGAAACACCGAATTCTTAGAGCAAAAGAGCAACTGATGTTCTCCTAGAAAAACAGCCATATGTGCCATTACTGGGAGATAGGTTCTAGAAAAGAGCAACTGAACTAGAATGGACTGTGACCACTGTACAGATCTGATTAATATTGATAATTGGCTGGGTGCAGTGGCTCAGGCCTGTAATCCCAGCACTTTGAGAGGTTGAGGCAGGATGATCACTTGAGGCCAGGAGTTTGAGACCAGACTGGGCAACATAGTAAGACTCCATCACTATAAAAAATAAAATGAAATTGGCTGGGAATGGTGGCTCATGCCTGTAGTTCCAGCTACTCAGGAGGCTGAGGGGGAAAGGATCACTTGAGCCCAGGAATTCGAGGCTACAATGAGCCATGATCATGCTACTGCACCCCAGCCTGGGTGACAGAGTGAGACTTTGTCTCTAAAAAATAAAAATAAAAAATAGAAAGTGAAAAGACAGCCCACAGAATGAGAGAAAATATTTACAAAGAGGGCTCAATTTTCTCATATATCTAACAAGGGAGTTGTATCCAGAATATATAAAGAATTCATAACTCAAAAGTAAAAAGATTAATAATCCAATTAAAAGTGGGCAAAGGGTGTGAATACACATTTCTCCAAAGAAGATAAACAAATGGCCAATAGGCACATGAAAAGATGATCAATGTCGTTAGCCACAAAAGAAATGCAAATCAAAACCATGAGATCACACTTCACACTCACTAGGATGGCTATAATAAAAAAAAAAGATAAGTGTTGACAAAATGGAGAAATTGGAACCCTCATACGTTGCCAACGGGAACATAAAATGGTGCAGCCACTATGAAAAGTGTGGTAGTTCTTCGAAATATTAAAGACAGAGTTACCACATGACCTAGCAATTCCACTCCTAGGTACAGACCCAAGAGAAATGAAAATGTAAGTCCACACAAAAACATGTACACAAACAGTATAGTGGCATTACTCTTAAGAGCCAAAAAAGCAGAAATAACCAAAATGTCCATTGACTGATGAATGGATGAATAAAATGTGGTCTATCCATACAATGGAATATTATTCAGCCATAAAAAGATAAGTTCAGATTTATGCTACAACTTGGATAAACCTTGAAAATATTATGCTAAGTGAAAGAAGCCAGTCACAAAAGACCACGTTTCATTATTCCATTTATGTGAAATGACAAGAATATGCAAAGCCATGGAGACAGAAAGGAGATTCGTGGTTGCCAGGGGCTGAGGGGGAAGGAGAGAATGGGGAGTGATTGCTAATGGGCGTGGATATATATTATTTTAGGCATGACAAAAGTTAGATTGTGGTGATGGTTGCATGACTTTGTGAATAAACTAAGAACCACTGAATTGTACATTTAAAAACATGAACTGTATGCTATGTGAATTATATTGCAATAAAGCTGTTATAAAAAAGAGAAAAAGAAAAGATCTCTGTATGAACTCCACCAGATGCCCTGACATCTACTCTGGAGACTGTTAAGCCACTGCTGACTAAAATGAACATAAAGCTGAAATTAAAGTGGAGTGCTGGGGTAGAACATGGAAGAAAATTGAGCCATCTTTGTCCCTGATAGGGATTCTTCACCTTCCAGGCTTAACAGGGGCTGGAAGATGGTCAAAGTTCTCGGTGAATGTGATGAACAAAATATACTTCCTTTATGGACTGATACCACCAGGGACCTGTCCATTTGAAAAAAAGAAAATCTTCTGAAGGAGAGGGCTGCAGAGATTCAGAATGGGACTTTGGCTTCAAAGACAAGTTGCTAACATCTCCCACAGAACCTGCTGCTTTTCATTCTACAACGTGTAAGCAGAAGAAAATCTGCAGCAGCATCTGAGACCTGCAAGACCCCAAAAGCAGGGTCATGATGGGTCTTGAGCATTTATGTTAGTGACCGGTCAGGCTCACTTGCAGTCAAGTGACAGGAGCAGGTTTCTGTCCTCAACACCTCCCTCAATTTCACTACAAAGAAATTGAAGCAAGTGATGGCTCTTCTCAAAGCCAAAGTTTTACAGAGAAGGATAGTTTGTCCAGAGCATCATTGTCTCAGTCCCTGGCCATGTCCACAGGTGTCTTCACCCTCCCTCCAATACCTGTTCCAGCTGGTTAGATAAATATAATGGAAGTTCTGCATGTATCCATTCTGTGCTGAGGCGACCAACAACAGAAACTCTTTACGGAGATTTTAAAAGAATCACATACCACACCTACTGAAAGTGTGTCTGTGGGTGAAGGAGCTAGCCATTTGCCCTGAAGGAAAAGGAGATAACACAGGCAGAGAGGCAAAATTGCCACTTACAATACTTTCATCTTGCCAGGAAAATTTGGGCCCTCACAAGGAAGAGGAGTAGGAAACAACAGAAGGTGAGAGGAAGGGAAAGAAATCAAACCAAACCAAACACCACAGCCTAGGACTCGCCTGCCCCTTTAGGTCAGGTTAAGTCCTATAGCTTATAAAGCCTTCTATGTGACTGGGAGACTTGAATCCCATCACAGAGATGAGCAAGATAAACTTACAACCATGAAATCCTTCTGTTGGTGCGCACGTAAATGTCAACACATTTACATATCCGTCGACATCTCAGAGCGAGATTCCTACCTCACTCTTGTTTATGTGGTCTACTTACTTTTGGACTGTTGGATGCGGTTTCATGGTTGCCGCAGAAGCTGGCCCACTTGCAGCAGTGGAAGGCTCTTGGTTTTCTGTAGCTTGGTTTTCTGGTCTGAATTTCCTACGAATGGGCTTTGATGGTGGCTGAGAATACAGTACATCCTGTGGATTTAAAACAAAATAAAAATTAAAAAGTTAAACATTTCAATGTTCCCTCCACTCTTCCTTCCAGTGTCCCACATGCCTTTAGCCCCAACCCCAAGATCAGGAGGGTACTCTATTTACTGACCCATGGCTCAGCAAGAACTGGGGGGACACAGGCATCAGAGTCCAGTGGTCTTCCCTTTTTTCTTTTTCTTTTTAAATGTTTCAAGAAGTCTATTACTTCTTGTCACCTGAAACTCACACAGACCCTGTGTGCATCTCACACCATGGGGCCTTTCCTAACTGAAGACAAGATAGGCTCCTGCCTCACTTTGAAGCCTTTTAAACCTAAATTTTGGCCGGGCGCAGTGGCTCATGCCTGTAATCCCAGCACTTTGGGAGGCCGAGACGGTCGGATCACGAGGTCAGGAGATCGAGACCATCCTGGCTAACACGGTGAAACCCCGTCTCTACTAAAAATACAAAAAATTAGCCGGCCTGCTGGAAGATGCCTGTAGTCCCAGCTACTCGGAAGGCTGAGGCAGGAGAATGGCGTGAACCTGGGAGCTTGCAGTGAGCCGAGATCGCGCCACTGCACTCCAGCCTGGGCAACAAAGCGAGACTCTGTCTCAGGAAAAAAAAACAAAAACAAAAACAAAAAAAAACCTAAGCTTTGGAAGTTTTTAAAGGTCTTAGTCATATGCTCATCATTCTCCTATCCCCAATTCCTACATAAAGTCAAGAAAAAGAGCCACAGTGTATTCTGGAAGGACACAGTTGGTCTGCTTCTTTGGAGGACTCTACCTCACCTGTGCTCCTGAGCCCAAGGCCCACTCTCTCTGAAAGAAGAGCCTGGGAGAAGGACAAGAAGAGGGTGAGGAGATGAATGGAGAGCATGATGAGTGAGGGGTACTTACTGAGCAAATTACAGGTGACCCAATGGCATGGCTGGGCAGATGCCAGGTGAAAATGCCACGATGCAAGAGGAAACCATGGTACAAAGACCAAAAAGGAGAGACTACCCCACCCCAAGAGGTATTCACAGAGGCTTAGCAGGTGGATGGGGTTTTGCTAAAGACATCTGTCCCTCCCCACAGCCCTTTTAGCTCTTGCCATAAACAAGGCCACCATGTTTAGCTGGGGGGCTAAGGAGGTTGAGTATGTACTGTCATGTACAAAATGCATCAAGGGTCAAGCCCAGGAATCTTCAGGACCCCAATCTTCACAAAGAACCCACATTCTAGGAAATCTGGATCATTGACATTCATTTCAGGACACAGAAACCTTAAAACAATAGATCAGCTAATAGAGATAAGAAGCCCGGGGTGGGACTCGCAACGCCATCTGACAGCATCCTCAGGCTGACCTTACCTTCTTTGCTGGACTACTTTCTGCAGCCTGGGATGGGGCTCTGCTCAGCTGTGGGAGTAACTCGGCCTCCGACACTTGTTCAGACTGTAGCAAGAGATCAGAGAGAGGACAGAAATGCAAAACCACAATCACCTAAATATACAATAAAGAGCACTTAGGAAGATAGTCACCAAGGGAAAACTGATTTAGGCCAAGTTGCAGCCAAGAATGCTTAAGTCTGCTGATCCTTGGGAAAAACCTCCCATAGATGCTGCTATTAACCTTCCCATCCCTCCTTCCCAGATTGTTCAACCTTAGGAAAAGGAATCATGGGAATTTCTTCTGTAATTGAACATATGTATTGCTAAAAAACTAATGCTTCGCAACAACAAACTCTAAAAGTAACAAGGCTTATCGGAAAAACAGGGTTGAAAACAAAGATTTTAACTTGAGCACCAACAAAAACAATCAACATCATTAAAAACACTGAATTTTTTAAATGTTAAATTTCTAATAAAGAAATACTCTATGAGCAGTGTGAAGAAGAAGAGGTAAGAACTATCCCCCAGGCCAACCAAAGCCCACGCACTGCTGCATCCCCAGATCCAGCACCTACATTCCACTGCAGTCGCCTCCACCATGCCCAAGAGAAAGGCTGAAGGGGACGCTAAAGGAGATAAAACCAAAGTAAGGACAAACCACAGAGAAGATCTGCAAGGTTGTCTGCCAAACCTGCTCCTCCGAAGCCCAAGCCTAAAGAGGCCCCTGCAAAGAAGGGAGAGAAGGTAAAGGGGAAAAAGGAAAAAGCCCATGCTGGCAAGGAGGGGAATAACTCTGCAGAAAATGCAGAGGCCAAAACAGAGCAGGCACAGAAAGTTGAAGGCGCTGGGGATGCCAAGGGAAGTGTGTGCATTTTTGATAACTGTGTATTTCTGGTGACTGTGCAGTTTGAAGTATTATTTTTTTATTAAGTTTTATAAAAATGCAGAATTGTTTTTATGCCTTTATTTTAAGCCATGTTGTTAGCACACGGAACACGTCATTGTTGTTTTATGGAGAAGGGGTATATGTCACTAATAGAATGTCTCTGAGGCCAGGCACCGTGGCTCATGCCTGTAATCCCAGCACTTTGGGAGGCCGAAGCAGGCGGATCACCTGAGGTCAGGAGTTTGAGACCAGCCCGACCAACATGGCGAAACCCCGTCTCTACTAAAAGTACAAAAACTAGCCAGGCGTGATGATGGGTTCCTGTAATCCCAGCTACTCAGGAGGCTGAGGCAAGAGAATCACTTGAAGCCGGGAGGCGGAGGCTGCAGTGAGCCAAGATCGTGCCACTGCACTCCAACCTGGGCAACAAGAGCAAGACTTCGTCTCAGGAAAGAAAAAAAAGAAAAAGAATGTCTATGAAGCTGGACTGATGTGGAGAAAACACCTTTCCCTTCTAGTTTTAAAGACATCTTCTTGGCTCCCAGAAAGAGGGACTGTCTGACGTTGACACACACAGTCACCTTCGCACAAAGGCCTTGTGGTGTGGAGAAACAAATTCCTCTTTATTTCCCCCTCTCCCTCTCTGCCTTCAGTATACACTTAACTCCCTCAAACCCAGATACCTGTTGGGGTCTGGCCCCCAATAACTGGTTACCAGTCAGGCTGGCAATCTGGACTTTCCAGCGAGAACCCTTGAAAGACACGTGCTCTGTTTCTAGATTGTGGATCTTCAGATAAATTCTGCCATTTTCATTTCATTTCCTGAAAGTCAGGGTCAGCTCATGAAAAGTTGTTAAACAGCACGTTGAATGTGAAATGTCAACCCTCACTCTGAACTTTCCCTCTTCAGGGTACCAAATGAAGACTTCATTGGGTTTTACCATGGCTTTCTGATTTTGGAAGTCCATTGAAGGAGGGAGTCTGAAAGTTGTATACTGTTAATGATTGTCGCTCATGTCCTGCCTGAAATACCATGACTGTTCACAAAAAGTATCTTTAATAAACCTGGACACAGTTTGGGAAAAAAAAAAAAAAAAACTCTAGTAAATATGGCCCTTCTTAAAAAAGGAAGGGGGACTGTGGTCGAAGGAGTTATCAGAAGGGTCAAGGGTGCTGAGTGGAATGGAATCAGTGACTAAACTCACCAAGATTGGCAAGGAATGTCCCCAAAGCACTTCAAGACAGAGTGGGTGCCAATCAGTCAAGTGGAAGAACACAGGGTGACTGCGCCTCATGAGCAGCTCTCTATGTCCCCCATTTCCCCCAGTCTTCTGCCTTCAGGTGTGTTAGTCTGCTTTCAGCCACTAGTAGCCAGTGATGCCAAAACATTCATGTGCTGAGAATGAACCCTACATATGAACCAATGTGACTTCTACATCATACTGACACCAGTCATCTACTGACCCACAGATAATCCTCATTACAGAAACACACATTGTAGCACAACAAACTGACTTAGTATGCCCACTTCATCCCTAACGTGGCCTTCTCTAACCTCCTTCAGAGCATGGCTTCTTCCTCTGACTCCACTGAAATGGCTAGTTCCCAAGGGCGCTAACATACCCCCATTTAACACGTTATGGCTACCTCTTCTCGTCTTCTCCTCATTGATCTTCTGCCCAGTATAGCACCTTTGACTATCTTTTTTAAACTCCTGCCCCTGGCATCTGAGAAGCTGCAATCTCCTAACTGTAGTCATTCACTCTTTTTCCTGTTTTGACTCCTCTTATCCCTCAAATGTAGGATTTCTCAAGGTTCTGTCTTTAGTTGCTCCACCCATTTTTCCCTCCCTGTTCATTCTCTCCCAGGGTAATCCCATCTGTTCCTACATTTTATCCCAAGCAATTCCCCATCTCCTCTAAATCCACTATGCAAGCACTCAATATTCCTGACTTCTAGTTCCAACTAGTTCTTATAGCTTTCTCCCTTCCATTAACGATAACTATATTGTTGTTGTTGTTACTAATAGGTACTATGATGCACACAACACTTACTATGTGTCATACATTGATCAAAGGGCTTTGCATGGATCATTGCAATTCATCATCACAGCCCTAGGAAGTAGTTATTATCCCCATCTTATTGGTGAAGAAATTGAAGATCAAGAAGTTAAGGAACTCACCCAAAATCACACAAATAGCAGAGTCTGAACACAGGCCTTGATTTCCAAAGCTAAGCTTATAACCACTATGCCATACAGTCTCAGGTATTCTCAGGCCTGAGTGTTACTCATTCAAGACATATTTATTAAGCAGCTACTACAGGCAGGCCCTGTGCTAGCACTGGCACTCAAGGATGAACAAGATACAGATCCTGCTTAAGAGAAGCTTGAAGTCTAGTGGGAGCAACAGGGAAGTGACAAAGCCAACTTGCTTCAGTGGACTGTGGAGGGCAAGTATGGGGAATACAGAAGCACCCAGTCTCATGGGTCGGCAAAGACTCAGGAGCAGGTGATGTCTCAGCTGAGGCCTGGGCTAAAAGAGCAATGTGTGGGAATGGTGAGAAAGACCCAAAAGTAAGTTCACAAAGGGCCTCCCATGCTCCAACATCCATAATTTCAGCCAGGGCTACCACAAGAACACTAAGGTCAATCCCCAAGATGGGAAACACAGGAGAAGCAGGAGTGAGGGGGAACTCATCTTTAGGCAGATTGAGTTTGAAGTACCTGGGAAACAACCAAGCAAAGCTGTCCAGGAGCCATTCACTGCCAGGAGTCTAGGGAACACAAGCCCTCACCCTGCTTTCCCTGGAGGTTCATACAAATGGACGCATACTCCAAGCTCTATGAGCCAAAAGTCAGTTTTATTAACAGCTGAAGGAGGGCCCAGTAACCCCCTGAATGCAGGGCCTCCTGTGAACCCCACTGAAGAATGCAACTTGAACCTGAGGCCCCTTCTTGCCTTTTACCTAGAAATCTATTGCTTGGAAGGTAATATATGTTCTGGCCCAAGTCTACGCATGCAGCCTCCTGCAGGGACCACAG
The DNA here is from genome assembly GCF_000001405.40 of Homo sapiens. Lineage (NCBI taxonomy): Eukaryota > Metazoa > Chordata > Mammalia > Primates > Hominidae > Homo > Homo sapiens. The sequence continues at coordinate 17,129,958 of NC_000023.11, read as the reverse complement.
GTATGCAGCAATATCTTGCAGCAGGCAGGCAGAGAGAGGATAATAATTTCAGGCTCTCTGCCTTTCAGTTAGTTGGTTCTCCTCCATCATCAGGTGGACAGAGAAGTGTTTGCTCTACCACTCCATTCCCTGGTGAGATGAGCAAAGTCTCCTTGTGGAAATATCCAAGGAGATGATAAATGGACCCTTTTTCAACATAAATGAGGATTCCAAAGCACAGCAGAGCGTCTTTGTTATTGCCTCCTTTTCTCTTAAACATCTCTAAAAACACAAACAATAGGGTGGGGGATGAGGAAGCAGCTGTGAGATGTGTCTTAAAATGTTTTTCATTTGCAAATTTACCTTCCTGAACTTGTATGCAAGGGCCTGGGTTTTCCAGCTCTATGTCTGGTAACAGACCACTGCATGGTGTTATGTCAGGCTAAATCTGACCATCAATCCCCTAAATTGATCCATCTATCAAGCATTCGGAGGAGCGAATCTCAGGAGGGACCTGGAACACAGGCATTAGGAAGGTCCCAGAATAAGGCACAGCCTTGACAGAGCCAGACATTATCCCAGGAAAAGAGATGGGCAAAGATAACCGGCTGTGTGATAAGAAAAACTAAAGATGAGATTTAGGCATGTAAAAGACCCTCTTCACAATAAGCTTTCCTTCATAAAAATAGTTTGAGGCTTATGTTAGGCTTGGGATGTGGAAAGCAGAATAAGGTGGGGAGGTTTCTTTGCTATTTCTTGAGACTTTTCTTAGTTACCAACTTTGGAAGAATGATAATCCAAGAAAACAAGGGGCCTCAGTGGTTCTCTTCCTCCTCTGTGTATTTGGGGTCATGGGGAACAACTCTGCCAACACGATAATATGGCTTTGTCCGACAGTTTTGGTTTTCTGAACTGAAATCCAGTGACTGATTCTTGTGGGAAAAAAACAGATATATGGATTACAATTAATATAACAAATGGCAGTTCTGCCCTCACGGTTCCATGTGTAACAACATGTACCCAGTCAGGATGTGACAAACCAGGAAAATGTACTTTTAGCAAAGAGCTCACTGAAATGTGAGCTAAAGTTCCTTTTAAAAATATATAATATTGTAATATTAATACTTCCTTATTCACAAATGGCAAATATACTTTCACTCTAATTTTGCAATGAAAATCCTGGACTTAGACAGTGCTGCCACTCATGATGTGGCAAACTGTCCTGGGTCTTCGACCATTCCCATGGTTGATGGGACAATATGATCCCTGCTGAGCTGACTTCCCAGAAATGGACACAGGTCCAGAGAGGCTAAGCATTTCTATGCATTCATTTATTCAATTACACAGATATTTTTTTCGTACCTCTGGTATGTCAGGGACCATGGTAGGTGCTTGGGACATGGGTACGGGGAGGCCCACTGTAGTAGGTGCTGTGTTGGCCCCACCTGGGTCACCTTTCCCTGGCTGGCACACCATCCCCCAGCTGCTCTGAGTGTTAGCTACTGAGGACTCACAGCCACCCTCTTCTCTAGAGACTTATTCTCAACTAATGGGAGCCTACCTCCCACCCCCACCTCCAGCAGCCTATAATGACTGACTTAGAGAAGGATATAAAAGGCCAGTCCCCTGTCTCAAACAGGGTTAACTCTATTATGCAATTATGTACCAGAATCCTGCCTGTGTGGATCAGGCCAAGGTCAGATTTTATCTGAGACTATATCATTGCTTGGCTCCTTCCCCTTCCCTACTTTTCTTCCCTCTCCTCCTTCTAGGTTTTTTCCTAAAGAGCACTCCTTCAACAAATCACTTTTGAAGAATCCTCATCTCAGGGTTCTGCTTCTAGGGAAGCTGACCTGAGACACTATGCAACGTACTCCCAGGAGAGGGGACTGAAAGCACTCTAGTATGCTCCTCCTTGTTGTCTCTGTTTCTATCTCTATCTCTCACTCTCATATCACTTGTTCTGGAGACAGTCAGCTGCCACATTGTGAGGACACCCAAGCAGTCCTAACAAGGGGTCCATACAGCAAAGAAGTGAGGCCTCCTGCCAACAGCCCTGTGAGTGAGCCATCTTAGAGGTGGATCATCAGCTCCAGTTAAGCCTTCAGATGACTGCAGCCCTGGAAGACATCTTGACAGAAGCCTCATGAGAGGATGTAACCCCGAACCACCCAGCTAAGTCACTCCCAAGTTCCTGACCCAAAGAGACTGTGAGTTCGTAAATGTCAGTTGTTTTAAGTTTCTGGGGGGACAAAAAGGCATCCTGATATATCTAGAATTTGGGGACTTGCAGGGTGGAGGAAGGGTGAGGAGTCAGGAGAAAAATGGGAGAGCTGAAGCTGGAGAAGGGCAGCAGGGGATAACACATGGTTTCCCAGACCTGGTTTGTTCTGGGTCATTTGCTAAACACTCAACACCATCCCCCATTTCCATGCCCTTCTCTATGCCACAGCAGGCAGAAGCCTGGAAATATCTACTCCTTTTCTTAAGTAACTAATTCCTTAAATTAAATCTCTTCCAGTACGAAATACCAGGAGTAGTTTCTGTTTGCCCAACCAGACTGACACACATCCATCCTGAGGATCTGAGCTTATCCTGAGGGCCACAGGGACCACTGAAGGATTTTAAGTAAGGAATCAATCTGACTAGATTTGTATTTTACAAAGGTTATTCTAGATTCAGTGAGTAAAAAGGACTAGAGGTAACTCATATCTGGGGAAAAGGAACCTAATTCGAATGCTGAAAAAGAAAAGATGACGGTCATGTAGGCCAGGTTGGTAGGAATGGGTTCGGGCTGACTTAAGAGCTACCCAGACTGGAAATTGAAGACACCCTTGGCCATTTTTGGAATGTTGTGAGTGCAAGAAAAGATAAGGACACATGGAACCCAGGTTTGGATCCTGGATAATGGGTAAATGGTTGAGAGATAAAGTAGTTTAAAGCAAGAGGCAGGAATGATGGCAGTATGGAAACAGAATAAAATGAGGCAGATTTATCATAAAGCAGTGCTAGAACAACCCATGTATATCTTCTTCTAGTAGCATCTCTGAAAGGGGGTACCAGGAAGCACCAGTTCCATGAATTGTCTAGAGCAGGGATTAGCAAACCTTTCTGTAATGGGCAGATAGTAAATATCTTAGGCTTTGAGGGCCAGACTACCTCTGTAGCCACTCTGCAACTCTCCTGTTGTGCTAAAGCAGCTACAGACAATACGATGAATGGGCACAACTGTGTTCCAATAAACTTTATTTACAAAAAAAAAGTGGTGGGATAGATGAGGCCTATGAGCCATAATTTGTCAGCCCCTGGCCTAGGGGGAAGAAGAATCTACAGATAAGCTTAGGAAACACTGCCTGGTCTATCTCCCTCTTGGAGATTCACTGAGCACACAGAACATTACACACTCTGAAATTCTGAAAGGAAGTCACTTGCCTTTGCGTAGCCCATCAGTTCCCAAATTTATTTGGTTTCATCTCCTTATTCTCATGTAACTTCTATTAACATCCTGAAGAACTAATGTTCTGTGGAACATACTTTGAGAAACATTGACTATAGACTGGATTTTAGAGGAACAAAGGAAGAATATTCTATTTGACTTAATGCCAAACGCCATATTCCACACCTAACCCTTGGGGAGGTGCATTCTCCACTGTGGTTGGCAGATCCAACTCCAGGGGCCCCTGTTGCACTCCCCTCCCCTCTCGCTTTGGCTTAGAGTATGGAGACAGGGTGAGAATGAGGTTGCTGCCTGGCCAGAAGGGGGTCCCTTCTCCCTGCGGTAGCAGCTGTTGCTGCTGCCAACTACTTCTTTGCATGAATTTATTTACAGGGCTCCTTTAAAACCTCTTGGACAAAAACACAATAAAAATAGTTAATTATAATAGTTTAGGCAGATGAACATGACATTAATAAATTATGCATTTTTTAAGGAGTTTAAAACAGTATGTCTCAGATTCCAGTTCCACTGAGGCAGGTTAGCTTTACAAAGGTCCCACTGGTCCCATCTGAGTCCAGGTACTCGTCACACTTATCACCTGGGCCACTGCAAAGACTTCACTGGGTCTTTTTCCAGCCTTCAGTTCTAGTGCACTCTGATCCACCCTGCACACCACTGAGAAATTAATCTGGTAAAGCACCATCTAATCAAAATGCTTTTTCTCAAAGCCCTTCACTGGCTCCCCAAAGCCTATGGCACACAACACAATCCCTCAGCCAGTTAAAGGTCTTCCATCCTCTGGCTCCAATTTACCTCTGCAACATAACTGGGTTAGTTCGCCCATATGGAACCTGCTCCAGGCATATAGGTATTCCCCAAATCTTCAAGCACATCAGAAGTTTCTCCCTAACTTAATTATGTTTGTTCTAGACCCTCTAGCCCAGTGGCTCCCAAATATAACCAGAGCAGGATAATTATCTGGGGAACTTTTTATAAATTCAGATTTGTAGATGCTATTCCAGACTTCCCTCATCAGAATCCCTTAGGGATGGGGCATTAGAAACTTATATTTTAACAAGCACCCTAAGTGATTTTTATGTAGCCAGCCCAGATCAACTGGGAACCACTGATGGTCCAAACTCTTCATTTAAGAGATGAGAAAACCAAGTCTCCAAGGCCCTAGTCTGGGCAAGGCCACAGGTGCTCTTGCAAAACTAACTAGGCTTCTTAATTGTTTTCTCATCCATTCATCATAGAGGGAATGGGGGTATATGCCACATGGTTCTATAGATAAATATTTGCAGCTGGGCAAAATCTTCAGCAGTAAGATTTTGTTTAAAAGTCAAATTTGCAACCAAAAAAAAAGTCAAATCCCACTTAAAAAATAGTCTGGCCGGGCATGGTGGCTCACGCTAGTAATCCCAGCACTTTGGGAGGTGGATCACTTGACACCAGGAGTTTGAGACCAGCCTACCAACATGATGAAACCCCGTCTCTACTAAAAATACAAAAATTAGCTGGGCGTAGTGACACGCTCCTGTAATCCCAGCTATTCAGGAGGCTGAGGCACGAAAATCACTTGAACCCGGGAGGCGGAGGTTGCAGTGAGCTGAAATCTCGCTACTGCACTCCACATTCCAGCCTGGGTGACAGAGCAAGACTCTGTCTCAAAAAAAAAAAAAAAAAAGAAGTCCATCTGTAGAACTTTGCCAAGGTGTGGATAATAGGTAACTTTTTTTTTTTTAGGTTTGCAATATTGGCAGGTCAGAAAAACGAACTCAGGCTTTATCATCCAAGGATCCAGGTGGATTCCAAGAATGGGGATCACAAAGGCAGCAGCTAAATTCTAGGCAGACAAGAAGACAATCCTGCTGCTGCCTCCAGGGCCTTTCCAGCATTCTGTCAGTATTCTAAATGTCATTTGGTGCCTAGTTTTCACCTGTCCCCCATCTCCGCTAGGCAAGAACACAACAGAAAGCCATTTGCTAAACCCAGTCACAGAAGATGTAGAACCAATGGCCCAGCACACCACTGTTCCACCCCATCATTCCCCAACCAGGCTCAGAGAGAGGGGTAAATAGAGCCTCAAGAAGGTCCAAGAGACTGAATTCTCAGCAAGAATGATTACCAAAATCCATGACTCAAGTCACCTGTGAGAGACAGAACATGATAAACGAATGGTAAGCACCTGGAGGGCAGGATCTGTCTTGCTTCCCTATCATTTTCTTGATACCTAAGCTGCATGCCAGCAAACAACAGGTCCTCTAATCAATGTGTGGAATAAGCCAGCAATGAACCCAATACTGTTTCATGTTCCACTGGAGAAGAGGTCAGTAATTCATTCCTTGGTAACTGCACCCACAGAGCACAGAACAGTTACAGGATATAGGCTCTGGAGTCAAACCCAGGCTTTGCAGTTGCTCATTGTGTGAGCTGGTCACATGCTTAGTCTCTCTGAGCTGCAATTTCTTCATCTGCAAAGTGGGATAATTCACCTAACTCACAATATTGTGAAGATTAAGCAAAATATCTGTCTAGTGTGCTAAGCACAATTACACAGTAACTGTTTGACAACAGCAGCTACTATTATCATTAGGATTAAAATTATGATTGGTTTCCCAGGCATAGTTCCTCCTACTGCAAGCAGCAGCCAATCCAACATAAGGGCATTTTCCTCCTTGCCAAACAGATGAAAACCTAGGCTGAGAAAATGCTGGCTCCAATTTAGAATATAAGCAGATCCCACAAAGCAGGCTATCCACAGTCTAAATCTGTGCCACTGGATATTACCGCTACTAATATTGGGGGGAGAAAATTTTAAAAATAAAAGCCCGGTCAGACTTTCATGTTTCACGGCTGCTTTAACATGGATATCTCAGGCAGTGTGCAGTGAACATCTCTGGTGGGCACCCCCCTCGGTAGACCAATCCAACACTGGAGACACTCAGGAAAACACTGACAGAGGGGCTCAGGAACAACTTTGGTGAAAGTGGGTACCAGTGACTATAATGGGCAACTAGTTGCTGGATTCAAGAGTCACATGGCAGAATGCCTTGGGGATTCTTGGAACCCATTAGATTATGGACAACATCCATGAGACAGACTTACTGTTACAACTAAAGGACTATGAGCACTTTATTTTGGTCTAAAAGACAAATATTTTGACCATGACCTGGGTTTTGTTCTTCTATGTCCAATTTCTAGTAATGGAACAGAAATCTGAGTCAAGTCTGAACTGTACTCTCTATATCACATACCTAAAGCCATATTATAACACCATCTGCAGAGTCAACAACATGAGCCTCACAGGTAAGGTGATCTAAAGCAGGATTCTCTAGAGACTCACGCTCCCCAGGGATGAGGTTGAAGAAAGATGCCCCATGCATGCCTCTTGCCAAACCAAAGAGACCCTTAGTAAAACAGGCACCCACCAGCAGCACAATTGAAAGGCACTTCATTATGAGGCCTTTAGAAATTCTTTCTGTTGGGCCCCAATCTCTGACATATATAGGCCTGGCAATAATAACAAATGTATATACAAATTTCAAAATGCCTCAGAGCCCTGGCCTATGAACCGATATTTTATCACACTTACAATCTGAATTCCTTTCCTGGTTTCTTTGCTCTGTGTATCAGTGTGATGGAGTATTAGAGTAACATCCTTTCCGACTTACTGATAGTTCACACTTAGACTGTGATAAATGTCCCCTTTTGGGTTGACATAGCCCTTCCTGCATGAGCCATGTCCATCAGAATAATGTGGCTTTAAAATTTTTCAATTAGAAATAGCTGGCCAGAAAGGGAGCTATAAAAATTATGTTAAGAGTTAGGAACCATCCATAAAATAAATTCAGCATTGATGAGGACATGGAACTGGAGTGGGAACACCATTAATGGAGTGTAAATCAGTACAAACACTTCGTAAAACTGTTTGGCAGTACCTACTAAAGCTGAACATATGCCTACACCATGACCTAGAAATTCTACTCTTAGGTATATATCCAAGAGAAATGAAAACACTCATCCACTCAACAACTTGGATACGAGTGTTCACAGCAGCACTATTCATAATTGCCCAAATCTGAAAAGTACAAAAATGTCCATCAATAGTAGAAAACAGTGTTATATTTGCACATACAATGGAATACTATACAGCAATGATCTCAATTACACACAACAGTATGAATAAATCACACAAACATCATTTAATAAAAAGCCAGACACAGAGTATATACCGCATAATTCCACTTATATAAAGTAGAACACAAGTCAAACTAATTTATGCTGTTAGAAGTCAGAATAGTGGTAACCCTAAGAATAAGAGATAGCGACTGGAAAACAGCACAAGGAGGGCTTCTGGGGTGCTAGTAATATTCTGTTTCTTGATTTGGGTGCTGATTATATGCATGTGTTCTGCTTGTGAAAATTGAGTTGCACATTAAATGTGCAGCTTGCTTTTCTATATGCAATTATACTTCAATAAAAAGTGTTTTGGGCCAGGCACAGTGGCTCACGCCTGTAATCCTAGCACTTTGGGAGGCCGAGGTGGGCAGATCAACTCAGGTCAGGAGTTTGAGACCAGCCTGGCCAACATGGCAAAACCCCATCTCTACTAAAATACAAAAATTATCTGGGTGTGGTGGCACATGCCTGTAGTCCCAGCTACTCGGAAGGCTGAGGCAGGAAAATTACTTGAACCCGGGAAGTGGAGGTTGCAGTGAGCTAAATTGCTTGAACCCGGGAAGCGGAGGTTGCAGTGAGCTGAGATCATGCCACTGCACTCCAGCCTGGGCGACAGAGTGAGACTCCGTCTCAAAAAAAAAAAAGTTTTAAAAATCCAGTAGAGCCGATTTCCTGTAATGTCCTTAAAGTGCCACCTAGTGGCACAAGTTAAACATAAACAAGAGGGAAGTTTTGCCCCTAGCAACTTCAAAAATATGGCCCCATTTCTAATAGCACATTCTGGGATTGGGCTAAAACAGTGCCCTAGACTAAAATCACTGGCATGATACATAAAGAAAAAAAGCTCTTGTTGCCTGGCACGTAGAATCCTGACACAAGGATTCAGAGGCAAGGGAAGCTGTCTACCACAGAGCATGCTAGTGTTAGTGAGCCGATGGTACACATCTCTTCCCAGCTCCACTTGCAGTCAGCATGGTGGGAGCATTCACAACACAGACAGCAACAACGGCTGCAAATTGGGGCTTTCCCCCACCCCGCAGGGGAGAAGGTTTACCAACACACCACTGGGTGATACTTACAAAATTTGATGGGCAGAGCAGGGTATTTAGGAGGAAGTTGGGGAGAAAAATTCCTTCACCCCATTTTCTCTGGACAGGCTTGTTTTCTTCTTCCTCTCCTTCAAGGATGAAGGAGTCTGGCTTCTTTTAATTATCTTGCGAAACAGAGTTGGGGAGGCCTACCCACTGCAAGCCTTTGAAGCTGCCAGTTGTATAAAAGATACTGCTCAGAATTTTGCTAGTAAAGTCTGAAAGACAGATCATCTCGGTCAAAGGTCCTCAAGGAAAAATCAGAAACCACAGACACGGGCATATGATCCTTGAGATAAGAGCAGGAGGGTTAAAGGCTGATGGGGAGGCCTATCCACCTGTCCACTGGTTCTTCTCATTGCCATTCTTTTGATCTATGGCAGGATTCTCAAGACTCATGTTCCCCGATGGAAAAGGTTGAAGATGCGCTATGCGTGCCTCTTGCCAATTGATTCTCCTTCACATTTCCATTATTTATAGAAACAGGTGACCATCTGGATTTGGCCTGTAGGCTATAGTTTGCCAACCCCTGACATAGGCAGAGAGACAGCCCATGAAAGGTCACAGATGAGGGTAACAATGTGCTTTGACTGCAAGTGCTTTAGCGAGCCACTTCAGCACTCATTCTGGGCTGGTTGCAACTAATTTCTAGCTATCTGGAGTCTGTTCTGTGTTTGCCAACTAGACCCCACCTCTGTTTCACTAGGCCTGTGGTGATGATAATTATAACAGCTAAATGTTATTGAGGGTTGACTATGGCACCAGGCATCATTCTAAGTGCTTTAGAGATCTTCACTCATTTAATCATCATAACCCTATGAAAATGGATACTACCATGATCCCCATTTTACAGATGATGAAATTGAGGCACAGAGAGACTAACTTGCCCAAAGTCACAAAGCCAGTAAGAGGCAGATAGGATTTGAAACCCCAAGCCCATGCTCTTAAATCCTCTGTCAAGCTGCCTCCCTGAGCCCAACCCCTGGTTGTCCTCCATTGTCCTTTCCCATTAGCACAGTAGCACATTTGGGCATCCTCCCAATCCACATCTGCTCCTCCCCTGACCCCCTCAGGAGTGCTTCCTTAAAGTCACAGTGTGGGCCGTGCACAGTGGCTCACGCCTGTAATCCCAACACTTTGGGAGGCCAAGGCAGGTGGATCACAAGGTCAGGAGTTCCAGACCAGCCTGGCCAACATGGTGAAACCCTATCTCTACTAAAAATACAAAAATTAGCCGGACGTGGTGGCATGTGCCTGTAATCCCAGCTACTCGGGAGGCTAAGGCAGGAGAATTGCTTGAACCTGGGAGGCGGAGGTTGCAGCGAGCCAGAATCGCGCCACTGCACTCTAGCCTGGGCAACGGAGCAAGACTCTTTCTCAAAAAAAAAAAAAAAAAAAAAAAAAAGTCACAGTGCGATAGGGGACAGCAGAGAAGAGAAATGAGGATTCCATTGCTCAGAAACCTAGAAAACCACCATAACTGAGCCCCCCAGGGGAAAACTGGGCTATATTGGTAGTTATTAGAAACATGGTGACCAGTTTATTGCTTACAACCTGTGTCAATAAAGCATTAAGAAATGGGTTTAAATGAGACACACAGAAAATGACTCAGTTGTAAGAACCATGAGAGACTATAGAATAGATAGTGTTGGGCATGACTGCTGTGAGAGGGTGACGCAGGATAAAGGAACTACAGGATAAGGATCACATCACAATCTTTGTGCTCCTATAGTTCTCAGCAAACTGTGGGCCTACAGTGAGCACATTCCGTTAACATCTGATGAAATGATTAGATGAATTTATGGCATCTTCCAGAAGAATGATACCAGCAGAGTGAGCTTTATATAACAATAGCATGGGCATAATATAATGAGGAAGAACCTAAGAAAGAAAACAAGTCACCAGAAGTGAGTTAAAGCTAATTTTTAACTAGTTCCATGAAATAAAATGTGTCCCTGACAAAGATAGTGTGTCAGTTTGATTGTTAATAAAATAATTGTGAGACGTGGTTTCACAGCACAGCATAGTAGTATAGTAGGAGCTGGTACACTGGGGCTAAATAGCCAAGGTAGGAATCATAGCCTTAACTCTTTCTTTCTGTCACTGACCTCAAGCAAGTTGCTGAGGTTCTCTGTGCCTTGTTTACTTATCTGCAATGTTAGGATAGCAATAGAACCCACTGCACGTGGTTGTTGTGAGGCTTAAATGAGTTAATATTTGTAAAGCATCTAGAAGAGCATCGGGCACTCTGTTGAAGTGCTTGATAAATTAATAAAATACATGAAGAATCGCAAAGCCTCTATGGTTTGTGTACTCTTAAAATCAATTTTGAAATGCATAAATAATTATTTATTATGCAAAAGTTCTCTTTCTGTTCCCTTTTAGGGGGTAGAATAAGGGTTACCCTTGGCCTTTTGCTACATCAAATATGTCCCACAGACCAAATGTGAAGGCCATTTTGGCTAAGATGAATGTAAGTCTGCACTGGGGAAGGCACTTTAAAAATAAGCATTTGAGATTAATGTAGGAAAGAGTTCACATTTAGAAAATTATTGGTGGGCACAGAGTGTAGAAATTTAATCAACTTTTACTTAGCAGATCTACAGTTAATTTTTGTGATGTATAATGAATGATTTTTCTCTCTCTACATGCTTATTAAATTTCTAGCACTTCCCCAGAAACCTTTTCCAGCCCTTTTCTTCTACAGCAGGCTGGCTTACTTACCAACTGCGAGGCCCAAGTAGTTAACTTCTGCTCTCTGAATCTCAACTTCCCCTTACATAAAATGATATGCAATGACAGATGTGAGAGTGTTAGCATGAACTGTTAAAATTTAAAAGACTCAGTCCCACTCAGAAGCAAGATAAAGGTCTCTGTGGGGCCAAATCACAAAGTGGTAGGTCAGGCAGAGGGTGCAGAAGCAGGCAGAGGGTGCAGAAGCAGACAGAGGCAGCTGAGAGTTCCTAATAACAGGGATTTAAATGTCCCACATGAATCATTAAAAAGTCAGGAAACGGCCGGGCGCGGTGGCTCACGCCTGTAATCCCAGCACTTTGGGAGGCCGAGGCGGGCGGATCACGAGGTCAGGAGATCGAGACCATCCCGGCTAAAATGGTGAAACCCCGTCTCTACTAAAAATACAAAAAATTAGCCGGGCGTAGTGGCAGGCGCCTGTAGTCCCAGCTACTTGGGAGGCTGAGGCAGGAGAATGGCGTGAACCCGGGAGGCGGAGCTTGCAGTGAGCCGAGATCCCGCCACTGCACTCCAGCCTGGGCGACAGAGCGAGACTCCGTCTCAAAAAAAAAAAAAAAAAAAAAAAAAAAAAGTCAGGAAACAACAGGTGCTGGAGAGGATGTGGAGAAATAGGAACACTTTTACACTGTTGGTGGGACTGTAAACTAGTTCAACCATTGTGGAAGTCATTGTGGCGATTCCTCAGGGATCTAGAACTAGAAATACCAGTTGACCCAGTCATCCCATTACTGGGTATATACCCAGAGGATTATAAATCATGCTGCTATAAAGACACATGCACACGTATGTTTATTGCGGCACTATTCACAATAGCAAAGACTTGGAACCAACCCAAATGTCCAACAATGATAGACTGGATTAAGAAAATGTGGCACATATACACCATGGAATACTATGCAGCCATAAAAAATGATGAGTTCATGTCCTTTGTAGGGACATGGATGAAGCTGTTAACTATCATTCTCAGCAAACTATCGCAAGGACAAAAAACCAAACACTGCATGTTCTCACTCATAGGTGGGAATTGAACAATGAGAACACATGGACACAGGAAGGGGAACATCACACACTGGGGACTGTTGTGGGGTGGGGGAAGAGGGGAGGGATAGCATTAGGAGATATACCTAATGCTAAATGACGAGTTAATGGGTGCAGCACACCAACATGGCACATGTATACATATGTAACAAACCTGCACGTTGTGCACATGTACCCTAAAACTTAAAGTATAATAATAATAAAAAATAAAAATAAATAAATGTCCCGCATGAGGCAGGGGACTGGTACCAAGCTCATTCCCTGATGCCAGAGGCTAAGGTATCACTTTGCTACCTGTGAAGCTGCAAAACCAAGATGAAGCCTGTGGAGAAGCTCTGGGTTGCCTACTTAGGAAAGGAACTGAAGCAGATATAACACTGAAGCCTGGTTCTGGGCTAAGCACCATTGGGTGCCATCTACAAGACCCCTGACACCTGCACCAGATGGAAGTACTGTATTTCAAGTATAAGAATCAGCTCTTGACTGGAGGCCATGGATGCCAGGAATAGTTGGTAGAGACAGCCACTGAACTGGCAGAAAGTGAGGAGCTCAGAGAACTGAGAATGAGATTGAACTCCAACTCAAAATAAGCCTACAAAACAAAATTCCAAAAAGCATGGTAGAACAGCCAAATAAAAAAGGCAAATTCGCTCCTGACAAAAACAAAAATAGAACAAGTTAAAAATAACTTTAAAGTAAGTATTTTAGAATCCTCAAAGTTAAAAGTGGAGAATAGATCCTAAAAAAGAATAGATGGGTATAAAACAAAAATAGGGAAAAGTAAAACAAGAACAGGTTGTTATAAAAAAGAATGGATTATAAAACCTAGAATCAAAGAATAGTGATAGAGGCTTAATAACAGAATAGGAAAAATTCTAGGCTATATAGTTATGCAGAGGATTTTTAATTTGGAAGATGAAGATTTCATCCAGAGCAAGCCCAGAAAGATCACAACATAAATAGATGAAAGTGACAAGGTGCGGTGCTCACATCTGTACATCCCAGCACTTTGGGAGGTTGAGATGGGAGGACTGCTTGGGCCCAGGAGTTCAAGACCAGCTTGGGTAACATGAAAAAACCCCATCTCTACAAAAAATACAAAAAATTAGCCAGGTGTGGTGGCATGCGCCTGTAGTCCCAGCTACTCAGGAGGCTGAAGTGGGAGGACAGCTTCAGCCCAGGAGGTTGAGGCTGCAGTGAGCCATGGATCATCCCATTGCACAGCCTGGGTGACAGAGCAAGACCCTGTCTCAAAAAAGAAAAAAAAAAGATGAAAGACACATTACTAGAGTTTTTTTTAAATGTGTTGACAGAAATATAGTTAGTTCCAGAAGAAAACAGAAGAAATAAGTAGAGAAGCAAAACCCACAGAGATATCACTAAATGTCCTAAAATTAAAGATGATTTTCCAGAAGGAAAATGCATGCCAAGTGTCACCTGGCATAAACAAATTTAAATCTACGCTTAAACCCATCGCAGCGCCATCAAAACAGAACACTGAAAGTGTGGGGAAAAGCAAGAGAGATCAGATTGTTACTGTGTCTGTGTCGAAAGAAGTAGACATAGGAGACTCCATTTTGTTCTGTACTGAGAAAAATTCTTCTGCCTTGAGATGCTGTTAATCTATAACCTTACCCCCAACCCCGTGCTCTCTGAAACACGTGCTGTGTCAACTCAGGGTTAAACGGATTAAGGGCGGTGCAAGATGTGCTTTGTTAAACAGATGCTTGAAGGCAGCATGCTAGTTAAGAGTCATCACCACTCCCTAATCTCAAGTACCCAGGGACACAAACACTGCGGAAGGCCGCAGGGACCTCTGCCTAGGAAAGCCAGGTATTGTCCAAGGTTTCTCCCCATGTGATAGTCTGAAATATGGCCTCGTGGGAAGAGAAAGACCTGACCGTCCCCCAGCTCGACACCCGTAAAGGGTCTGTGCTGAGGAGGATTAGTATAAGAGGAAGGCATGCCTCTTGCAATTGAGACAAGAGGAAGGCATCTGTCTCCTGCCCGTCCCTGGGCAATGGAATGTCTCGGTATAAAACCCGATTGTATGTTCCATCTACTGAGATAGGGGAAAACCGCCTTAGGGCTGGAGGTGGGACATGCGGGCAACAATACTGCTCTCTAACGCATTGAGATGTTTATGTGTATGCATATCTAAAGCACAGCACTTAATTCTTTACCTTGTCTATGATGCAGAGACCTTTGTTCACGTGTTTATCTGCTGACCTTCTCTCCACTATTATCCTATGACCCTGCCACATCCCCCTCTCTGAGAAACACCCAAAAATGATCAATAAATACTAAGGGAACTCAGAGGCTGGCAGGATCCTCCATATGCTGAACGCTGGTCCCCTGGGCCCCCTTATTTCTTTCTCTATACTTTGTCTCTGTGTCTTTTTCTTTTCCAAGTCTCACGTTCCACCTAACGAGAAACACCCACAGGTGTGGAGGGGCAACCCACCCCTTCAGAAAGTAAAAATAAACTTTTAAAAGCAATCCCAGAGGAAAGACAAAGCTGCACCAAAGGAATAAAAAATAGATTGACAGTACAATCCGGAGCAGTGGCAGCAATAAATGCTAGAAGAGGAGGTAATGCATTCAAAATACTGAGGAAAAATTACTTTCAGTCTAAAATTCTGTACACAGCAGAATTACTATTTAAGAGTGAGGGCAATAAGAGTTTACTATCCAAAGAACATAGATTTAAAAAATGACTAGATGATAATACTTCAGTACACTATTTCTTTGAACCTCACAATTGCTAGAGTCATCGTAACAATGTAATTATGCAATATATGTCTTATCACTATTTCTGAGAGCTGGTCTCTAAAAGTAGTTTCCAAAGGTCATTTTATTCTGGTAAATCTTCAAATGACTTTTTATTCTAGTTGTCATATCAGAGGACTTTTTTTTCTTTTCCCCAATCCTTAATTTTAAGACAAAATTTTTAAAAGAAAAACTGCATAACTTCCCCACCAAAACAGCCATTTAAACTTCTACCAATTACTTAGCAGTCTTCTCCAAGTATTTAACAGTAGGCACTTGACATTTAGGACTGAACCATCTGGAGACCTTCACAGATATCCCAATTCACATAAATACTACACATACATCATCTCCCAAAATATAAAAACTTATAAAAACAAGTTATAAGACAAGATAGGTAAATTATAAATGAGTCACCTAAGCGATCCCTTTAGACCCCTAAAAAGAGTTAGTAGAAATTCACTAAGCAGCTAAGAATCTCAAAACCCTACTGGGGAGGGAACAGTGGCTAATGTAAAAGTAATTCGAAATCCGACCACTGGAAAGGGGCCAATTACCATGCACCATGGACCTTCAAGGTCATCCTCAGAGATGAGAAAACCTTACCATCAAAGGTCTACCATATACTTATGTGGTACAATCAGGAAACACCTCTGTATTCAGCTGTTACCCCTCTTTTCTACTGTTTTGTCATGTAATCATTTTAATAGATGCCTAATATTCTAATCAGGCAGATATACATTACCCTTGACCAGTGCCTTCTTCCTAGATATTAAGGTGGTCTGTATTGTTCTTATTTTTATAATACTAAAATAAATGTCATCATAGAACTTTTCCTTTCTTTTGAATTAGTTACTAGGATTAATTCTAAAGACACTTATTGATAAAGAGCAAAATGCTGAGTACTTCTTTCAAAAAGAAGGAAGGGGGACAGGCTTACACTTTTCTCCTCCATTCCAATGCTGGTATTTCATTACTAATTCTCACCCTCTCTTCTCCTTGCACTTATCACTATGGCCATTTCCTTTGCCTTTTGAATTTGTCATTCAGTGCGAACTATTTGAGAATAGTTTTCAAATTTAAGAAATCCTCATAAGAGAACTTCCAAAACTCTTGAGATTCAATCAACACAGGTTGGTCCGAAACAGAATTGTTTCTTCATGATACATGAATCTAGAGATATGAGTAGCTCTGAGCAATCTATGAACCGATTCTACAACTAGGGAACATACAGTAAAAGGTACTGCCAAAGTTAACAAAGGAAAAATACATTACACAAAACAAGCATTCCACTTGAATATTCAACCTCGATAAATTTAAAACAATGTTATCTAGGGCAAATGATAAATTTATCAGAACCTGATTTCACTTTAAAATAGAGCCCTTTATTTTGACCAGAGGTTAACACATGCTTAATTATACTCTTGGTCAGTCTAGCTAAAGTTTTGTCAATTTCGTTGATCTTTGCAAAAAATCAACTTTTCAACTATTTTCTCTGTTGTTTTTCTGTTCTCTATTTTGTTTATCTCCACTCTACTCTTTATTATTTCTGTCCTGCTAGCTTTGGATCTAGTGTGCTCTTTTTCTTCCAGTTTCTTTTTTTTTTTTTTTTTTTTTTTTTGAGACAGAGTCTTGCTCTGTCGCCCGGGCTGGAGTGCAGTGGTGCAATCTTGGCTCACTGCAAGCTCCGCCTCCTGGGTTCACACCATTCTCCTGCCTCAGCCTCCCGAGTAACTGGGACTACAGGCGCCCGCCACCATGCCCAGAATAACATTTTTTTTGTATTTTTAGTAGAGACGGAGTTTCCCGTGTTAGCCAGGATGGTCTTGATCTCCTGACCTCGTGATCCACCCGTCTTGGTTTCCCAAAGTGCTGGGATTACAGGCGTGAGCCACTGTGCCCAGCCTTCTTCCAGTTTCTTAAGGTGTAAAGCTAACTGTTGATTTTGGATCTCTTCTTTTTTAATGTTAAGTGTTTATAGCTAAAACTTTCCCGCCGAGTACTGCTATCACTGCATCCCATAGGTTTTGATATGATTTTGTTTTCGCTCATCTCAAGGTATTTTCTAATTTCACTTATAATTTCTTCTTTGTGTTTTTAAGAGTATGTTAATTTCTACATATTAGTGAATCTTCCATTTTACTTCTGTTATTGATTTCTAGTTTCATTCCATTGACATCAGAGAAGATGTTTAATATAATTTCAATCTTTTGAAATTTATTGAGACTTGTTTTGTGGCCTAACATATGGTCTATCCTGAAGAATATTCCAAGTGCACTTGAGAAAAATGTCTATTGTGCTGATGCTGGGTGTTCTATAGTTATGTTATATCAAGTTGAACCATGGTATTGTTCAAGCTTTCTATTTCCTTATTGGTCTTCTGTCTACTTGAAGTCTCTAGTTCACTGTCATGCCAGTCCTCTTTCCTCTTTAAACCTTTCAAAGTCTGTTCTGGCCAGGCATGATGGCTCACACCTGTAATCCCAAGGCTTTGGGAGGCTGAGGTGGGAGGATTACTTGAGCTCAGGAATTTGAGACCAGCCTGGGCAATATAGGAAGACCCTGTCTCTACAAAAAATAAAAACATTAGCTCGGTGTGGCAGCAAGGACCTATAGTCCCAGCTACCCAGGAGGCTGAGTCCCTTCAGCCCAGGAGGTTGAGGGTGCAGTAAGCCATGATCACACCACTGCACTCCAGCCTGGACAACAGAGCGAGACCCTGTCTCAAAAAAAAAAAATCCTCTTTCCATTATAGTATTTCTGGGGGTTTTAGTTGTACTTAGCAGGGAGGAGCAGAGAAAATTAGTCCAACCTATCTTGTCCCTCAACTGTGTTTCATGAAGTTTTATCTATATTACAAAAAAAATTCTTGAACAGAGAATACAAAATAGAATCAGACATCTTAGCACTAGTAGGATCCCTCTAGTCCAATCTTCTTACTTTATAGAAGGGGCGATAGGTCCATGAGACTAACTTACTTAATTCCCACAAAGCCAGAGAGCTACACAGTAGCAGGACTAAGGATAAGACCACAGACAGACACATTCATATTACTACATTCAGCACAGTGTGGTACAGCTTTCAGTATGTTCTTTCATCATCACAAATGAAGGTACAGCCTTGGTTTATATCTTCTTTCCTTAATCACTGAAATACTCATTAACATGTTGTGATTTTCAGCTAATCTACAGCATACACTGTAGGACAGAACAAAGTAACACTTTGGAAGAAAATGAAGGTGGCATCTTAAGTGATATACGTTTATAAATTCACTTTGGAATAATTTCTGATTTTCTAATACATGCATGAATAGAAACTATCTTGATACATATTAAATTCGTATTTTGATGAGTAAAAATTAGGATGTTGTATATACCTTTGAAAGTTCATAAATATGCTTTAACAGGCAGTATCTTAAGGTGATTCAATGACTTATATATTACATGAGGTCATTTGAATATATTACAGCAAGAGATTTCATGATGTTTGGTGTTTATTCACGGAGTTTTAATTTGATAAAAAAAACATGCAATTTTAAAAGCAGTGACATTTCTCTATTGTTCACATTAAATAATGTTTCTTGCTATTTTCTTATAGATATTTGAAAGCTGACAACAATATAATACAGGTTAAGTATCCAAAATCCGAAAATACAAAATCCAAAATGCTCCAAAACCCAAAACTTCTGTTGTTGTTGTTGAGACAGAGTCTTGCTCTGTCACCCACGCTGGAGTGCAGTGGCTCAATCTCGGCTCCCTGCAACCTCAACCTCCTGGGTTCAAGCAATTCTCCTGCCTCAGCCTCCCGAGTAGCTGGGATTACAGGCACGTACCATCACGCCAGGCTAATTTTTGTATTTTTAGTAGAGATGGGGTTTCACCATGTTGGTCAGGCTGGTCTCGAACTCCTGACCTTAGGTGATCTGCCCACTTCAGCCTCCCAAAGTGTTGGGATTACAGGCGTGAGCCACTAAGCCTGGCCTCTTCTTTTTTTATTGTTTGTTTGTTTGTTTGTTTGTTTGAGACAGAGTTTCACTCTTGTTGCCCAGGCTGGAGTGCAATGTCGTGGTCTTGGCTCACTGCAACCTCCGCCTTGCAGGTTCAAGAGATTCTCCTGCCTCAGCCTCCTGAGTAGCTGGGACTACAGGCGCCTGCCACCCCGCCCGGCTAATTTTTGTTTTTTTTTTTTTGAGTAGAGATGAGGTTTCACCATGTTGGCCAGGCTGGTCTCGAACTTCTGACCTCAGGTGATCCACCCACCTCGGCCTCCCAAAACTTTTTGAGTACCAACATGACACTCAAAGGAAATGCTCACTGGAGCATTTAGGATTTTGGATTTTCAGATTTGAGATGGTCAACTAGGTAAGTGTAACGTAGATATTCCCAAAAAAAAAAAAAAAAAAGTGAAATCTAAACCACTTCTGGTCCCAAGCACTTCAGACAAAGGGTACTCAACCTATACTTCATTTTACTATCTTAAAAATTGATTTAGTATGTATTAAAAATAGATTCAGTATGTATGTTATGCTTTAATAAAATTAACACTTAAAAATGGATTAGATAGCCCTGTAAGAGACTTACATAATCACCAGGAATTCCTTCCCCTGCCCCAAAAAAGTATGTGTGGTCTAAAACTCTTAATTTCTCCCAGAAGAATTTACTATTTTGAATCACCAACTGTGTATTAACTTGTGGAAAGAATAATTTAAATGACAGGATATTAATTAAAAGGATAGAGTATTTAAAATGGTGTTGAATATTTCACAAATTCAGGGCCTACGAACTGCCATTTAAGTTTAAGTGAGCTGCAGTTTTTACTTCCAAATAAAACAAATGTAGTATTTTATAAAAAGTTGTGTCTAAAAAATTAGTCTTTGAAAAAGAGTAGCATGACTGCCATATTCCTATTGGGTTCAATATCACTTTCAGGACCTGATTCTAGCCAGATTATGAAGTTAGATGAAGAATTAACTCAATGGACCACAGTTGTTCTGGTTTCCTCTTGAGGCCATCTGTGTTCATGGCTAGCCTCTCACAGTAGTACACACAGGACCTGAGGCACACAGTGACTAGTTCTTCCAGCAGGACCTTCCTGTCACATCCTCTAGCCCTGTTCACATCAGTCACCACAAGAATCCCTTGACTCCCAGGCCCCTTGTGATCTGAGTTCTTGTCCCCATAGGGTCTGAGTACATCCCCTAAGCTGACCTCATGCCTCCCCAACTCCAGAACCCCTTTCATTGTGCCCTATAAGAACTCATCAATAAAATTCCCTATATTCTCAACCTCTTCTCTGAGCATTCCTTCCTCTTGCCCTAATTCAGTGCTTCTCAACTCTGGCTGCACTTCAGAATCACCTGGAGAGGTTTTTAAACCTCCCAGTGGCCGGACCTCAGCACCCCATGCCAAAATCTCTGGGAGGGGCTCCAGGCCTCAGCACGTTCAAAGCTCCCCCAGATGATTCCACTGTGCAGCCAAGGGTGAGAACCACTAGGCTAAAACCCTGTCCTCCCGTCAGTTTCTGCTCCCCAGACAGAACTCCTTTGGTAGGGGCTGTTTCTCTCCCACATCCCTACCAGAACTGGAACTGGAAGTGAGCAGGAGGCTTGCTCCCCATGGCCACTTCCAGAACACTACAGCCATTTTCCCTACAATCTGGCTTTCCAAATCTCAGGCAGCTCCTCAAACATACCAGGACCTCTTGCAAGCCTGTTTCTCTGCATTTGGGTTTTTTTTTTTTTTTTAAATCTGCAGTAAAGCTCTGTATCTTTTAGCCAGCTAAAAAAAAAAAAAAAGTTCTGTTGTTTCTTTAAAACTAATTTCATTGGTCATCTCACCCCTTCCATGAGTCTTCTTGGTCTCTCTAAGCTTAAAGGTATTCATCAAATGCTTCTCCCACAGTGCTTTCACCTTCCAGTGCTATTTTTAGTACTCATTACATTGCTAGTGAGGAAAACTTTGTTACATATAAGGTGAGAAATTAGTGGCAGAAATAGGAAAATTCTGAGCACATTAGTCTGCAGGGAACCCCAATTTATCAAATGTGGTGCTAATAGAAAACTTAAAAGATAATGTCTTGCACCCCCAAAATCTTTTCTTTATTATAGTTACACTGAAGCTGTGGCTCTATCACAATTGCCATAAGAAAACTGTCATGAGATCAACACTATTAAAAGGACTTAGCTACTGAAGTACCAAACAGTCCCTTGGCAGAGAACTGACCTACAGAATAAACACAAACTCGCCGGGCACGGTGGCTCATGCCTGTAATCCCAGCACTTTGGGAGGCTGAAGTGGGCAGATCACGAGGTCAGGAGTTCGAGACCAGCCTGGCCAACATGGTGAAACCCCCATCTCTACTAAAAATACAGAATTAGCCGGGCGTGGTGGTGCATGCCTGTTATCCCAGCTACTCGGAAGGCTGAGGCAGGAGAATCGCTTGAACCGGGGAGGTGGAGGTTGCGGTGAGCCAAGATCGCGCCATTGCACTCCAGCCTGGGCAACAAGAGCGAAACTCCATCTCAAAAAAAAAAAAAAGAATAAACACAAACTCTACAGATGGCAATTTACTGGATTTATTAAAATGATACAAACAGTGGGCTAATACATTTAACTCTCACTTTAACACTGCTCTAGGCCGGGCACAGTAGCACACGCCTGTAATCCCCAACACTTTAGGCTGAGGTGGGAAGATCACTTGAGCCTGGGAGGTCAAGGCTGCAGTAAGCCCTGAACATGCCACTGCACTCCAGTCTGGGTGACACAGCGAGACCGTCTTAAGAAAACAAAACAAAAACAAACAAAAGAATGCACTGCTCTATATGAAATAGTTTACTTTAATTGCTTTTTGGTTATTTATGCTATAAATAAGTCTTTTTTCAAAAAAAAGTCACCTCTTCTGAGCTGAGCCAAAAGACCATGCCCTAGTCTCTAGTCTTGCCACAGGAAAATGTGAAACACAAACTACTTAATTTTGTATATAGTCACTAGGTTCTTCTTGATCTTACCTATAGTATGAAAAATAAAAAGATGTTTCTTTTAACTTATTCCTTTTCCTAACTCCAGGGCCCCATTTGTATAACTTAATCCAGATGTTCATATCACAGTGGTGCTTGAATAAGTATGAGCCAGCTAAACTGCATGTTATGCTGAAAACCTATACTTCATCTCTCTCATTTGATAAAAGAATATATGCTTTTGGTGTATGTAGAAACAATCTTTATATATCTCTGTATGCATATTGCAAATGTACAAACTCATTTTTCTTACATACTTAAAACCTGGAAAGCCAGGTTTGGTAGTGTGTGCCTATGGTCCCTAACTACTTGAGAATAGTAGTTTTCAAATTTAAGAAATCCTCACAAGAGAACTTCCAAAACTTGAGATTCAATCAACACAAGCTGGTCTGAAACAGAATTGTTTCTTCATAATACATGAATCCAGAGATATGAGTAGCTCTGAGCAATCTATGAACCGATTCTATAACTAGGGAACATACAGTAAAAGGTACTGCCAAAGTTAACAAAGGAAAAATACATTACACAAAACAAGCATTCCACTTGAATATTCAACCTTGATAAACTTAAAACAATGTTATCTAGGGCAAATGATAAATTTATCAGAACCTGATTTCACTTTAAAATAGAGCCCTTTATTTTGACCTTTGATCCTTTCCCCATTGCTTGTTTTTGTCAGGTTTGTCAAAGATCAGATGGTTGTAGATGTGTGGTGTTATTTCTGAGGTCTCTGTTATGCTCCACTAGTCTATATGTCTATTTTGATACCAGTACCATGCTCTTTTGGTTACTGTAGCCTTGTAGTATAGTTTGAAGTCAGGTAGCATGATGCCTCCAGCTTTGTTCTTTTGGCTTAGGATTGTCTTGGTTATATGGGGTCTTCTTTGATTCCATATGAAATTGAAAACAGTTTTTTCTAATTCTGTGAAGAATGTCAATGGTAGTTTGATGGGAATATCATTGAATCTATAAATTACTTTGGGCAGCCGGGCATGGTGGCTCATGCCTGTAATCCCAGCACTTTGGAAGGCCGAGGCAGGTGGATCACGAGGTCAGGAGATCGAGATCATCCCGGCTAACACAGTTAAATCCCGTCTCTACTAAAAAATACAGAAAATTAACCGGGCGTGGTGGCAGGCACCTGTAGTCCCAGCTACTCGGGAGGCTGAGACAGGAGAATGGCGTGCACCCGGGAGGCAGAGCTTGCAGTGAGCTGAGATCACCCCACTGCACTCCAGCCTGGGCGATAGTGCGACACTCCGTCTCAAAAAAAAAAAAAAAAGTTACTTCAGGCAGTATGGCCATTTTCACGATATTGATTCTTCCTATCCATAAGGATGGAATGTTTTTCCATTTGTTTGTGTCCTCTCTAATTTCCTTTAGCAGTGGTTTGTAGTTCTCCCTGAAGAGGTCCTTCACATCCCTTGTTAGCTGTATTCTAAGTATTTTATTCTCTTTGTAGTGATTGTGAATGGGAGTTCATTCATGATTTGGCTCTCTGCTTGCCTATTCTTGGTGTAAAGGAATGCTTGTGCTTTTTGCACACTGATTTTGTATCCTAACAGGTATTTTATAAATAAAGATATCAATGGTCACAGAAGCTAGGAAATTGCTGGCTTTAACAAAATTTACTAGCTTTACTTACTGTAGGCCTCCAAAGCCTTTAGTGAGCTCACTTGCACAGCGACTCTCCCAGAGGGGTAGAGGGGCAGCAGTCTGCAAATCTGTACCACAGAGCCCTATTAATATCTCCCAGAGACTGTTTTATCACAAGCAGTTTGGGAAAGACTAGAATATATAGGTGTCCCATACAAAGTGGTTAGTAAGACGCTCATAGGGTCAATACCAACTTGACATGGCACAAAAACTAAATATAACCATGTGTTTATTGCCCAGGACTTCATATATCTGAATATGTGTGTCCCACTTACAGTGGGTGAAAGGAGGGAATAGGGGAGAGAAATGGAATGTGGATCTTCTGCCTCCATTTCTTACACACCTGTTCCTGAAATCTGAAATCTCCATAGTTAGGCAGCTGATAGGCTGAGTACTGGGCTCACTGTTTATATTGTGATGGGAAATCTGGTAGACAAAGAAGCAGACTCATTCATTAACAGTGACTAGAGAATTCCCAGATCCCCCAGTCAGATCTTTGGTGACTAAGCTCCAAAAGCAGGCAAGAAGCCCACCTCAAGCAGCTCAGATGAAGACTGCTGATAGCAGCAGCATATTTTGGGACCGGGTAGTAACTACTGGCATTTGTGCAGGAAGAGAAAGCTAGAAGGTTGGTTACAAAAGTCAATTCAGACAGGTCTTCCATGCATTCAACCAGGTGGCTCTCAAGCCCCAGGCTTGAACTAGCAGCTAGCAAATGCCTGCTCATTTTGTTGTGACCAAGTCCAGGTTTGCTGTTGGTGTGGAGCAGGAGCCTCATCTCATCAAGGTCCTCCTTAGGGGCCTGTGATGAAAGCCTCCATTGCAAGTGTAATGGATCTGCTGTCTGGCTGTACACATAGACACTCAGACTCCAGTGATGGTGACAGGAGGAGCCTTTAGGAGACAGATTGCAATTTGGGAGCTGGCTCTACTATTTACTAGCTATGCCACCTTGGGTAACTTGCTTAGCCCCCATATACTTCAACTTCCTTATCTGTTAAAAAAAAAAAAGGGATAATATTAGTACCTGTATCTACCTCAGAGGGGTTTTGTGAGGATTAAATAATGCACTGAAAGCACTTAGCACAATGCCTGATTTATTGGAGATGCTCAACAGACACAGCTAATAATTTGAATGAGAAGAAATTACAGCCAATGAAAGGCTTAGGGCAAAACTAAGGTTTGGCATTAGATATACAGCAGGGACTCAATAAATACTTGTTGACGGTTCAACCAATATCTCTTAAGGCCAATGTTACATCCTGGAAAGGAGTTCTCGCTGGTTTATATGCAGGTCAGGAAGAAATGGGCTTTTTATTACCCTTCGCACTAAAGCAGGAAGCCAATATCTCATAGTATTTGCATCTCAAGGTTGAGTGGATGCTAAAAACCATTTCATTCACTGAAAGAAGGACAAGCATGTGTTAAAAGTGGTTTCAGTGACTCATGAGTCCTGAGATGTCCCCGTATGGAAGGATAGCTCTGAACCACCCAGAACAATGAAGTAGAAACAGGGACTGTGTACAGAGAAATTTCCCAAAATTTTCTGCCAAAAATCAGAAAGGGTCTTTAAAGATAGAAAGTTTCTTCAGCAGCAATTAACAAAAGGAAAGATCTGTAGCACCATATACCACACTCCACTGTTTGCTTCTCATTTTCAGCTCTGCAAAGTGTTGATGAATAAGGCCATAGTGGCACATGTAAATAAGGCAGAATTAATTTAGGGGTGAAACAGATCTTGGTGACATGTTCTCCCCCTCCTGCTATCTCAGCTTTTTGTTCTGAGGAAAAATACCATCCTACAGAAAGCACCATAGGCCAAAACCACGGCACTAACCCCATGTTGATAACCATTTATTTTTCATTTATGTAGAATTAACATAGCTCCTAAAGTACTGACGAAAATATAGGCACCCAGATTGCACATACTATACAGAAAAACCATGTCTCCACCTCCAATTAGAGAGAGGCCCCTTCTTCTACCCTTCTCTGGGGATGAAAACAGACGCACCCCTGGACAGCCAAGAGTGAACTAGTATATGTATGCTTGGTGGCTTATTGAGGAAACTTTCTCTCTTCCACATGAGGCTGGGGAGCTGGCTGGATGAGAATAAATTAAACCACTCTCTGCTCTCTTCACAGGGTATCAGCTTGGGAATCTCATGGACCAGATCTGTGGCGATCAACCCTTGCAAAGAAGCACAGCGATAGGACAACTTCCCTACCACCGAACAGTTTACATAAATCAAATATGTCTCCTACCTGTGATGGACAAGGTCTTGGAGGGAGCGCAGGTGGTGGGGGTAACAATCCTGACTTGGTAGCTGAAAAGAAAAACACATACTATTAAGGATCACCCCCCAAAAATAAACAACAAAAAACTCTTATGCTTGTTAACTTGGAATGGCAATGGCATTTGCATTTAACATCTTTAAGTTTTTACAGTCCTTCTGAAGGCTTAAGAAAAAAGAGTACACGTTATTTCTAATCCCTTTTTCATTGTCATCCTAACCCAAACTCAAGTATTTATGTAGGCTGTTATGATTAAGACGACATAATAAAATGGTACAGAAAAGACACCTAAAACGCAGCAAGGGAAAGGTGGTCAATTCCTCATTATTCTAATGTTATTTCGTTTCAAACAATCTAGGGCAAAAGTCAGAAAGGGTCTTCTTTGATTTCTCTCATATTTCTCCCTAGCTCTCAGCCACTACACTGCTCATTAGCTCAATGAGTAGGCTACAGAAACTAAGAGAGCTGGAACCCAAATGAGGAAGCTTGGCCACCCTGTAAATGCTCCTGGGAATGGATCTGAAAGCAGTGAGGGAGGCTGACAGTGATAGACTGAAATGATATTTAGGGATTCTTCAAAGACCTCAATTTCTTTTTCTCTCCCTAATATTTATTATCAGGGATAACTAAAGCTGTTCCTAAAATAATCTGGCCACATCTGAAGAATCTTTACAAAGTATCAGTCTAATTTTAAATTTTGTGAGATAGAGAATACTGAGTTAAGCCAAGAACATCTGAATTGTACCTTAGCAATGAAAATAAACAGCTGCTATGAAATTATAAATAAAGTTCATAATAACACACAAGAAATAAGTTTAGCATTACACACTGGCAAGTTAAACCACATTCTTTACAAAACTCCTTAGAAAAACACCATCGTCCAAATAACTATATGTAGTTTATTTGCAAATTTGTACTATGCATTTGGACAATTTTCTGTGCCTTAAAAAATAAATCAGAGCAATGTACCAAGAACATAAAAGAACATAAAAGATTTTGCAAATTACTTTTGATTTCCCTTAGCTAGCTGGATCAGACAAGCTAGAAGACGGAGTTTGGTGTGTTCCACAAATGTAACTCAGGGTAATATCACAGAGATTTTCATTTTGAGCCAGTGCATGGATATGGTACAATCATGTTGGCCTATCTATGATTTCTCTCTATCTGTCTTTCATTAAAATTTATGAAACACATCGGTGGGTTAAAACTCCAGAGGTGGTGAGACCTTGAACAGCTGTCAATAACAAAGCACACAGCAGGAGAGAATGCTGAAAGCCTTCAGGAATTATTCATCTCAGGGCTCCTACTCTTTAGATCCTCACAGATTGGACCTTTA
This sequence comes from Homo sapiens, assembly GCF_000001405.40. Lineage (NCBI taxonomy): Eukaryota > Metazoa > Chordata > Mammalia > Primates > Hominidae > Homo > Homo sapiens. The sequence continues at coordinate 17,102,413 of NC_000023.11, read as the reverse complement.
AAATTAACAGTTACTTTCAAAACAAATGAAACAAGCCAGGCATGGTGCCTCATGCTGTAGTCCTAGCACTTTGGGAGGCCAAGGTAGGCGGATCCCTTGAGCTCAGGAGTTTGAGACTGGCATAGGCAACATGGATAAACCCCTTATCTACAAAAAATACAAAAACTAGCCAGGCGTGGTAGTGCACACCTGTAGTCCCAGCTACTTGGGAGGCTGAGACGGAAGGATCACTTGAACCCAGGAGTTGAGGCTTCCGTGAGCCATGATTGTGCCACTGCACTCCAGCCTAGGCAACAGAGTGAGACCCTGTCTCATTCATAAATAAAATAAAATAACATAACATAACATAACATAACATAACATAACATAACATAACATAACATAAAATAAAATAAAATAAATCTACGCAAACTTTAAGGGAAAGGCCAAGCAATTGTATTAACGTGTGTTAAAACAACTCCTTATTAACAAAAAAGAGGACTATACAAGAAATGATGAGCCATTTAATTAAATTGACTTGTGCTTCCAGCCAAGATGAAGTAACAGAGAGATTTACCCACCCATTTAAAACAACCAAAAACACATAGAAAAAAAAATATGAAACAACAGTTTTCAAGGCACTAGAAAATCAGGCAACAAAAGACAGTGACCCCTGAGAGAGAGGAACCAACCAGGTGAGCCCTGTGGCTGACTGTCCCTACTCACTGCCTTGAGAGTTATTAGAAACAGTATTTAGATCCTGATTCGGATCTCATTAAGTTCTTTTGTATGATTTAATTTTTTTTAAAGACAAATGCCCTGCTCTTGTAAAAGATGATGTGTGGGTCTATTTCTGAATACACTTTTAGATAAAAGCATGTCACCTACAACATCATTTATTGTGGTTTATCAGAAATTGCCCCAAATATGAAGAAGAAATAGGGTAAAAGACTGAGGCCATTTAATATGGAATTGTTTTAATTTCTCACAATTGAGCTTCAAGCAACAAAACAGTATCACAGGTATGTGTCCGTTGTTCATTCTGAATCTCTCATTGTAAGAGTTGGCATAGAGGCCTGGCGCGATGGCTCACGCTTGTAATCCCAGCACTTTGGGAGGCCAAGGCGGGCAGATCATGAGGTCAGGAGATCGAGACCATCCTGGCTAACACAGTGAAACCCCATCTCTACTAAAAATACAAAAACAAAAAAAAATTAGCCAGGCATGGTGGCGGGCGCCTGTAGTCCCAGCTATTTGGGAGGCTGAGGCAGGAGAATGGCGTGAACCCGAGAGGTGGAGCTTTCAGTGAGCCGAGATCACACCACTGCACTCCAGCCTGGGTGACAGAGCCAGACTCCATCTCAAAAAAAAAAAAAAAGAAAGAAAAAGAAAAAGAAAAAAAAACAAGAGTTGGCATAGGTTATTTTCCTCATTAAATTCTGAGAGCATTTTTTGGGGGGAAGCCCCCACATTTATATCAAAAATATTATACTTGACAGGATATCACTCTGTTGCCCAGGCTGGAGTGCAGTGGCATGATCATTAACACTGCAGTCTCAAACTCCTGGGCTCAAGCAATCCTCCCACCTCGGCCTCCTAAAGTGTTGGGATTACAGGTATGAGCCACTGTGCCCAACCATATTAAACAAATACTAAGAGCAGCTTTGTTTCCTCTTTTCAGTACCTTTGCCACGTTTTTTATTTTTCCAGTCTTACCTAGTTAGAATTATCTACTGTAAAAGTTGAATTTAAATGGTGATAATGGGCATTCTTGTCTTCTCTTGATCTCAAAGGGGAGCATTTACTAGCTCACCATAAGGTATGGTGTTGGTGTTTGCTGTAGGTATGTTGTAGATACCCTTTAATAGATTATGAAGGCGGTGCAGGCAGTGGGCAGTGGGCAGCACAGAGTGCAGGGCTCTTTTGTTCGGCTGAGAGGAGGGCCATTAGCCGAGGCCTGCGGTACACCATTTCAGCAAGGGGCTCCTTTGCAGCTACCCTTGCTGCTTTTCTGAGCGCCACTGCCCTGGCCGACCCAATGCGCCAATAGCGCAGCACCGATTCCTTTCCGGCTCCTGGGCACTGCTCTGAGCAGCATCACCCTTTACACACACGCTATGGAGAAAAAACAAAACAAGAAGAAAGTGGAGGAGGTGCTAGAAGAGGAGGAACAGGAATATGTGGTGGAAAAAGTTCTCTACCGTCGATTGGTAAAGGGCAAAGTGGAGTACCTCCTAAAGTGGAAGGGATTCTCAGATGAGGACAACACATGGGAGTCAGAAGAGAACTTGGATTGCCCTGACCTCATGAGTTTCTGCCGTCACAGAAAACAGCACATGAGATAGACAAATCAGAGGGAGGCAAGCACAAAGCTGATTCTGATTCTGAAGATAAGGGAGAGGAGAGCAAACCAAAGAAGAAGAAAGAAGAGTCAGAAAAGCCACGAGGCTTTGCTCAGGGTTTGGAGCCGGAGCAGATTATTGGAGCTACAGACTCCAGTGGAGAGCTCATGTTCCTGATGAAAGGGAAAAATTCTGATGAGGCTGACCTCGTCCCTGCCAAGGAAGTCAATGTCAAATGCCCACGGGTTGTCATATCCTTCTATGAGGAAAGGCTGACGTGGCATTCCTACCCCAAAGAGGATGATGACAAGAATTAACTCTCCTGAGTACCAGCCTCTATCACATCTGACTGTGGGTTTCAGGTGGGAAGGAAAGAAGTTCTACTTGTCTTGACACCATAGAGGTAGCTTGAGAAGATGCCCTTTGAAGAGCCAGTATCGTTTCTGTGCCCTGCAGCAGCCCAAGTGTTTTAAAGCCATTCCAAGCTGTATAGTTTGCACACCCGTCCCAGTGGAGGGGAAGGGGGATAAGTGCTTCAAGGCAACCTTTTCTGCACTTTGCTGAGAAAAAGCAAAGGGCCCTTTATGAAGGACAAAACTTGCAGAACTGGGTGTGTGGGAGAGCAAAAAAATACTGTAGATAATCAAAGAGCATCTCCGCAACGCACAACTTTCTTCCCAATAGTGTTAACTCTACATTTTTACAGCGTAGCAAATGTGTAGTTTTTGGCTATTACTGGTGTATTATGTGGGAGAGGGAGGAATGGGGAGGGTGGAAAGGGAGATGGGTAGCATCATTTTGATTAAAATTTGGGGCCTGATAGGGGACATGGTGAAGCAATGCAAAGAACAGAAAACTAATGATTTGCTTCTATGTCCAGAATATTTTACCTTTGAAAAAAATGTCACTGGCACCATAAATACGGACTGTGAGAGACTTTAAAAGCTGTGAATGTCTGAAATCTATAAGCCATGGTGTTCCCTGCCTAAACTTAATGTACTTAGTCTCACAAAGGACTAAGCCAGTTAATAAGTTACCAGAGTTGCCATTTTGGAGATGGAAATTGACTGAGGAAGGAAGGTCTTTTATTGGAGAGTATACAGTACAAGCAGATCATTCTGCCTCAGAGGTGCTAATTCCTGAAATTAGAAGACCCTTTCTTTTCCAATAATAAAGTTATAAATATCAGCTTGTTCATCCTAGCCACTGGCTGAGGTGTTGGGGAAGGGAAAGAGGGTGGTAGAGGAGATAAGACAGGAGGGAAGTAAAGGGCCCATGCTCTTAGTTGGGACAACTTTTGGAGCCATTCTCTTTTGAGCTTTGAACTCTGAAACCATTGGTGGCAGAGTTCAGTCACTGACAGCACAAGTTTCACTGAATTGACTCAAGAGTTGAGTGATTTCAAAAGCCTTGGTCTCAGGAGATTAAACTTTCATACTGGGCAGTGGTTCACTTTAAAACACACACACACACACACACACAAAACCATTTTTTAACAAATCCTAAGAAGTAACTGATACCCAAAATGCTCTGTCTTGAGTCATGAGATCCATCAGTTCTTGATATTATCTAGACTTGGATCTAGAGCTACATTGTAAAATCTTTTTAGGCATGTGTTAGATTTCTTTGAAAACTTTGTTTGAATGTAAACTTCACACCACACTCTCAGTTTTTGTCTTAATAAAACTATAGATATATAATCCCTGAAAAAAATAGATTATTATGAAAATTCCTATCCTTATTTTGAGACTTCTTTTCAGGATAATTTGTTGTTGGATTTTAATCAGAGCTGTAACTCTAGCCATTGAGATTATGGTATTATTTTTTCCTTATAATTTGTTAATGTGGTAAATTACATTCTGGATTGTCTAATATTAAAACACCCTTGCAGACCTGGGATAATCTCAACTTGGTAAGTTTTTTATATCTGCTAGATTTGGTTAGCTGATATTTTGTTTAGGATTTTTGCAACTATCTTCATGAGTGAGACCTGCAAGTGATTTCCTTTCTCATATGGTCCTCTATTATGCTTCATTCAGGTGGAGAGCACCACCCCCAAACCCCTACCATGCCCTGTTTATACTCTTAAATAGGTTGTATAAGATTGGAAATTTTTTCTTGAATATCAAATAAAAATTTTCCCAGGAGAGCCACCTGAGCCCGGAGTTTTCTTTAAACAAGATTTTAAACTATGATTCTGCTTCTTGAATTGTTATAGGACTTTTCAGACTTTCTAATTCTTAAGTCGATTCTGATAAATGATATTTTTCTAGGCATTTATTCATTGCCTAAAATTTCAAATTTATTAGCATAATGGTGTCCATACCCCCCTCTTATTATTATTTTAATCTCTGCATGTGTAATTGTCTTTTCCCATTCCTCATACTCCAGTTTTCCTTCACTAATCTCAGCTGGCATTTGTCAGTTTTGTTACTCTTTTCAAAAAACCAACTTTTAACTTTTTTGAGCCTCTGTATTGTATGTTTGCTTTCTGTTTTATTAATGCTGCTTATCTTCTTCCATTTACTTTCTTTGGGCATATCTTGTTCTTTTTCTATCTTAAATTGGTTGCTTAGTTCACTAATTTGTAGCTTTTATTTTCTAATGTAAGCATTTAGGGTTATAAATTTTTTCCAAGTACCTCTTTAGTAGAATATCATAGGTTTTTATTTGTGATATTATCACTCAGTGCTAAAAGCTTCCTAATTTCCATTACAGTTTATTTTATGATGTCTAAAGTATGTCTTTTAGAATTTCCTTAATTGAGAAGTCTATTAGTAGCAAACTTAGTTTATTTGATTGAAAAGTCATTTTTCCCCTCTTGAAAGAGGATTTAATTGGGTATAGAATTCTAAATTGACAGCTATTTTCTCCCAGCACATTGACGGTAACATTCCACTGCCTTCTGGTTTCTACTATTGCTATTAAGAAGCCAGCTCTCAGTCAAATCACTCTTTTGTTAGATGGCCCATCTTCTCTCTGGTTGCTTTTAAGATCTCCTCTTTGTTTTGGGTACTCTGAAATATCAAACTTTATCCTATGTCTGCACATGTATTTCTCTACCATCATTTTATCACTTGCTTGAGCTTCACTGGAATTTCTGAACCATGTAGCAACCCATTAATTTTGGTCAATTCTCAGTGATTCTTTAAATGTTGTATTTCTACCATTTTTCTCTCCCCTCTCCTTCAAGAGCTTTCTAACTGTACTGTGTTCTAGACAATTTTCTACGATCTACTGTCCAAGTAACCAATTCCCTCTTTAGTCGTTCTTAATGTCTAACAAAATCCAGTCTTCGAGTTTATGTTACAGAATTGTTCTTTTCTAGAAGTTCTATTTGGTCTTTTTTGAAAATGTTTTTTTCATTTTTATAATTTCTTGGCCATTCATTTTCTTCCTCTTTTCTTTTCTTTTTTTTTTTTTTTTTTTTTTTGAGACGGAGTCTCGCTCTGTCGCCCAGGCTGGAGTGCAGTGGCGGGATCTCGGCTCACTGCAAGCTCCGCCTCCCGGGTTCACGCCATTCTCCTGCCTCAGCCTCCCAAGTAGCTGGGACGACAGGCGCCCGCCACTACGCCCGGCTAATTTTTTTGTATTTTTAGTAGAGACGGGGTTTCACCGTTTTAGCCGGGATGGTCTCGATCTCCTGACCTCGTGATCCGCCCGCCTCGGCCTCCCAAAGTGCTGGGATTACAGGCGTGAGCCACCGCGCCCGGCCTCTTCCTCTTTTCTTTCAACATATTTATATAATTTCAGTATCTGAGGGCTTTGTATTTCCTGTTTGTTCTTGCTCATTGTGCTTCATTTCCTAGTGTGCTTAGCAACCTGTGACTCTAAACTCAAATTCCTTGGAACTTTACCGACAGGAAAACTTTGAGGCATGTGGAAAGTGAATTCCTCTTCCCTCTATCGCTTCTGCCAGAAATCTGAGGGTACTATCAACCTGGGACCACTTTAAACTAAAATCTTGGCTTGATACTGTGTAAAATTCCTTGTTTCTTGTGTATGACCCAACGTTTTATTAAATGTCCTATCCAAAGACTTTTGAGTATAGACAGCAGTTCAAATACATGTAACTAATCTCACTCTTAACTCATTAACACAAAAATGAAGAGAACTGTTTAAATGCTCTTGTTTAAATTTGGAACTGGGAAAACAGATGAGCAACTAATAGCTGACTAGACAGATCTGAGAAAGCAGGGAGTAACAAATTTGTACCACAGAAGCCCCCCAGTTCTCAGGAATTGGTGGCATCAAACACCTCTGAATGTAGGGGTAAAATGAGGAAAGCAATAAAAACCTAAAGCAATGAACTAATAGTGGATTTATTTCCTACCCTTCAGGAAAAGGGCATACTTTGACAAGACCCTTCAGGATCTGGTTCTAGCTATTCTTCATGCTGTTTTTGGCTTCAGGGGCCCTACTCTTACAGTCCCCTCTGCTGTAGTAGCTATGCCTTATATCTGTCTCACCTGATAACTCAAAATACAGTAAGTGATCAACAAATAGTTCTTTAAACTATCTTAAAATCTATAGGATTATGTTCCATCCTCATTAAAAAAAAAAAAAAAGACTGATTGAAGCAGTTTAGGAGCAGTTTTTTCTCCCACATTCTGCACAGTTTCAGCATGTTTCTCACTCCAGCAAAATGCTAGATATAGTTTTCTTTTCAGGGAAGGCACCAGGCCCAGATGAAGGCATGAGGGCCATGCTGAAAACAGACAGATTCAGTAAAAATATGCACTTTGGATGCTGAGATTCTTCCAGCCTTCTTCCCTTCTGCTCCCAGACTGCTGCTTCCTTCTAGAGATTAGGAGAATGTGTTCCAGAGAATCAGATCAGCCAGGAAGAGACATCTAAAGAGTTGATATCAAGGGATCTCCAACAGGATGGCCTGGCCAGACCATTCTACCATGAAGCCAATAGCTGGCAACTTCCATCAATTTGCTCATATATTCCAAGCAACTTTTTATCCTTCATTATTAAATATAAGTGGATGACTAAGTATTACCAGATATCTGCAGAAAATGTTCTAACCTAAGGTAGGGATCAATAAAAACAGGAAGAAATGACCTCAAAGAAACAGACTAGACCTTTACTAGGAGAAAACGTTAAAATATATATTATTAATATCATCAGAATGATCATTAAGTTTATTCCAGAAACATTTAAACACTAACTATGTGGGAGGTATTGTTCAAGGTATTGGGAAAATATCCATGGGAAAAACAGGGAAAAAAAAAGCTATACCCTTATGAAGCTCATATTCTACTGAGAAAAGAGACAATGGGGTAGAGAGTGACAGATGAAATTTTAACTAGAGTCACCAGAGAAAGTCTCAGTAAGACATAAGAAATGCTATTTGCTAAGATGAAATAATGGGATGCTATTTACAAAGAACATTCAGAAAACAAAACAAAACAAAAAGAATACTTGGAAATTAAAAGATAGCAGAAAGAGAATAGAAAGGTCAAAAATAATCTGAGGAAATCTTCCAGAAAATAGGGTAGTAGCCAAATAAAAGATCCACAAAGAGAAACAGAGAAAACAGCAGGAAAAATAATCAATTAAATGGTTCAATAAAATTTCCCAGAAATGAAGAATATGAATTTCTAAATTTAAAGGACTCACTGAATATCCAGGACAATGGAAGAAAACAGACTCATGACAAGGTATATCATGATATTTCAAAGTACTAGAGTCAAAATAATTTACAAGTTTTCAGCAGGGCATAGGAGAAGAGAGCAAGTCATATACAAAGGATCAGATGTCCAAATGGTTTTAGACTTCTTCATATATCATTAGAAGCTAGAATCCATTGGCACAATTCCATCAAAATTCTAAAGAAAACTTATTTCCAACTGATGATTGTATATCCAAGACTAGCAGCCTGCATGATGATATAATTAAATACATTTTTAGACATTCAGGGTCTCAAATTGAGCTCCATGCACCCTTTCTAAGGAAGCTGCTGAAGGATGTGCTTCACCAAAACAAGAAAGTAAACAAAGAAAGAGAAAGACACAGGATACAGTAATAAAAGAAATCCAACATGGGAAAAAGAGGAAGGGAATCCTTGGATGACAGTGTAGAGAGATCCCATGATGAAAACTATGTACCAGGCATTGAAGACAATCAGTTTCTATTGCTTCAAAAAGCTGAAACTGACAGAACACCTGAGGTGTGAGAATTTCATAAGAGGAACTCTGGAAAATTGAAGACGTCTGTGGTTGAATCAAGGGCAAGTACTTTGAAAAGAAACAAGTTGATTATTCACTCCAAGGCAAACAAAAACCTGTGCAAGTAAAAAAAAAAAGTAATTTACTATATGTCTTACATGGCTATAACAATAATAATATAAACACTAAATATTAATCTAACCAAAATTATAATATAACTATATTGGAAGGGTGGAGGAGAAAGATAATGGGGGAGGGAAGATGATGGCAAAAATTGAAGTCTACAAGAAGTTACACAAATATGCTATTTAGAATTACGAAGGAAATACCAAAATAATCAACATTTTAAAACCCTGCAGCAGAGTGCATTCTCCTAAGTCTTGGAGTTCTATCAATGGCCTTGGAGGAACTTCTCAGACTTCAGTTTGTCCCCAGTTCAGCATGAAGCTCTGGGCCTTCCCCTCTACAATATCAGGATATCAGCTATGATTATTTACTTTTCCAACTCTCTTTCCTGAAGTCATTTCCACTTAGTCAAGAAAAAGGAAAATTACGAGTACTCATTCATTTCACTTTGCTCTAGACCTAGGGTCTCGATGAGAACTCTCAAGATTTGCCTACTCACACACACAGCTTCTGCAAGGAAGCAGGCAGAGTCAGAAGTGCACCCAAAGCCTCAGGTTTCCCTCAGTTGCCACTCTTTCCAAAAAAAAAATTATATATATATATATATATATATATATATATATAGCATTAACTCATGCATTTTTCCTTGTTCGGTTGCTGCTGAAAAATCTCTTCCTTGCATTTATAATTCTGTGTTCCTTTCCTTTAATGGTGGGAGATATTAATCTAGCTACATTCTATCAATTCTGTCTAATTCATCTTTTTGTCTCCCACAGCACCTAAACACACTGCCTTATGTTTAGTAGGTACTCACACAGTGGTTGAAAATTGGAATTAAATTTAATTTTAAAAATCTTCTCTTACAATATTTTCAGTCTGCTCTTGACTTAAAATTGGATCCAAATATTTTATCCAGTATGCCCTAATCAGTCAAAAGAAAAAGTACACCTTCATGCAAAGTGAAATTTAAAAAATACTTTGATCGCATGGTGGAAGGCAAAGGAAAAAAAAAAGAAAAAAAATAGCTGAATAATCTAGTGTGCAGTTGCAAAAGATGACAATATACTTGTTAATAGTAACAACTGCTTTCCTGGGAGGGAAAAGAAGGCAAGAAGACGAGAGAAGAATGTTGTTCCCACATACTTTAAAAAGTGACCATATTCGTCAAGCAATTGCAGGTTTATTCGTCAAGTGTTATAGTTAATAAAGTGGGATACTAGGTATCAGCAAGGCTTTGTCCAGCCAAAAATTTTTATAAGTGTAATCCAAAGGAAAATAATAAATACCCCAATCCTGAAAACCACATTAAAAACTTCAGGAAAAGAAACTGTCATTTAATCCTAAATTCAGAAGACAGACTAATAATTCCTAGTGTTTAAAACAATTTCTTAAGTTTATTGAAAGACATGCAGATTCTGATACTGATTTATTGGATCTCTGCTTCCTGGTACCTTCATCCAAAACTCCAACCTCTAACAATTTTTATCCTCTTATTTCATTACGCTTAGAAATTTCTAGGTAAAATGTTATTCATAAACATTACTATTTACTAATTTCCTTCAGATTTTTACATAGCCCCTAATCAATAACTAAATGAAAATATATTCCAACTTATTGAGTGGAAATAAAGCAGCAGATGTGGCCATTGAAAGCTTCAGGAACAGAGAGCCGATTCTTCAGGGGGAACAAAACTTGGAATAACTTCAGCTGTGGAAAGGGGCTCCCATCCCCCCTAACTAGGAATATTTTATGTGAAGAAAATAAAAGCATTCGAATACCAAAGGGGGGAAAAACACTCAAGGAATGGAAAATGTTGAAAGGAGCCTCCCAGTGGGACCTATACTTTTAAATATCAATCAAGTAAAGAGCCACATGCAAAGCTTTAAGGATTTCATCAGTAAGGACCATTCCTCTTCTTGGCAAGTTCATAAAAATGGCTATTTCTTTGTAACAGAAATTGTTCATTCTTTCTCTCCTTTCTAATCATAAAAGCATGTATGACCTTATACATATCTCTTGATCACCCAGCATACAGTGATGGACATGTATGTCATATACACCAGTGTATGTAACAAAATGTTTGCCAAGAACACCTTTCCAGAAATACCTGCCTCTATCCCCTGATGACCACACACCACCCCCCGAAATACAAGCTCATTTAATTCTCTATGGAACAGAATATACTTTTTCACCAGTTAAAAGAGATTAACTTACACATCCTTGTAACTGTTCAACAAGGAAAATATTAACGACAGAGTTTAGAAAAGTAGTGAGATAAAATCTGATTCTTTCACTTTACAGATGAGAAAATTAAGACCTGGAGAAATAAAATGACCTTGCCAAGGACACAAGGCTACTATCGAGCAGTAATCAGTACCACATTTTGAACCTACAGGGCAGGTAGAGCAGAAAAATGCAGAGATGGAGGATAAACAGCTAGACAGAGGGTATTCTACATTCAGGGAATAAACATGACAGAAGGCTTCAAAGCAAAGAAGTACTGCAACCTCAAGGAGCTCAAAGGATCCTTCTGAACATGCTACAAACCACAAATGAAGTAAATAAGCTACTATATACTATCTAAAAAATATGCCATTGTAGCAAATACTTAAAGACTTCTGAGTCGTGGGATTACCTCTTTGCAAGATTATGTATGACTCCCCTGTGTTAAAAAACATTCAGTATAGTGCTAGCATAAAAATAAACATATAAATCAACAGAACAGAATGCAGTGTCCAAAAATAAGCCCTTATATTTAACAGACAAGTGATTCTCAACAAAGGTGCCAAGGCAACAGGAAAAGGAGAGTATTTTTTGACAAATAGTGCTGGGATAACTGGATATTCATATACGAAGAGATTAACTTAGATCCTTACCTCACACCTTATACAAAAATTAAATCAAAATGGATTCAAGATCTTAACGTAAGAGCTAAAACTATAAAAATTTTACAACAAGAAAAAATCTTCAAGACCTTGGGTTAGGCAGACTTCTCAGATATGACATCAAAAGCACAATCCAAAAGGAAAAAATTTAACATTACACTTTGTCAAAACTCAAAACTTCTGTACTTCAAAACATATCATTAAGAAAACAAAAAGACAAGTCACAGACTGTGGAAAATATTTGCAAATCATCTATCCGATAAAGGATTTGTATCCAGAATATATAAAGAATTACAGAATATACAACTCAACAATAAGACAAACACCCAATTTTTTAATGAGCATGATTTGAGTAGACATCTGACATGGTTTGGCTCTGTGTCCCCACCCAAATCTCATCTTGTATCTCCCATAATTCCCATGTGTTGTGGGAAGGACCCAGTGGGAGATGATTGAACCATGGGGGCAGGTCTTTCCCATGGTGTTCTCGTGATAGTGAATGGGTCTCACAAGATCTGATGGTTTTAAAAATGGGAATTTCCCTGTACAAGCTCTCTTCTCCTGTCTGCCACCATGTGAGACATGCCTTTAGCCTTCTGCCATGATTGTGAGGCTTCCCCGGCCACGTGGAACTGTAAGTCCAACTAAACCTTTCTTTTGTAAATTGCCCAGTTTTGGGTATGTCTTTATCAGCAGCGTGAAAACAGACTAACACAATATCTCATCAAATAAAATACAGGAATAACTAATAAGCACATGAAAAGATGCTCAACATCATTAATCATCAGGGGAATACAAATCAAAACCACAGTGAGATATCACTTCACACACACTAGGATGTAGGATAATCAAAAAGATAATAATAAGTGTGGGTGAGGATATAAAGAAATAGTAACCCTCATACATTTCTGATGTGAATGTAAAATGGTGCAGATACTTTAGAAAACAATTTGTCCATTTCTTAAAAAGTTAAACATAAATTTACCACATACCCAGCAATTCCACCCCTATATATCTAGCTAAGAGAAATGAAACATATGTTCACACAAAGACTTGTATTCAAATATTAATGGCAGCATTATTCATAACAGACAAAAAGCAGAAACAACTCAAATGTCTGTCAAACTGAAGACTGGATAAACAAAATGTGATATAGCTATATAATGGAATACTATTCAGCAATAAAAAGGAATTAAGTACTGATACATGATACAACATGAATGAACCTCAAAAACATCATGCTAAGTAAACAAAGTCAGACAGAAAAGACCTCATATTGTATATTCGGTTATATGAAATATTCAGAAAAGGAAAATCTGCAGAAACACAAAATAGGTTAGTGGTTGCCTGGGGCTGGGCATGGGGATTAACTGTAAACAGGTATGTGCAGTATTATTGGAGTGCTGAAAATGACCTAAAACTGGATTATGGTGAAAGTTGCACTATTTGATAAATTTACTAGAAATCATTAAATTTTACACTTAAAATGGATAAACTTTATGATCTATATACCTCAATAAAGTTTTTTTTAAGCTAAGGGTAGAAAAAAGTATAATTAATAATGTGGGGGAAGACAGATATGAAACAAGATGGGACACAGTTGATTAATTGTTGAAGCTGGATGTTCAGTATACTATTTGTCTTATATTCTTGCTATATTTAGAGCTTTTAATAATAATTTCATTTTTGAAATTAAAAAAAGAAAATAGATATATTATTTCCAAGTATCTATGAGGGCAAAAGCTCCTTTCCTATCTCCCTGAAGTACCTCAGAGAAATCTACTAACATTTTAAATCACATAGAAGGAAACACAGAAAAAAACACATTGAAGAGTGCCTTGCAAAGGTTACCATATTCATTCTTTAATACATCCTTTAACTTTAGATATTAATTAGTGTTATTGCCCGTAGAAAAGTAGTAGGGTGTGCCCTCCAAATTAATTTAATGTAGATAGCTTTCTTTGATACCAAATCTGCTGCAACAAAGATCTAAACAAAGATTTCCCAACTTCGAAAGATTCTGGGCAGGATGTGGTGGCTCACACCTGTAATCCAAGCATTTTGGGAGGCCGAGGCAGGTGGATCACGAGGTCAGGAGATTGAGACCATCCTAGCTAACATGGTGAAACCCCGTCTCTACTAAAAATACAAAAAATTAGCCAGGCGTGGTGGTGGGCACCTGTAGTCCCAGCTACTCGGGAGGCTGAGGCAGGAGAACAGCGTGAACCTGCAGAGCTTGCAGTGAGCCGAGACCACGCCACTGCACTCCAGCCTGGGCAACAGAGAGAGACTCCATCTTAAAAAAAAAAAAAAAAAAGGAAAGAAAGATTCTGATGGAGAACAAAGCCATTATATTGCCTGGATCTTAGTCTCCTTGTTGGTAATATGTGAGAGTTGGCCAAGATGACATTCAAGTTCTCTTTTAGCATTGACACTTCATGATTCTAAAATTTATCCATGTTTACTAATAACTCATTTTTCCTGTACCATAGGATACGCAATAAGGGTTAACTAGGTCCTGGATGGAGACATGGGCAGACTTAAGTGACAAAAATGCATGAGATTCAATCTTGGTCAAAGATGGGTGTCTGGTTTCCTCTCTCATATTACATTTACACAAATGCATTCCTCCTAAGCATTTTACTATTAAAACTCTAGGGTTGGTTGAAATCACTAGTTGTGTTTCTGTATATGTTTTCAGGTAAATCAAACTAAAATTTCAAGAAGTACACATCTTTTTTTCAGGATTAGTTAGTATTCATTCACTAGCAGCTGTTTCCATCACACTTTCATTAGCGCTGAATAATGCGGTGGGGGAGAGAGAGAGAATACAAATGTGTGTTAGGAGGAAGGCAATCTATAAAAACAGTCTATCATCTTGGAACTGGCTCTCTTCTACCTCTATCTATCTATCTTATGTATCTTTATCTATCTATCTATCTATCTATCTATCTATCTATCTATCTATCTATCTATCTATCGACAGAGTCTCACTCTGTCCTTGCCCAGGCTGCAGTGCAGTGGCACGATCTCGGCTCACTGAAACCTCCACCTCCCAGGCTCAAGCCTAAGCCTCCCGAATAGCTGGGATTAGAGGCACACATCACCACGCCTGGCTAATTTTTGTATTTTTAGTAGAGATGGGGTTTCTCCATGTTGGCCAGGCTGGTTTTGAACCCCTGACCTCAGGTGATCCACCCACCTCGGCCTCCCAGGGTGCTGAGATTACAGGCATGAGCCACTGCACCTGGCCACTACCATTATTTTTTAAAATGTGACATACAGTCAGAACAACTGCTAAACCTTCGACATTTCAAAATGACTTTGTGATGACAACTTCTCCACACCAAAGTTCCTTGCTTATGCCACAATCTTTTGCAATCTGGCTTAACCCTACCACCCTAATGGGATGTTCTCCTAAGACTTCCCAAAGACACCGTCTACAAACTCCTTCTCCACCAGTCTCCATTTTTCTTGGCCAGCCAGCCAACTTGAATCTTCTAGTCTCTACTTCCTTCCTGTAATACACTCCTCCCCAGGCACTCCAGGCCACAGTACTGTGTCCCTTACTGAGCTAATATAATCACATGGCTTCGGGTTCAGTTCCACCAGAAATTTGGTGATTACATAGTAGGTCCTGAAGAGTTTTGAGTAGGGAAGTGATCATAGGTGTGCTGCAGAAAATTAATCCTGTTGCTTTATGAAGGAAAGAACAAAGCAAGCAAGCCAGATTTGAGGCTACTATAGTAGACACCCAGGAAACTAGTCATAAGAAGTAAATCAAGACAGATGTCAAAAAAGAATAGGATTTGACTGAAAAGTCATATCCTTCAAAGTTTAGCTCACCAGCCCTGTGCACCCCCTGCCCACAAATCCACTGATCATTCTAGTTAGCAACCACCCAAACTCTAAACCCTTCTAACAATCACACACAACTGTGACATTGATTAGCAGAGTTTGGGGGCATATCCATATCCCTCTTGGGATCCTCCAAAGTGCCAAGTACCCAGTAAATGCTCATTAAATACTGGTTGAATAAGACACTTTTCTGGTCACCATTACTGAAGTCTATTTCAGTTTTCATACAATTCTATAAATTCAGATGTATATAAAGAATTTACTGATGTACTGAGAATTATGTTTTATGATCTCCTTCAGCTCACAAGCTTCATAATAGTCACAAATTAAATGTCCAACAATAGGAAAATGCTTAAATAAACCATAGTCCCAATTAATAAAGGTAGAAAAAATAGAGTATCGCCATTTTGCAACTACCAATGAAATAATGGATCTAAGCAGTGGTTTGCTGGAAAAAGCTCATGCCAGCTTGTGAGAGCCAACTGTGTGCATCTGTTCCAAACTCCACATTCAGTAACACATCAGTAGGAATGAAATTAGCCATGGCAGGAGTGTTTACACCATAAAAATTGGCAAGTGGCCGGTTGTTAAACATTCACTGACACACCACTGGATGTAGGCAATGATGATCAATAGCTGATAAAACCATTATTTGAAAGGTCGCTGGGATCTTTATCATAACACATGGATCAGGCCAATACTACGTAAACCCATTAATCAATCAAACACCACAAAAATAAAGGCATTAGACACTAGAGATCTCTTAATGTGGTGCAGTAAGAAGTACACAGCATCTTTAGGTAGTATTCTTGTCAAAAATCTAAACTAACTCTAATCAAGCCTAGACCTACCTATTAGTTTATAGGAAATACATGGGATGGAAGAACAAACAATCAGCAAAATACAGAATGTGAAAAAGTCTACAAGGTAGATGACTTTTTATGAATAAATGAAAAGCAAAGAGGAAAAAAAAGACTGAGAGAAGAACCTATCAGTTAAGAGACTTAAAATATGCCAAAACAAGTGCAATGTGCATGTAGCCCTCGATTGAATTCTGAATGGAACAAACTAGTATAAAAAGACAAACTTGAGACAATTCAGGAAATAGGAACACTGGCCAAATATTAAATGATATTAAAGAATTATTGTTAATTTTGTTATGTATGACAAAGGTATTGTGCTCAAGTATTTTAAGACCTTATCTCTTAGAGAGATATACAAAGAGTTTATATATACAATTATATGATATTTGGGATTTGCTTCAAAATAATATGGGGGTGGAGGTTCTCAACTTTTGCATAAATTTGAAATTTTTCATAATACGGTTTTTAACAGAGCAGCCAGCATATAGATGATATATAAAAGAAATACAAAATTATCAGTACTGACATGGATATCTCCAAGAAATAATGTATAATGTATATCAAAAAGAATAAAACTTTTAGGAATACATTTAACAAAAGAAATGCAAGACTTGTATACTGAAACATTGTTGAAAGACACTTAAAGATCTAAATAAATGGAAAAACATCCTGTGTTCATGCATTGGACAACTTAATGTTATTAAAACCGCAATACTAACCAAACTGATATACAAATTCAATGCAAGCCATACCAAAATCCCAGCTGGCTTTTTTGTTTTTACAGAAATTGACAAGCTGATCATAAATTTCATGTGGAAATGCAAGGGACTCAGAATAACCAAAACAATCCTGAAAAAGAATAAAGCAGGAGGACTCACGCTTCGCAATTTCAAAACTTACTATAAATCTACAATTATCAAGACACTGTGGTACTGGCATAAGGATAGACCTATAGACCAACAGAACAGAACTGAGAGTCCAGAAATAAATCCTTATGTTTATGGTTAATTGATTTTCAACAAAGGTGCCAAGAAAATTAAATGGATAATTAATAGTCTTTTCAACAAATGGTACTGGGACAACTGTATATCCACATGCAGAAAAATGAATTTGGACTCCTAACTCATGCCATATAAAAAAATTAACTCAAAACAGAACGAAGACGTAAATGTAAGACCTAAAACTATAAGACTTTTAGAAGAAAAGAGGAGTGTTTGTGACCTTGAGTTAAGCAATGGTTTTTTAGATATGACAGCAAAAGCACAAGCAACAAAATACATAAATTAGACCTCATCAAAATTAAAATCTTTTATGATTCAAAGGACACCATCAAAAAGATGAAAGGACAACCCACAGAACGAAGGAAAATATTTGTAAATCAAATATCTGTAAAGGAACTTTTATGCAAAATATATAAAGAACATTTACAAATCAACAATAAAAAGACAACCCAATTTTTAAATGAGCAAAGATTCTGAACATTCTCCAAAGACAACATAAATATGACCAATAAGTACATGAAAAGATGTATAACATCATTAGCCATTAGAAAATGCAAATCAAAATCACAATACCACTTCATGCCCACTAGGATGGCTAAAATTAAAAAGGCAATAACAAGTGTTTTGAGGACGTGAAGAAACACAATTGGAATCCTCATAAATTGCTAATGAAATAAATTGGTTTGGCTGCTCTGGAAAATACTTCAATAGCTCCTCAAAATGTTCAACATAGAGTTAGTTACCATATGAACCAGAAATTCCAGCCCTACCTATATACTCAAGAGAAAGAAAAAATATGTTTACACAAAAACTTGGACATGAATGTCTATAGCAGAGTTATTCACAATAGTCAAAAAGTGGAAACAACCCAAATATCCAAAATGTGGTTTATCCATACAATGAAAGATTATTCAGCCATAAAAGGAATGAAGTATTGATTCATGCTACAACATGGATGAACCTTGAGAACATTATACTAAGTGAATGAAGCCAGTCACAAAAGACCACATATTATATGATTCTATTAATACAGAATTCCGGAATGGGCAAATCCATAGAAACAGAAAGTAAGTTAGTGGTTGCCAAGGGATAGAGGAAGAAAAGGGGGGAATGGGAATGATTGCTAATAGGTATGGGGTTTCTTTTGAGGGGGATGAAAATATTCTGAAATTACATAGTGCTGATAGTTATATATAACACTATGAATATACTAAATATCACTGAATTGTGCACTTTAAAAAGGTGAATTTTATAGTATATGGGTTACATCTCAATAACGCTTTCATTTAAAAAAAACAAAAAAACAAAACAAAACAAAAAAACTGCCCAGACTGCCAAATTGAACCCTTGGATAGCTGTGCACTGTGGGCCCAAAGGTTTGGGGTGGGTCAGGAATCCCATAGTCCTACCAGATTTTAAAAGAAACAAGTAGCACTCACAGGAAAAATACAGTAAGGAAATATATAAGGTCAGAGCTGCTTTTGTGGCCAAATTCATCTTTTAGAGAACCTGAAAGGTAAGTTTGGTATTAGGAACATCTCTTACTCCCAAGGAGTTTACCTACTTCTTAAGTTACAGAAACAAATATTCATTTATAGAAAACCGAGGAAAGACTTCTCAATTCGCCACTCAATAAACACAGCCACTTCCAAGTTAAGACAGAGCCCTTACCATGACGTTTTACCCAACTATACATCTCACAATGTAATCTTTGGGAGGTCCTCCAGAACTACTCCTCAGTGTTGGAAAGGCACTGAAATGGAATCTGAAGAACGCATCAGAGCTTAAAAGAGTGCTCGGGGCTGGGCGCAGTGGCTCATGCCTGTAATCCCAGCACTTTGGGAGGCTGAGGCGGGTGGATCATGAGGTCAGGAGATTGAGACCATCCTGGCTAACACGGTGAAACCCCGTCTCTACTAAAAATACAAAAAATTAGCAGGGCGTGGTGGCAGGTGCCTGTAGTCCCCAGCTATTTGGGAGGCCGAGGCAGGAGAATGGGCATGAACCCGGGAGACGGAGCTTGCAGTGAGCTGAGATCACGCCACTGCACTCCAGCCTGGGTGACAGAACGAGACTTCATCTCAAAAAAAAAAAAAAAAAAAAAAAGTGCTCGGAACATTTCTGTCATTTCAGCTGCATTCCAGGAGGTGGTAGCAGATGGTCATAAAGATACCCTGAATACAGAATCGTAGGGAAGATTGAGATAGGTAACCTCAGGCAGGAAAGACATCTCTGGTACTTTCAGATACCATCATTGCAGCTAAAGAGTGAAAAGCAAATTTTTTATAATAGGTGACATCTGTACATGAGCCAAAATTAAAAAGATACAAATAGGCATTCAACAGAAAGTAAGCTTGTTTCCCAGTCCTGTCCTCAGTCATACTGTTCCCCTTGCCCAGAAGCAACTATCATTACCAGTTTCTTTAGCATCATCCTGAAATTGTCTACACATTTATAAACATACACATTCTGCATCATACTTTTGTCACTTAATTTATCCGAGATAGCTCTCCATGTAGTATACGTGCCTGTTCTTTTTAACAGCTTCATACAATTCCATAGGATGGATGTACCATAGTCTCTTAACCATGGAATGAGTTGTTATTATCAGTATATCTAAAGCAGAGATAGGAAATTAGCTACCCATGGACAGACACTAGCCCTGGATGTGTTCTGTTCAGCCATCACAATGGTTTTAATGTGTGAATCTCAATGTATTTGGCCATATGGGATGTGGTTTTAAAAAAAAACAACTGACCATCAACATCCCCTTCTCCTTTTTTGCAGTAAGAAACGTATTTCTGGGAAATGGCTGCCCTGCCAAGGACTACATTTCCCAGCTGCCTGGCAACTAGGTCTATCCATGGGCCTAGGTCCCCCAGCTAGATTTGAGTGGAAATGATGAAAATGCCCGGTCTGAAACTTTAAAGGAATGGCTATGTCTCCTCCACACCATCTCTGCCCCTTCTGCCAGGCAGATGCTCAATGACTGGAACAAGGCAGAGCTAAGGCTTTTTACTGTCACCATGGAAACCTCAGGCTACAAACCTCAGGCATGGCTTTGAGAAGAGGCAGGTCTGAATCAAGAGTAGAAGAGAGGGGTAGTTCTTACTGACTCCGTGGACAGAAGAAACCCCTTTTTATGAAAAAAAAATTACCTCATGAAAATAACTGTTTCATTGAGGAAAAGGAGGTTAGGTACCAGCTTAGTGTGATTTTTCTTACAGGAATCTCAGTAATAAAAGATGTTTCATAGCTATAAATATAGAGACATAAAATCCAAACATCACTGAGCAAATTCCAGGTCTGACTGCCTCTAGGTTTTGCATACTTGCATTGTCACTGACTTAGACTTTCTTGCACATTTTTGCTATCTCTCAAACACAGCAGCTGTGTGGGACTGTGAGGCAATGGCTCCAAGAACTGGGTCAGCTATTACAAATGGTGATCTCCCTGTTACACACAGCGATCATAGTGTATCCGCTTCTCCTTATGAAAACACATGCCTCGGGTCTGATGCCAGTACCTAGAGAGCCCTGGAATCATCTAGGCTACTATAAATCACACATTCACACTCTCTTTACAGACACCAAAGTTGAAGCCAACTGTTCTATATTTCCAAAGTTGGCCTTATTCATTTTTATAGATTTACATTCTAAATCAGCCCTTTGTTCTTTTTCCCCATATCATGTTACCTATTTTCATAAATGTAAAGGCATTAATGCCACCTACTTCTAAGCTATTCCTTTAAATGCTGCTTGAATCCTACACCAAGAGTCTGTGGACTCTCCTTCCATTGGTTCTACAATTTTTTATTCTATTTCCTGCTTATTCCTTTGGATAAACATCATCACTCCTATGTAACAACCATCCCATCTTTCCCTTCATTTTCCTTTCATTTTTCTTTGCATCTTCTCTCCATCCTATTTCCTTTCCACACTATCACTCCACTTTAAGCCACTCTGTATCAGCACCTTAGCTTCAATCACTGCTTTTCACAATCCTGAGTCTCATTTTATTAAACAAGGGCTTCATTTTATCTTTCCCTTTCAACTCAAGTCCACATCTTGCTTCATCTCACATTATTTTCCCCTCTTTTCTTTACCTTTCCTTATTCTTCTATTGTCATAAACAGGGTGACCCAGGCAGTCTGTCTTAAGTGATAAAGTTGGCAGAAGGAGGGGATATGGGGGGCGGGGCTGGAGGGACAAGGAACAGCACAGCAGCAGGTGAGGTAGGCTTCCCCATGGCCACCCTCACATTCCCAAGTGCCTGACAGGAGGGAGGTCCAGAACGTAGGCAAAATGAAGAAGAAAGAAGTGGTCCCCGTGGTTAGGCAAAGAGAGATGTAGCAACAGAAGCTGGCCAAGCCTTCTGAGCAGGCAAATCATAAGAGAAGGAATATTTATGGCCAATAACAATACAAAAAGATTCTCAGCCTCACTAGGAATCAGGGACATGAAACTGCCTATTACACAGGTAATGATTAAAAAGATGAACATGAAGCAGTGTTGGCAAGATTGTGAGGAAACACTTTCAGACAGTGTTGATGATGGAGCAAGTTGACAGGTGTTCCACCTCACCCTTTGGCAACATATAGCTACACTTTAAACATCTACAGCCTTTGACCCTGCAACTCCAACCAGCAGGATTTAACCTAAGAAAATAATTAGATGATGAAACAAAGATACGGACATGAAATTATTAATAACCTCTGCCTCGTTTATATTATAAGAACAAGGTGGTGGTGTGGGGGAGCTTGGCAAGGGGAGAGTGAGGGGAGGCTCATACCTGTGAAGGAGTGATGGGGGAGAAGGACAAAAAGAGAAACAGAGGGGTATGAAGAGGACACGGGGGTCGGGGTGGAGAGAGAGAGAGGTTTGTTTGCAAGGGTGAGAAAGGAACGGGGGCTGGGGTCGTGGGGTGGTGGGTGAGCTTAAGAGGAAAGTATGGGGAAGAGAAAAGGCAGAGAGAAGAAGGGAGAGATCTCTCCATCAAAGCACAGTCAACCATGGTATATCCATATCATGCACACCTTAAAGGGAACGGTGCAATCCTCTATATGAAATAGAAAGATGGTTAATTGGAAAGATCAGGATACAGAACAGCAAGCATAGTGTGATCCCATTTATCTAAAGTGATACATAAAGATAAGTGCAGCAAAGGGATGCCTAAATGTACACCATGATTCTCAGTGAGTAGACTCTTCTGGTAGGTTTAAGCTCTATTTCATGCATTTCTAGTTTGTCAGCATTTCGATAATTTCTAGCAATATGCAATACACTAAAATTTTATATAATTTAGACAGACCCTTATACTTTTCTGTGAGAATTAACCAACATGAAAATAAATAAAGTAGATGCAATTATACCACCTGCTTTTCATACTGCAGAAATGTTCTATTCTTCATGTGATAAATTTAAACTGCTCATTAAAATTTCATCTGTATAAATTTGTACTGAAAAGACAATGGAATTAGGCTATGAACAGAGACATCACCCACCTAGCTATTATTTGTCTAAATCTTAGATTTATCAGGCCCTACCACAAGGGAGATCGTCAGGGCATTATCAAACCAAAATACTTTTCATCTTGAAGTCACATTGACACAGAGATATCAAAGAAAGCTGTCTTAATTCAGGTTTTCTCTAAAGAAGCCCCTGACATATGAACTTGAGAACAGGTATATTATTCGAGTGAGGGGAAAGTGAGACAGGGCAGGAGGGAAGCAAAACAAGAAAAAGTACATCAATGAATGGTGTACTACGGCAGGCAACTGGGGTTCAGTCCTTTTGCGAGCCTTCTGAGAAACTGGGTAGGAGGAATCACAGAATTGTCTGCTAGGGGTCAAGGAAGTCGGGGTGTTATCCTCCTCGGTGGAGGCTTGCCATTTCAGGCATTAAATTCTTGATACTTGCAGGCCACGGGAATATGGGCCTTACATGCTTACTAAGGCCTGTGGGCCAAATACAGTACTACAGGTTGAGTATCCCTAATCCCAAAAATCCAAAATCCAAAATGCTATAAAACCCTAAACTTTTTAGTGCCAACATGACACTCAAAGGAAATGGTCATTGAAGCATTTCAGATTTTTTTATTATATGCTCAATTGGTAAGCATATAATGCAAATATTCCAAAATCCAAAAATATCCAAAGCCTGAAACACTTGTGACCCCAAGTATTTTGGATAAGGAATATTCAACCCATATTTGGATTATGTTTATTATCTCACCAAAACCTTACAACTCCATGGAGTATTGGCTCTACTGTACAGATTAGGAATCTGAGATGCATAAACATTAAGCTACTTGCTGAAAATCAAACAGTGAATAAGCAGCTGAGCTGAGCTCCAAACCCAGTTTTGTCTCTTCCACTATGTGATGCAGTGTCGTAAAAACCACAGCATGTGAATTCTCCAGTACAGCTGGCATCTCCTTACTGGGTCACACAACCTGAGAGAGACCTGTGAGCATTTCCAGCCTCCCTTCTTGCAAGGTAAAGGTACTGAGATAGCTTCCCAGATTGTTTTAATTTTCTCGCATCCATAGGAAAATCTTCCAGGTCATAATCCGCCAGCCATGTGAAATTTTTATAGCATCATCACCTGTGGTTACTCCCACCCTACATACCAGTCACTATGAAATTTATGCCAGAATTCAGATCAAAGTATGAGAGGAAATTCAAGGCAAATTTTTGTCTGATGAACTCATGGCACAGAATTAAATTTGATAGAGAGTTCCAGATTTTAGTATATTAAAAAACAATCTATAACTTTACTGTGAGGAGAATACTTTATTAGAACAAATAAAACATGCTGAGCTCTGCCCAGACACAGAGGTCATGCTAATGTGTGAGCCAAGGAAAGTCTTTTCTTGCTTTAGCAGAAAAGATAATAATCTGCAAATCACTAGCATCTGAGGCTGGCCTGATTTAAAATGCACATAGATGGAGAAAAAGTTCCAGGAAATCATTGTATTTATAGCTTGCCTGCATGAGTCAGTGGAAAGGCCCTTGCTGCTCCCAAAATAACACTTGGGACAGCACCGTATCCTATCACCTTCACTAAAGCAAAGGCATGCCTCCCATCTTCTATTCCTTAGGTTCCTTAGGAGGGTATCTTCTACTTCACAGGAAGCCAAGGGAGCAGACAGGGCCCCTCTGGGCCTCCCCCACCTCCAGCCCCACTACACAACTGCGGGCTCAAGAACATCCCATCCCCAGAAGCCCAGAGCAGCCCACCTGAAGGAGCCCTTGCCCTAGGACCCTCCACCAACCACCCAACCATCAGTCAGATTCAGAGTCCCCTCAGCATTAAATCCTACAGGACACAGGATCTTCTCCATAAGTGTAAAATGCAGGAGAAGGTTCTGGCTAGGCCTTAATCTCCAAGATCTTTCATAGAAGACCACACAGGCATCTGAGGAAATGACAGACAGCGATCTATCTTGTTCACAAATTACCAATGATGCAGAGAGTAAGACCCCAGCCACACACTCAGCAGGCTGCATGGGAGTGAAGCATTTTTATCCTCTTGGTAGAGAATTTCCTAATTCTTGATCCATAACAAGTGTGGGCAAGGCTCCAGACACATGTGCTACATATGTGTCTAGAATTGCTTTCTCTCCCAAGAATACCATAGCCACGTGAAGACCTTCACGGAATGCGAAACTGCCAGGTCTGCTCTTTCTCCGGACTCACAGAGGCCACTGTGGCAGACACACATCCGCTGGCTCCAACAGGAAATGGAAGGGCTCAGGGGGCAAGGGGCACTTCACCTGGCACACTGGGCTGGAAGACTTTATTCAGATCCAAGGAGGAGGCTCTGGAATGGGTTTTCTGTGGCCGAGGTGGCGGGGTGGGAGGGTCCTCGCCCCTTTTCATGGCCTCTTCTATGGAGGTGCTAGAGTAAGATCTGTAGCAAAATAAGGGAAGGTCAGAAGCGAAATAGCAAAGCTTTACTCTCTGAAGTTGGGGTGAAATGGAAAATACCCACGAAGTCAAAGTGACTACAAAGAACCGATGAGCTACCAAAGCAGCCATAAATTCTATTACCCATTGAATGCCACTATGTACAATAATTGTCCAAATCCAACTATGAATTGGGATCTTTTCAACCTCTTTGTTCTTATTATACCTTAGATCTGAATCAACCCCCCAAAAAAAACTTTGTGTAAATTCAAATCCATTTCTATTGGAATTGTTAATAAGAATAATATGGAGCCCCTCAGCTTAGGCATTTCCATGTTCTAACAGAAGGGCTTCATGGTATTTCATGGTATAAACTGATCAGAGAACTTTTCTCCTGTTCACTTGCAAATGTGATGACAGGCTCATGTGGAATTGGGACAGATAAGCTGAGGGTAAGAATTCAATGTTCAGGGGAATATGCCACAAACGAAGCTGGGAAAGGAAAACACACATCAATCAGATTGAGGGGTCTAGCTTGTCTTTCCCTGAGAAAGCAAAAGTCTCATTTTCAACCTTCTTCCTCAATCTATAGCAAGGCATAATTAACTAGGCAACTTCTGAGATTGTAACTCTGGTAATATCATCTTTTTAAAAAGGAACTAAATAACTTGCAAAAGGTCAGATAGAAAGTTACACAGTTCGATTCAAACTCCAATCTCTGTTTCTATATCCCATTTTTAAAATGTTCTCATACTGCCTATGAGTTGGCGGGGGAATACTTTGGTGATAGCAACTAGAATATTTATTGGAGACCTACTTACTTTCCAAATAAAATTCAACTCCATACACTGCTTAGGAATAGGTTTAAGGACGGGTTCCCAATACGATGATCACGAAAAGGCCCTAAGATGTAGATGTATACATCTGTTTTATTTAGCTTCTCAACTAGCTTCATGTCAAAGCAGAAAACGACCTCTGAGTCAGAGGTACATCCTAGAGAGACAAATTAACCTCTGAAAACCTTCTTCGTACTTAGCTATTAGAGTGGCATTTATGAAGTTAGAATATATCAGTTACTATTAAACCCCTTCAGTTCTTGACAGAGCTGTTTTTGACATTGTGAGTTTTTATTTTCCTGAATAAATTTCTCAAGGATTCTTTGTGGTAGTTGAGGGTTCTGTCTGTCTTACAAGGTTGTAACTTTAATAAAGCCACCATAATGGCATGTGACGTGTTCTGGGGTGGTCCCTGTAACATAACTGGCAAGACAGGCAAGGCAGCAACAGGCAGAAACTAGCAGGGAAGAATGCTCTGGCTCTTTCAACAAGAATCAAAGGGAACTGATACGGAAGGACAAGGTTCTTAAATGGGAACACTTCACTTAAAAAAGACAATTAGAGACCCTAGCTAGAAATGAAAAGAGCTTTCTATGCCACATATAGCTTTAGTGACATCTTTCACTCAAAAAAGAAATAATGTGTGTGTAAATAATGTGTATGCGTGCACACTGTTAAGCACACAATCCCACAGCGCACATTCCTCATTTTCATTTTATTTTCATATATAACCTGTATGTTTATATCTTCATATGGAAAGTTACTGAATATAAAATAAGTGAGATTGTATAACCATGACTGCTGCAACCAATTAAAACATAAATGTGCAGGGAGTTAACAAAATGATGAATGCAGTGGTGTTAAAATGGTGATTTTCCCTCTTTCCCTTATATTTCTACAAAACTTTATTATTTCAAAAAGGAGGATAAAAACAATTCAATTCTCTTCTTCCCAGTGAGAAGTAATGAAAATAAAATCCTCCAAATTAGACCAAAAGCGCAATCTCTGAAAGGATAATATGTAAAATTTAGCCAGACACATTAATAACAGAACGTGTGGCTATGAGATTTTATAATTTCACTGGCTTTCAGGGAGAGAGGAAGTCAGCAGAAGCTAAAACTTTGAGGTTCGATTTATGGTTAACATAGTACACATAACAGATTTCTGCAATTCAAAGGCAATTCCTACTATGAAAGCATATCCCACAACTAGTACAGACTAGTTTGTAAAAGATCCATTCATCCTTTTACAAAGGATGAGTAAATGTGTTGACCACAGAAAGAATGCCTACACCTTTTCTTCCTACCTAAATGAATTACTCTATTGTTTTTAAATACACATAAATATAAAAATATAGATATCTGTATCTTACATAAACAAGGAAACAAAACCCCAATTTGGAAAATGCACATATAAACTAAAGGATAACTCTTTGACTTACAAAGAGATGAGGTTCCTTAAATATCAGTATTTCAAGCATATAAAATATGATCAGACTTAAATTTACTTTTTCAGGATTGTGTCTAGTAGGCAAAGGAGGGAAAAATGTCACTAACAGCCAAAGCAAAACAGAAAACACACACATGGTATCCTCGTTATCCTATCTTACACTGCAGTTCTACCAGTGAAATACAGTACCAATACCATTTCCCTTCCTTAATGGATTAATTCTATTAGTGTCTCTGTATTTCCCCTCTGCACCTCTCTTCTGAGTCTCACATCAACCACAGCTCTGCCTTACTGGCTTTCTCTCTTGTACTAGCCTCTTAAAAAATGTGAAGCTTACAGGGGCACTAAGATAGGCTCAAACAGACCATAAACATCGCTTACCTGAAACTGCAAGCTTCACTGAAGTTATCAGAAGCATTTTCTTTCCCTACTGTAGATTTTATTACCCAGACTTTTTACTTTTTGGTGTTCACCTTGTCATGATAGCAAATTTTCGTGTCTGTTACCTTACCCATATTTTCCTCTTTCCAAAGCTACTTCCCCCTATAAGTTATCATCTTGCAACAACTGGGTTGTCTCACACAATCCACTTCACGTTGAGGGGCCGTAGGGCATTCATGGTCACCTTCTAGCACTAATGACCACAGAAACCAAGGCTCCCAGCATTACTGCATGTTCCCATCAGGCCATGCACGAGCGAAATGGCTCATATCCTAAGCTTTACATCTAAAGGAAGAGGAAATCATGGGTTGGGTTTTGGTTTGTGGTTCTTATTTCTAGGCAGGGGCACGGCACAAAGGGCATTAAAGCAGAAATTAAACGAACACTACCTGGATCTTGGTCTTGCTTTGAGACTGTTGGAATCCTTGGGAGTTGCTGAAACAAAGATATTGCTTGGGTTTCATTTCTGCAGTTAAACAAGTTTATATGCAGCACCTGGGCTAGTACAGAACACATCAACAGGTAAATGTGAGGTAAAAGTGCCCATGTGGAGAACTGGACGGCTCCCACATTTTCATGATTTCCTTGTTTTATTTCAAAATCTAAAGAAACGATTAAAAGGAAAGAAAAACCAGCATATTTTTCCTTTGGTCAAGCACTATTTGAGAGGCCATTCTCAAATCCAAGTTAATTAATGAAGACATTCCAGTATAAAAAGACAACCCCCTTGAAAGGGGGTTGTCTTTTTATATAATGATGGATTCACACTTCAGGGTTTCTTGTTCTATCATGATAGTCTAGTAATAGATTTTGAACTAGTCTACCCTGAAGGATAGGAAGAAGTCTATCTAACTACACGTTTTAAAAAAAAAAAAATACACTACCAGAGCAGCATGGCCACAAAAAAACAAAGCTCTCACAAGTAAGTGGAAATGAGCTATACAGCTTCTCCTGTAAGAAAATATCCTTGTGTCCCACATGTCTGTGACCAAATCATACAGAGAATTATGAACAATATCGCTGAATCTTTTCCCAGCCATATGACTTTTCCTCATCAAATTTAAATCATAAACTAACTTGCTCACTACCAACGCCCATACAGCCTTCTTCCCCATCACAAGTTGTGAGGAGTAATTAGAAACATTTACAAAAACACTGATCCTCTTTTTATGCTTTCAATCCTCTATGGAAGACAACTTTAGGAACCAGTAGCTATGCTCAGGTGTTACAAACATTGCAAATTTTTCATCATAAAATGTCATAAAAAATCATAGAAAAGGTGCTAGTAACACAGAACAAGAAGAATGTAATTTCTTTGTCTGCATGAATTCTTCCAAAAAGAAAATGTCTCACTGCATTATCTCATCCTCTTTTACATTGCTCCAAAGATAAAAACCCTCCTTGGTATGAAGCAGCCTGAATTTATGATGATCATTAAAATCCTTGGGTTAGATAACAGGACAGAGAGGGGAGGTGAAAATCCTCATAAATGCTAACAAGGCACAAAGCAAACTACTGGTCAGCTGCACAAGAGATACACTTCTCCCAACCCAAGCATTTTGGCTTGTTGTAGTGAGAACACAGAGATCTTCCAACTTCAAACAGCTGAAACGCTGCCAGAGTGCAGGAAAGCCTGGAAAGCCCAAGGAGTTTGAGTCCCCTTTTGCCCATTATCGTGCACCCACACCTGGATATAGACAGAAAAAGACCTCCCTCCCTCCTACAAACCCCAGGCAGCAAAGAAAGCGACCTCAGGAAGCCTCTCTCCCAGCTCAGGAGGCTGCCTTGGGGCTGGGTGGACAGAGTGGACCAGACTCACCACAGAGCTGGGGAAGCCCTCTACGCAGGCTGCCTGCAGCTGGCTCCGTGGCCCTCTTCTCCCTCAGGCCCCACTGCTTTCAAGAAATACATGGGTAGGAGAGGTCCCCGCCATGATAAAATACTGTTCCCCAAATCAGACCATGGTGACTGTTAATTCCTTTGTCAAGTGCCATTATCTTTGTCTTTTTGCTGGTAGGGATGGGTGTGGAAGGAGGGGTGAGCCCTGCTGGTAAGAGATAGACAGACAGACAGATGGGGTGAGGGTGTGGATGAGTAGTGGAGAGACAGGACTAGAGACCAGGCCAGGAGTCCTGAGACTAAGGCCCTCCTCCTGGCCATGACACTAACTAGCTGTTACTTCCCTGAACCTCAGTCTCCTCACCTAGAAAACAAAGGCAATAAAAATGCAGTTTCTTTCTCACAGGGACAGATAAGGTGAAAGTAATTTAAAAACTGAACGTACTTTAGAATTGCAAAATATTACTATTGTAGAGTGCATAAATAAAGGCTCCTAATTTTTTAAGCCTGGAAATCTGGTTTCTAAATTTAGTTTCTTCTAGGACAGCAAAGGAGGTGCAGGTAGGAGCAGGTAATGGAAGGACAGAACTGCTCTACTCCAATAAAAACATGGGGTGATAGTTGGCAATGGAGCAGCTGCTAGAATCACCAACAACAGTCTAAAGACAGCACTGTGAGGGTGAACCAGCTGAAAACACCTCAACATGGGCCAGAAACATCAAGAAAAAGACCACCATTGTGCATGGTGCTCTGCTGAATTAGGTTGGAATGGGATATTGGTTTAAAAAATCTCTTAAGGCTCCACTAACATAGACACTCTCAGCAATTACAACAAGTGGATCATAGCTTCTCGTGTAGCTGGAAAGAGGGAAAAGGACTGCCACCTTCCTAGAACACTCAAGGCATGTCATCTTTCCAGGAAATGGGAATGGAAAGAGGAGCAGGCCTAGAGATTAACCCTCCAAAAAGCAGCAACTGAACTGAGGTCCACATGGCAAGGACAGCCATCCAGAATTCTAAATCACCACCTTGAAACGCTTGTGTCTCCCACTGGGAATCCAAACATTTCCCAGAAAAGGAGGGATTAACTATGTTTAAGATGAGGAACTCCCTCATACCCAGAGAGGGGCAGTAGTGGGAAGAACAAATCAGAAAACACATAGCATGCTGCCAGGCACAACGAGAAATCAATTCCGACATACTTCTCATGCTGTGGCACACCTGACAAGTTTTATTTGGTGATGCCATGTCCTAGTCAATGAAGGAATGTTAAAAATGAGATCTAAAGCTCATGCCCCAGAGGACACTTGATCTTGTGCTAAAATCCCTTAAAAAAAAAAAAAAAAGTAGGAAAAGTTATGATCCTCAAAGGCTGTTGGAGAAGCACCAATTTAACACTCCAAATTTAAACAGCTTTTACTAATACTACAACATGAAGTTTACAAAAACTGGAATGCATCCACTTTAGCTCCAGAAATAAGAGCTAGAAAGAACTGACCCCAGGCGTTGGCCTACATTAACAGAGCATTTCACCCAATAAGGAATGAATTCAAATCTGTTTCAAGAGTCAAAATTAAGCTTGGGAATTCCCATCACTTTTGGAGTCATGGTTGATCTATAACCTTAATTTTCTATTTTGTAGCATCACCTTCCAGAGCTGGTGGTTCCCAAAATAGGCTATGTACCAGAACCAACTGGGGAGCTGCCTAAAAATACACCTTCTCAGGCTTCCATAATTGAAATTCATCATCCACATTCATTCATATTTATTCTCATTCTCATGTTCTCTCTCTCTCTCCTTCCCCCTACCATATTTTTCTCCCACTCCCCCAACTCCTTCCTCTCCCTCCACCCATCTCTCTTTGAAACTCTGAATGAACTTGACATTTGGAAAATATTGTACCACAGCATAAGCCTCAACATTATATTGATTCCTCTGTTCCAATGTTCAACAAATAAGCCTAGGATGATAGCTAGCTTATCACAACAAACATGATTGACTTATTAAAAATATACAAGAAATAAAACAGCAAAAGAGAAAGCAACAACTTTTTTCATGTCCTTATAACTAGAGCTCCAAATAGTAATGTCTTCTGTAGCCACTTTGTTTTTAACTAGATTCAACTTGGTTCAATGATGGCTCCATCAACAGAGAGCTGCGGACACAGGGGCAGCCATTCTCCATGACTCCACAGACACAGGTCTGACTCTCCAAAAAACTGGACAACTTTTATTTTTCTCCTTGGAATCCACTCCATATATAAGCACATATAGTTGCCTTCCTGGTGGTGAAGCATAATAAAAATATTTGAGATTTCTGCTTTGGAAATGGAAAATACCAACTCTGGGCCTCCAATTGATCTACCCTATAAGTTCCTTACTCTACACAAAACCCAAAATGGCTTGTTGAAATCATCTCAACCTCAAGCCTTCTCAATTTTGCACTTAGTAACAAGACCCTATATTCACACGGAGTGATCCTTCGTGATCCTTTCAGTGAAACTTAAAAACTTGAAAAGATATCACCCCGTTCTCATACCTGAAAAGAGAGAAAGGGTAAAAAGCCAAAAGGTTTCCTTGTAATAAAATACAAGACAAATAAATAGAGAGAAACAGACACACTATCACAGAGGTATCAATCTTCTACTCACTGACTTGCTGTTTTTTTATTTTAAAATAATTATATATAAAGTATACAAAAATGGTTTTCTCCTACCTGGATCCTCAGACACGTCCTTTGGTAAGGCTTCATTGATAGTACTTTTCAAAGCTAGTTGTGTTTTGTTTTTTAAGCAAAAAGAAAGAGAAAAGAGGAAAAAAAATTAAAACTATAAAATGTTATTTCTGAGGCAAATTGGATTCAAACAAAGAATCGCTAGTCATCACTTACAAAAACAGGTCTCACAAACCTCTAAAAGTTGCTATAGCATTTACTAAAACAATAAAGACCTCCTGGAGTATGGAAATAGGTTCTCCTTCTACAAAGAGCAAAGATGTATTTTCAACTTTCCAGAGACAGCACCTCAAGCAGATAGGAGAAGTATTACCAGGAAGTATTGGGAGTTTCTCCCTCTTTCATTCCTGACACCCAGACTGATGACATGAGAATCCCTGGGAGTGAAATCCAGGCTTCAATATTTTTACAGTTTGCCCAGTTATTCCACTGTGCAGTTAGGAGAATGGTCAGAGTACACGCTACTGCAGACAATGTCCAGTTCTACCTGTCTCTCCCAAGCAAGTATTTAAATAGAGAACATGCAATTACTGTCACTTAATGGAAAACTTATTTTTCATGTTAAGCCCCCATACAATGCCTAATCAATGGCAGGCCTTAACAATAAAACCTGAAATAGCTTCACTGATTTTTAGTCCCTTCAAATAAGCCTCTCATTCATGGGTAGTAAATCAATATCAAATAACAGGCAGAATACTGGCTTGAGGCTTAGAAAAAATCTTGGTTCTTGTCCCAAATCTTTTTCTTAATAACTAGGCAAATGATTCATAGTGTCTGAATTTCAGTTTACTCATCTCTAAATTTCAGGTGATAAAACTTACCAGCCTCCATTCAGTTTTGTGAGGACTGAATAAGACAGTATATGAGCAAGGACCTGGTAGATTATAAAGCACTATACAAAGTATAGGAGGTGGGGGAGAGGGTCCCTCCCACACTTCTAGATATTCCCAAGCCAACTCTTCCCTGGGAGTAGCTCTAACACGGAATGCTGTGCTGCACTGCTTCTCAGCTGCCCAGTAAGATAGGAAAATTGTAGCTGGGCTCCATGTCACACTCCCACACTCACAAAGCCAAGAAACAGATAAACACTAAGGACAGAAGCTGTGTCCAGAAGAGAACTTCCTCATGGATTAGAGCTGTATGCAAATGTGCATTTACACTGATGTCTGGGATCACATCCGCAAACACAACATGTTCTCAATTCGTTCAGCTTCCTGTCATTTCCTAATTGCTACGATCAGATTCCAGTGTAAGGTGTTAAGAGTAGGCTGAGGGTCAGCAATGACTAAGGGGCCAATGAGTTGGAAGACTCTGGACACTCAAGCTCTTGCTACCACTTTGTGAACTATTGTTTTATGACAATGATTTGAACTACTTAGTCTATCCAAATGTGTTTACATGCTGAGAACCACCCTCATATGCTCTAGAAGCCACCATTCCAAGAGGAGTAGATAAGGTAACAGGTAGAACGCTGGTTAAAGAAGAAAACTCATTCTTCTCCTACCTTGTTTGTCATCACTAGTTACATCCTGGTTAGGGACAGGAAGGTCAGCCATGTCTTTAACAGATGTCTTCTTTGAAAAAGAAAAGTAAATGAATTAAACTGGTTGGAACAGAAATTAAGTGATGCGCACATATGATGAAAAAAAATTTTTTTTTTTTGAGACAGAGTCTCGCACTGTCGCCCAGGCTGGAGTGCAGTGGCGCGATCTCGGCTCACTGCAAGCTCCACCTCCCGGGTTCACACCATTCTCCTGCCTCAGCCTCCCGAGTAGCTGGGACTACAGGCACCCGCCACCACGCCTGGCTAATTTTTTGTATTTTTTAGTAGAGAAGGGCTTTCACTGTGTTAGCCAGGATGGTCTCCATCTCCTGACCTCGTGATCCACCCGCCTCAGCCTCCCAAAGTGCTAAGATTATAGGCGTGAGCCACCGCGCCCAGCCGAAAATGTCTTAAAAGCTATTATTTCTTGCCACCATTTCCATCTGCAGTAAACCCTGCATTTAATACTACCTTATTTTTTTTAGGTTCCTAGTGAGGTATATGTTAATTTGTATTGAAATTTTACATACACAGAGGAAAAAAATGATTCAGATTAAGGCACATGTATTAAATCTGAATTCAGACTGGGATTCAGCCACAGAATTGCATAGCAACTCTGGTCCATTTGGCCAAGAACAAACCTGTTCTTTATGTATTTTTTCACAAACACAAAGAAGTTCTGACAAGTGGCCCCACAATGTGGGTGTTTGCCAAGATCTGTCATGCAGATGGTGTCTAAACCTGATTAAACCAGCCTTCTTGTTGTGGGATAAAAGAATTTTACTGATGAGCAGATTAAAATTTTCTCCTAATGCAAACAGGGGGGAAGTCCTCACACTAATATGAATACCCAAATCTATCAAGTATGAATTAGTTTTAAACCGTTTAAAATCTACTTACTGTAAATTTACTTCTTGTAAATTCTCAATTTAACACACATTCTAACTATAGTTAATAACAATGTATGGTATACTTGAAAACTGCTAAGGGAGTTGATGTTAAATGTTCTCACCACACCAAAAAAAGGTAACTATGTGAGAGGTGACAGGTATGTTAACTAGCTTGATTGCAGTAATCATTTCACAATATATACATAGATGAAAACATCATAAATATATATTTTTTGTCAATTATACCTCAAAGCTGGAAAAGAATATGCACTCTAATGCCTATAAGATTAAGTTCAAGAATAATATATATTCACATTTGCTTTATTTATATACACAAACTCTGGAAAGATATGTAAGAATTGAAAGGTGAGTTGGTAGATGGGAGGAAGACTTGTCAACATATGTCTTTTGATATTGTTTATATTTAAAACATAGTCACAAATTAAATAAAGATAAATTGTAACATTTATCTTGAAGGAAGGAGAGTAAATGCCTGGAGCCATCTGGTGTTCCAAAAAGTTAATTGGTTTACCTCTCAGAACCTAAACAACCCCAGAGAGATAAGCAATACTTTTGTTTTTAAACTGTTCTGAAGAAAGAGACTGAAGTATTACTCAGTAGAAAACTGGTCTAAGATTTAACAGTCTTCACTCAGGTAATTCTTTTTTTTGAGATGGAGTCCTGCTCTGTTGCCCAGGCTGGAGTGCAGTGGCACAATCTTGGCTCACTGCAACCTCCACCTCCCAGGTTCAAGTGATTCTCCTGCCTCAGCCTCCTGAGTAGCTGGGACTACAGGCATATGCCACCACGCCCGGCTAATTTTTTGTATTTTTAACAAAGACAGGGTTTCACCGTGTTAGCCAGGATGGTCTCAATCTCCTGACCTCGTGATCTGCCCACCTCGGCCTCACATAGTGCTGGGATTTACTCATTAAAACGAAGTATCCAGATATAATTTTCTATTCAAAGTCTACTATCTCCAATAGAACAGACAATGTATCATAACAGTGCATTTCTTTCATTGTCTTTTCCCACCTGCATTATAAATCAGGCCCCTTTGGAGAATAACATAATTTAGAAGTAGGCAATGTAGATAAAAAGAAATCTCAAAAAATTGTTGAAAGAAATTAAATATCTAAATAAATGGAAAGACATCTCATGTTCATGAGTTAGAAGACTTAATATTGGTAAGGTGGCCATACTCTCCAAACTGATCTACAAATTCAATGCAATCTTTGTCAGAATTTGGCAAGCTTGTCCTAAATTTCATATGGAAATGCAAGGAAGTCAGAATAGCAAAATATTCTTGAAAAAGAAGAAAAAAGTTAAAGGATTCACACTTCTTGATTTCAAAACTTACTACAAATCTAAAATTATCAAGACACTGTGGTACTGGCATAATCATAAACATATAGATCAATAGAATAGAACTGAAAACCCAGAAATAAACCCTTACATCTATGGTCAGTTGATTTCCAACAAGGGTGCAAGACAATTCAATGGGGAAAAAAACATCTTTTCAATAAATGGTGCTGGGACGACTAGAAATCCACATACAAAAAAATAAAGTTGGACCTCTTCCTCAGAACATACACAAAAATTAACTCAAAATCACACACCTAAATGTAAAGGTCTAAAACTATAAAACTCTCAGAAGAGGCCAGGCTCAGTGGTTCACGCCTGTAATCCCAGCACTATGGGAGGCCGAGGTGGGTGGATCACAATGTCAAGAGATCAAGACCATCCTGGCCAACATGGTGAAACCCCGTCTCCACTAAAAATAGAAAAATTATCTGGGCTTGGTGGCACGCACCTGTAGTCCCAGCTACTCAGGAGGCTGAGGCAGGAGAATTGCTTGAACCCGGGAGGCAGAGGTTGCAATGAGCTGAGATCACGCCACTGCACTCTGGCCTGGTGACAGAGCGAGATTCCGTCTCAAAAAACAAAACAAAACAAAAAAACAAACAAACAAAACTCTTAGAAGAAAACATGGAAGTACATCTTCGTGATTTAATATTAGGCAATGGTTTCTTAGATATGATGCCAAAAGCACAAGAACACTTACAATTCAATAGACAAGTAATGCAATTTTAAAATGGACAAAGGACGAGACACTTGGCGAAAGAAGATATACAAATGGCTAATAAGCACACAAAAAGATGCTCAACGTCATTAATCATTAGGAAACTCAAATCAAAACCACAATGAGATACCACTTCATTCCACTAGGGTGTCTAAAATCAAAAAGGCAGACAATAAGTGTTAACAAGGATGTGGGAAAATTGGAACCCTCATACACTGCTAGTGGAAGAATGTAAAATAGTATAGTTGCTTTGGAAAGCAGTTTGGTGGTTCCTCAGAAAGTTAAGTTATGATACAATCCAACAACTCCACTCCTAGGTATACACTCGAGAGAACCGAAAACACACACCCACACAAAAACTTGTACATCTATGTTCATAGCAGCATTATTTACAATAGCCAAAAGTGGAAGCAATGCAAATGTCCATCAACTGATGAATGGACAAACAAAATGTAGCATATCCATACAATGCAATATTATTCAGCATTAAAAAGGAATGAAGCACTGATACATGTTATGATCTGAGTGAACCTTGAAAACATTATACTAAGTGAAAGAATACGGTCACAAAACACTACATACTATATGCTTCCATTTATATGAAATGTCCAGAATAGGCAAATCTAGAGACAGAAAATAGACTAGTGATTATCAGAGGCTGGCAGAGACAGTGGAATAGGAAGTGACTGCTCATGAGTATTGGGTTTCTCTTTGGGCTGATGATGTTCTTCTAAAATT
The DNA here is from genome assembly GCF_000001405.40 of Homo sapiens. Taxonomy (NCBI): domain Eukaryota; kingdom Metazoa; phylum Chordata; class Mammalia; order Primates; family Hominidae; genus Homo; species Homo sapiens. The sequence goes on along the minus strand of NC_000023.11, from coordinate 17,064,721 downwards.
AAACTGTAGAGATGGTGGAACAACTGTTAATATAATAAAAATTACTGAATTGTATACTTTAAATGGGTATGGTATGTAAAGTCTCTATCAATAAAGCTGTTTAGAAAAAGAAAGAAATCCAGTAATGTAAGAGACACTCATAAAAAGAAATATACTTGAAATTATCATCTGTAATTCTTAATGGAAATAAGTACATGGCTAACAGCTCTGCTGTCTTTAGAAAAAGATGTATCACTAAGCCAATTTCTCATGACGTGAGACCTAAATCAGCTGCAGCTTTGTTCAGAACACAACCACCTATACTGGAGTCATCGATCACAGGGCTGGTTCCAAAATCTAATTAAACTCCATGCATTCATGATAGATTAAAAGACTAGTAGAAAGAACAATCAGTAATAGTTTAGAAGAACATGAAATATTGAATCATTATTGCAATCTGACCCGTACTTCTTAAATGAACAAACCATCAATAAACCCTATTACTTTGTCCTTGAATTCTGTTTACTGCATTCATTGTCTAAAACCATAGCATCCTCAAAAATAACAATTTGGTTGGAAAAGAGGGGATTTTTTGTTGTTGTTTTGCTTTCTTCTTTGGATAGGGCAAAAAAAAAAAAAAGACTAGGTAGTTTTTAATCTCCCCTCCCCAAGGAGGCCACTTAAAGTATGCAAAAGTATATAAAACTAGCTGCATATAAAATCCACAAAGGTGAATATATGTAACGCCATCCAGGACATTAGAGAGAGAGAAAGAGCAAGCGAGAGAGACTGTGTGTGTGTGTGTGTGTGTGTGTGTGTAACAGTAAAACAGACGTGTGCATGTGTAACAGATTTTATGGCCGTTTTAAAGAAGACCAACTAATAACTTCATCATTTTATGCAAGCAGGGGGCCCATCACACACACACACACACATAGTCAGAGAGCCATAGATGTATCCATCCTGGCTTGATAAACAAAGCTCTTTAAACACTGCTAGAAGCCCCAAAGTAAACTGAGGGCCATGAAAAGTGGCAAACTATTTTATCTCTCTCTTTGTCATAAGCATTCTGCAGAAAAAAAAAATTTTAACCAAAATTCTTCAAATGCACATCTGTCATTCCTCCTGAAGTGACTTTTCTTTATGTCTTTTTCCCATGAGTAGAAATCTGAGGAAAGTACCATGGAGGACACAACTCAAAGAAAGAGAAGCAAAATGGCAGAGAGATGTTAGTCAGAGGGGCACTGGAAAGGCAGGCTTGACTGGCTCACAGGGGAGCAGACGGTGCCATCCATAACACATGCTACAGGCATGAGGGCCTCATGTGAGAGAATAAATCATCATGCACAGTCACAAGAAATTAAAGAAATGTCCCTGTTCCCTGACTTTGACTTCTATCATCTTGCAGTGGTTTCAACTAGGGTCAGAGGACTCTAATAGTCTCTGACTATTATGGAGTCTGTGAATAAAGCTCCATTTATTAAACATTTCCAGATCTTTTAAGGAAGGGAAAAGCAGGTATCCTAAATTGTCATCACAGTAATCATAATGGTGATGATGATGATAATGACAATGGTGATGACAACAATAACTATAACAACTCCTATTTATTGATCCATAGCTAAGGCTTCCTAAGCACTTGGCTAAGCCCTTCCATCCATGGCCCAACACTGGGGGAATTCTCCAAGTTCCTTCTGGGGATCATCCAAATCAGTCCTCATTTGGTTCAAAAGCTAAAAACCCTGAGGGAGTTCCGAATGTGATTTGGGGCCCTCATATAAAGTTCTCAAACCTCTTCTCAAAACAGTTCTGATTCAGTATAGCTTATTAATGCCCAACTGATAAAAATAGAATCAAAATTGTTTACTAGGGAATTAAAGCTTGGTTAAAGTAAATAACTTGGCTAGAATTTTCTGTCTTAGTTTGGCTATATCTACATTTCACATCTAGAAGGTCTAGAGATTATGTTACTTACTTTACCACATCCAGTTTTAGGGAGAAAAGGGAAAAAAATTATAGATACATCTGGTGTCTAGATCTGAAAGGCTGAGCATCAAAGTATTAATAATTACCAAGTATGAAAAGGAAATGTTATAAAAGCTCATTTTCAAACAAAAAAAAAGTTCATTTTCCAGAATTTGTAAAGAACATAGGCCAATGGATTTAGCTCCATACACATCCTTATTTATTAGCATATGAAGATCTTTTACCTCCATCCGATTCAAGTCACGAGGTTGTTGATTTGCCGGCAGTGACTCAGAATAAGAATCAAATAATTGACAGTCCCATTTGGGCTTAGGAAAAGCTAAGAAGAAACAAAAAGAATATATCAGAATATTTCCTATAGCCATAGTAATCAGTGTTTCCCATCAGCTTTTCTGTGCTTGTTAAATATAACAACAAAATCAGCTAGCTCTGATAGACCACATATGGCATTCATCATGCTGAGGTAGTACTTTCAGTTCTTTATATGGACAACCCAGTACTTCTATTATCCCCATTTCACATGTGATGAAACTGAGAACAGGGCAACTTACTCAAGGTCATACAGCTGATAAATGGAAGAGCAGGGACTTGAACTCTCAGCAGTCTGGCTGAAGGGTATGTGCTCTGAACACTTCATGTTATAGCATAGTAATTTTCCACAATAACCATCACTATCACAATATGTAAGTCTTAACTATGTTACTAGTGTAGTTTCTAATGTATAGGGACATTAACTAAGGAAATACATCATTTAACTATTGTTAGAAATAGGCAAGATCTTATAATGATGTGCACCCAACATGATTTTACGAAATATTTATCTCCTTGGTTGGCAGGAATGATAAAAATAAGAGCATAAATTCTTGCTGATTTACAACAAAGAAAAAAAGAATCACATTAAGGGTTTCTTTCAATATGCAATAGTGACACTGGCTGTTATTTCGGTAGTTGAGTGAATTCACACGAGGAAAGATCAGGCTACTTGGTAAGCTAATTACTTCACACCAGGCTATGTCTTAGAAGCGGATTCTGCTTCACTACTTTGTCACAAAGTAATTAGGAAAGAAATATCTCAACAGCTAGAAAATTTGTCAATATTCCAAAGAGGAAAAGCAGACTGTGGCAGATAATAAACAGAAGCTACAAATCAAATTTGTCACAACAAGCTATTAGGAAATAAAATTGTAATGCAAGGTTTAAAAAAATTTGAATCAAATGTGAAAAGTGGATTGGCATTGTTTTTAATCCTTCCCCACCCTCCCACTCCCATCAGGGACTGAAATGCCAATATCCTTCTGCAGTAAAGTACTGGCCATTGGCCAGGCATGGTGGCTCACACCTGTAATGACAGCACTTTGGGAGGCCAAGGCAGGAGGATTGCTCGAGCCCAGGAGTTTGAGACCAGCCTGGGCAACATAGTGAGACCCTGTTTCATCTGTCTTTGTATCTACCTACCTACCTACCTACGTGTCTATCTAATTTAAATAAATACATACATGCATACATACATACAGTAAGTAAGTAAGGAAGTACTGGTCTGAGTATCAGCACCACATGGAGTTGAGTACAAGCACCTTAATTTGTTCATTTGCTTACTCTGGTCTGAATTTCACCGATTTCTCTTTCTAGTCTATCAATCAAGGCTCTGACTGGTATTATATGACTGATGCTTTATCATGAGCGGATCTTCCTGTGAAGAAAGCTAACACTTTCCAAAACTATAATTTTGTCAATTACCTGCTAAATCTCTCTCCAAGGTGTCCACATCTCTCCATATCACTGTCACCTCCCCATTGCAAGCACCCCGCTGCTCCTGACTGGCCAGCTACCACAACTTAGTCTTCTGGTTTCTACCCGTGCCCCTCAAAACCTGTTCTCTGGACAGTAACCTGCATGATCATTTCACATAGCAAATCTGATTGTGTCACTTATCTGCCTAAAATAAGGTGACATTATTGCCCGTCATATGTTCCCCACCTTCTTCCTCAGCTTCAACCCAGCCTCTCTACCCCGGTTCTGTGCACGCCAGCCACTGTGGCCTGAAATTCCCACTCCTCCTATGCTCCAAGCCCCCTCTCAGAGCCTCCCCAGCATACCTGCTGTTCCCCCTTCCCAGAACCTAAGCTTCTCTCTTCTTCACCTATGTAGTCCTTAGCTCAGCCTTCACATCTCAGCCCAAACGTTTAAGGAAATCTTCCCTAAGATCATGCACCCTCTTGCTGCACCTGTACTTCCCCTTCATGGCACGTATCAACTGCCCACAAGTTCATGGGAGTAGGAGCTCTGTCATACAGCATTCTGACCACAGTGAACAATGTGGTACCTCTCACGCAGTAAGTACTCCATAGGTATTTTTTAACAAACTCTATGGCAAAAATTTCTACCAGAACCCACCCAATCACCTATCAAAAGGTGACTTTTTTTATTTTTTTATTTTTATTTTATTTTATTTTTGAAATGGAATCTCACTCTGTCACCCAGGCTGGAGTGCAGTGACGCAATCTCGGCTCACTGCAACCTCTGCCTCCCAGGTTCAAGCAATTCTCCTGCCTCAGCCACCCGAGTAGCTGGGGACCACAGGTGCACGCCACCGCACCTGGCTAATTTTTGTATTTTTTGGTGGAGACAGGGTTTCACCATGCTGCCCAGGCTGGTCTCAAAATCCTGACCTCAATTGATCCTCCTGCCTCAGCTTCCCAGAGTGCTGGGATTACAGGCGTGAGCCACCCCACCCAGCTGAAACTATCAAAAGGAGACTTTTGATGAAACTATCAAAAGGAGACTCTTGATGAAACTATCAAAAGGAGACTCTTGATGAAACTATCAAAAGGAGACTTTTGATGAAACTATCAAAAGGCTAGCGGGTAAGCCACCAACTAATACAACTCTGTCCTTGAAGTTTTACTATTAGGGAAAAGGGACTATTTCCATAATTGCAAGTAAAATGGCATCAGATACAATTCCTGTTCCATTATTTTAGAAAACAGGCCAGGTGTGGTGGGTGGTTCATGCCTGTAATCCCAGCACTTTGGGAGGCCGAGGTGGGTGGATCACTTGAGGCCAGAAATTCAGGACCAGCCTGGTCAACATGGTGAAACCCCGTCTCTACTAAAATACAAAAATCTGTCAGGCATGGTAGCAGGCACCTGTAGTTCCAGCTACTCGAGAGGCTGAGGCAGGAGAATTGCTTGAACCCGGGAGGCAGAGATTGCAGTGAGCCAAGATCATGCCACTGCACTCAAGTCTGGGTGACAGAGCGAGACTCCATCTCAAAAAAAAAATTATTATTTTAGAAAACAAGCTTGTCTAGTTATGAATGCATGAAGATATCAACCAAATTTATACTCTTCACCAATCTTATCAAAAACTGGATTAGATTTTTTAAAGACTGAATATAGATCAATTAGAAAAAAGTTGGAAAAAGGTAAGAGTTAAGCTTTAAAAAAAAAAAAAAAAACACTAGGCCGGGCGTGTTGTCCAGCACTTTCGGAGGCCGAGGCGGGTGGATCATGAGGTCAGGAGATCAAGACCATCTTGGCTAACATGGTGAAGCCCCATCTCTACTAAAAATACAAAAAATTAGCCGGGCATGGTGGCATGTGCCTGTAGTCCCAGCTACTTTGGAAGCTGAGGCAGGAGAATGGCATGAACCCAGGAGGTGGAGCTTGCAGTGAGCCGAGATTGCACCACTGCACTCCAGCCTGGGCAACAGAGCAAGACTCCGTCTCAAAAAAAAAAAAAAAGAAAGAAAGAAAGAAAAAAGAAAAACACTAAATGAGATGCCATTAAAATGAACAAAAAAATGAATAGGATCACTCATATTTTGCAAAGAAAAGCAAAAAAAGCACAGAGGAGACCTAGGTGGTTCTGGCCATTTTCTTAAGCTTCATACAATGATAAACATAGGTGATAAAGCATTTTAAAATATACCGTCACTGAGTTTGATAGAGTTTTATGGGTTCTTTCATGTTTTCTGTTAGAACTATATAATTATTATTTAAGATTAATCCCACAAGCCCTAGAAATGATGTGCAATTTTTGTTTAATTGAAGTGTATATGATGGATTCTTCCCTTGTTCCTGTATAAATGCATGCTGACAGTCTCCATAAAAGTCCAGGAAGAAACATGGGGCTCATTGGCACTCTTTTTTATAGATTCCCCTCTACTGAATAAGCAGGTCAAAAGAAGCCATTGGCAGTAGGAAAGGAATCAAGAGATTACTTCTTTCCTGTTAACATACTTTTAGCTCAGGGCTTTCAGATGTCTAAAAATTATGTCAGTGACTTTTTTTTTTTTTTTTTTTGAGAAGGAGTCTAGCTCTGTCACCCAGGCTGGAGTGCAGTGGCACAATCTTGGCTCACTGCAACCTCTGCCTCCCAGGTTCAAGTGATTCTCCTGCCTTGGCCTCCCTAGTAGCTAGGACTACAGGTGTGCGCCACCACATCTGTTTAATTTTTGTATTTTTAGTGCATGGGGTTTCACCATGTTGGCCAGGCTGGTCTCAAACTCCTGACCTCCAGTGATCCACCTGCCTTGGACTCCCAAAGTGCTGAGATTACAGGTGTGAGCCACCACACCCAGCCGTTATGTCAGTGACTTTTGAAATAGTCTGTGAAACACTTGGACACCTACAAAAGTGACTTATCAAATAAGGAGTCATGGCATGTCCCACAGGTTCCATGGCCATATGGCATCAAAACAATAAAACAGTACTAGTCATGACCCCCAAACAGAAAACTCAGTGTGGGTATGGGAGATGAGGTTACCCAGGACTCTCTCCAGGGCTTGAAAGAGGACACGGCGAAGGTATTAAATATAACCCTAGAACAGAACTTGGCCCTTTGCCAGCTATTAATTCCCTTTAGAGAGAGACAAAAGCCCCATGTGTCTCCAATCCCAAGAAAAGGGGCTCCTCTATGACCCCGCACTGCCTTGGCAATGAGAGCCATGTAGGCGTCAAGATAGCCCCCAGAATGCCAGTGCTTCTTTGCCCTGATTCAGAAGAAACAGAAAGAAAAGAAAAGAAAAGAAAAAGACAAGACAAGACAAGACGAGGGAGAGAATGAAATGGAGACAGAAAGACACCAAAGAGAAAAGAGGAGTTTCCCATGCTCCTCAATTGCAAGCTAATTCCTGGGACCCATGAGAGTCTTCCAAGCATCTAAGGAAGGGCAGCAGGCTAGAGTTACAGCCTGCAATAGGCAGAAAGCAGGTATTGTTAGCAAAATCCAAGTCCAGAAATTAGTAGGTTTTGCTCTCTGAACTCTCCCCTTCACATATTTTATGAGGACATTTGAAGAAGATCCCAGAATGGGTCACTCTTCCCCCAACATGTTTACCTGTCACTTAGCAGCAGCCACAAACTTGGCCTCTGCCCTTTGGTTGAGTTCCTCTCCTCTCACTATTTAACACAGAAAATGACAGACTTTTTATTTAAGAGAGTCAGAGGCCCCGAGACAAACTTAGATAAGACATTTGCCACTTTGAATCTGGTGTCATCATGAGGAAGGGGCTAGACAAGATAATCTAAGGCCTTTTGCAGATCTAATCACAAAATTCATACTCTACTAATAAGTAATTAAAGTTTCTTTAGACACTGCTCTCTCTTGCTAATAATCACCCATGACTAAGCTCTCATTTCTTTAACAGCCCTTCCCTAAAAAGTGAGAAAGGTTGTTGAAAGCACCAGCTGTTTCTGGGGCCTCTCAATGAGCACTATACTTCCATGAATAATGGAAATCAGACCAGTGCCCATTTGCCTTTGAAAAGGGCAAGACACACTATTAATTTTTCTACTCTCCCAAAGGAATTAATACATATGTTATACTCACCATGACTCTTTCCCATCTAAAGGGTCCAAAACAATAATTTGAGCGAGACTGTTTTATTAAGGAGAAATATAACAGTTCTATTCTAACCTTCTGATATGCTAGAATATTCTATATCTTCATCTGATTGTAGTTACATGGGTGTATACATATACAAAAATTCATCAAGCATACATTTAAGGTGACAACACTTTGCACATTTCACTGCATGTAATTTTTTGACTTTTTTTTTTTAGACAGAGTCTCACTCTTTCTCCCAGGCTGGAGTGCAGTGGCGCGATCTCGGCTCACTGCAAGCTCCGCCTCCCGGGTTCATGCCATTCTCCTGCCTCAGCCTCCAAAGTAGCTGGGACTACAGGCACCCGCCACCACACCCGGCTAATTTTTTTCTTTGTATTTTTTAGTAGAGATGGGGTTTCACCGTGTTAGCCAGGATGGTCTCGATCTCCTGACCTCATGATCCGCCCGCCTCGGCCTCCCAAAGTGCTGGGATTACAGGCATGAGCCACTGCGCCCGGCTAATTTTTTGACTTTTAAATTAGGTATAAGAGTTCCATTCCACTCCATTGCCCAGGGCCACCCGGAGACACTCGGGTGTGCCTAAAAATGCCAAGTTAACACTTGGCTCTACAGGATCTTCCTCTTCATTTTATACCAGCTGGGAGGTTCAGTACTTGCCTATTTCACAACTGTCATGAAAGGGTAAGTGACTTTGGTTCAAATCCATCCAGAGGGTATAGAATGAGAAAAACAGGTAATACACACTTACCCAGATCAGCCCTATTCCTCACATTATGAGATGTGAAAGTCTAATAGCAGTTAAAGAACAATAACTGTAAATACCAAGGACTCCCCAAAGTATCTGGACATCATTTTAAGAAACAAAAGTTTTTTTGTTTTTTTTTTTTGTTTGTTTGTTTTTTTATTTTTTATTTTTTTATTATACTCTAAGTTTTAGGGTACATGTGCACATTGTGCAGGTTAGTTACATATGTATACATGTGCCATGCTGGTGCGCTGCACCCACTAACGTGTCATCTAGCATTAGGTATATCTCCCAATGCTATCCCTCCCCCCTCCCCCGACCCCACCACAGTCCCCAGAGTGTGATATTCCCCTTCCTGTGTCCAAGTGATCTCATTGTTCAATTCCCACCTATGAGTGAGAATATGCGGTGTTTGGTTTTTTGTTCTTGCGATAGTTTACTGAGAATGATGGTTTCCAATTTCATCCATGTCCCTACAAAGGACATGAACTCATCATTTTTTATGGCTGCATAGTTTGACAAACCTGAGAAAAACAAGCAATGGGGAAAGGATTCCCTATTTAATAAATGGTGCTGGGAAAACTGGCTAGCCATATGTAGAAAGCTGAAACTGGATCCCTTCCTTACACCTTATACAAAAATCAATTCAAGATGGATTAAAGATTTAAACGTTAGACCTAAAACCATAAAAACCCTAGAAGAAAACCTAGGCATTACCATTCAGGACATAGGCGTGGGCAAGGACTTCATGTCCAAAACACCAAAAGCAATGGCAACAAAAGCCAAAATTGACAAATGGGATCTAATTAAACTAAAGAGCTTCTGCACAGCAAAAGAAACTACCATCAGAGTGAACAGGCAACCTACAACATGGGAGAAAATTTTCGCAACCTACTCATCTGACAAAGGGCTAATATCCAGAATCTACAATGAACTCAAACAAATTTACAAGAAAAAAACAAACAACCCCATCAAAAAGTGGGCGAAGGACATGAACAGACACTTCTCAAAAGAAGACATTTATGCAGCCAAAAAACACATGAAGAAATGCTCATCATCACTGGCCATCAGAGAAATGCAAATCAAAACCACTATGAGATATCATCTCACACCAGTTAGAATGGCAATCATTAAAAAGTCAGGAAACAAAAGTTTTTTACACAGCCTGGAGGAAAAGTACTTAAGGTTTACAGTTGATGGTGAGGCCTTACCTGCCTGCAGGTATTCTGGCTGCAGAGTTGGAGGGAGGCCCTCAGGCAATGGGTAGCCGTTCTTCCGAGCCACAATGAGATGAAACGCAGCACAGAACTCAGGCAGGGTCAGGGCTCCATCACAGTCAGCATCACTAAGCTCCCTAAATGAAACAAATGTCATGAGTACCTACCATGGGGCTTACAGAACAAGTTACTTGGCCCAAACGTGCCAATAAAACTCCCAGACTCTGTGGTGATGGCCCTACCAGATACCCAAACCCTCCTAGCCAAATCCATTTGAAATCTCTGGGGGCCACTCCGAGGAAGAAAAATGCCGATTGATGGGATCAGCATCAGTAGCATTTTATAAATAAAAATTTAAATTCTTCAGGTTCCCTAGTTGGTGTGTCTTACAACACTGAGGACATAGGACAAGAAACTATGGCACAGAAATAAAAATGATACCCAGAAGTCCACAGTCATTCAGTAAATGCAGGCTGCATGGGGTGAAAAGCCCTGGACATGGTGTTCAAAACAGTCAGAGGAAGGGTGGCCCCAGCCATTTTATAGTTGTCCTAGCCATTATGCAGTTTACCTGGAGCACAGAAATAAGCTCTTTGTTTTTCAGCTTTAAAGGAAAACCGTGAACTTTTCAAGTCACGTAAATTTTTGTACCAAACTGTTCTTTGCTTGAGAACTCCCTCCTGGGAAAACACAAGTAAGCTCAATAAAAAATGGAATGAATTATGTTTTAGGATAAAACTAGTAACTAAAGCTGACTGGAACCAGATAAGACAAAAAGGAAGAAAGGGGGAGTCTCAAACAGGCTTAACTTCAGTCATTATTTCCCACTAAAAGGCACAGACCTATTTACTCAGCACAAAAGAAACTTATTTGCCAAAGTATTATATCTAAGACCCCATAAGCTTAACCATCTCTTAGGTAGACAGGGACAAGTGTACTTGTGTTAGGACAAGCATAGAGATAAGACAAATACAAAATTATTCTAGAAAGGTATTACTATTTGAAAGAAAATATATTTCTAAGGTAAGCTCCATAACTTTCCTTTAGACCATTTACATCCTCCTCCTCCAATTTCGAATGCACTGGGGCCCTGAAATAGCTGTTCCCCAGAGTGAGGGGTCAGGAAACTGCTTCATACGCCAGATCGAAAGAATACCATTCAGCTTTCATAGGCGTGTCTCAACAAAAAGATAGGAGGTCTCATGCCAACAATGTTTAGACTGGGAATTCTGCCAAAACAAATGGTATTCTTTTCAAAATGATAATTTCTTTATTCTTCCCTAGCCAGAAAATCTAATATAAGGGCCGGGCATGGTGGCTCATGCCTGTAATCCCAGAGTTTTCAGAAACCAAGGCAGGAGGATTGCCTGAGGCAAGGAGTTCAAGACCAGACTGGTCAACATAGCAAGACCCTGTCTCTAGAAAAAAATGAAAAGCTAGCTGGGAGGCTGAGGTAGGAGGATCGCTTGAGCTTAGGAGTCAGAGGCTGCAATGAGCTATAATCATGTCACTGCACTCCAGCCTGGGTGACAGAGTGAGCCCTCATCTCCAAAAAAACAAACAAACAAACAAAAAACAAAACAAAAACAAAACTAATATAAGGCTTGTAAAAACAAAAAAATTATGCCAGAGTATATATTGTTGAAGAACCTAAATCCAGCTCAGAATCCCAGATACATTGACATGCATGAGTATTATTGGAGTAGTTTTCCAATAAGATGCACAAAACATGACAAGCAATTTTAAATCCTATCATAATTCTGTAAATCCTCATGCAAAAAGCTTTATATAAACATTATAATGTTTTTAATTATATATTTATAGCAGTGCGATCTCCTGCCCAGTTTTGGGGAAGAACTAGCCCACACACAGCCGAGAGTTTACAGCAGCACCAAGCATTTTCATGAATGCAAATAGAGCCATCTGGACCATCCCAGCATAGCCCTTTTGGAACCAGAGTGCATAAAGGTGCAGTGGATACCACAGCTGCAAGTCTGAATTAGGGCCCAACTGATAAACACCAGCCAAATTTGCAAAGCTCAGAGGCAGCTAGAATAGTCAAATCTAACCTAACTCCAAAATATTCCTCAACCTTCTGTTCACTCAGCCTTATAAAATATAAAAAATAGTTTGTCAAGCTCCTCTGGTTACTTGTATCACACCTAGCAGAAAAGTCTGAAAATGAAATCTACAGGATGGTAAGTCTCATGTGCCCACAACTGCCTAGACTGAAAAGGGATTGAGATGGGGATAATAATTAGGAAATTACTTTAAAATAATAGTTAACACTCATAGTGCTTAATACGTGCCAGACATTGTTCATTGTACTTTTCATATAACATTTAATTTTCACAGCAACAAAAATCTGAGTTGTATTCACTCCTGTAGTCTGTTAAAAACATCATTCAAAACATAAGCCTTTAAAAAATGCAAAGGTAGGAACTAAAGGATGAGTTATGGATGATGGTATGAATGTCATATGGCATTAATTGTACTTACCATATATAGGAGAGTTCTGGAATGGAAAGCTTTGATTTGGTGAAGAAGTTCTTGGCCACAGAACCTGTCAAGTGCCATTGTTTAAATAAACCATTAATTACTCAGCTAGAGTAGCTTTTACATTTATATACAAATGAATCACAATTTTTTCATTCAGCAATCTCTTCTGTATAACCACAAACATATTTATTCCTCAAAGCAATTATGAATCATGGGACCAAAAGCAACACATGAATAGCTTTTTTAAAAATATGTAAATTACAATAGGGCAAAAGAAGCAATAACATAATGCTCATGAAAGATGCAAATCACATAAATTAATTTCTGCTTCATTTTTACCAAAATCTGCAAAATTTTTCCAAAAATTTAGAAGACGAAGTTCAAAACTTTGAACAAATTTGGCAGATTTCAAATAGAAATTTCAAATAGAAAAGTAATAGAAAACTGACCAAAAAGAAGAAAATTAATACCATTGATCACACCACACAGAGATAAGACAGACATCTTGGGAAAGCTTTTGGTGAGATTTAAGAATTCCTAGTGGCATTTTGAGAAACTTATCCAGGAATCTTTCTTCCTTCATTGTTGATTTACCTGTATCAACTGAAATCAGGCAATCATTCCACTTTACATGTTACATAACTGCAAGACCCAGCTGTTCTTGAAATGTTAGACCTTACTGAGATTGAATTTGAATGCTTTCAGCTCCCAGTACAGTTTGATCTAGCAATTCCACTCCTAGGTATGTATTCAAAAGAAATAAAAATATATGTTCACATAAAAACTGGTACACAAATATTCAAATCAGCATTATTCTTAATACTCCAAAAGTGGAAGAACACCATATGCCTATCAACTGATGAATGGATAAATAAAATGGGATGTACTGATATAATGGAATTATTCAGCCATAAAAAGGAATGAAATTCTGGTACATACAACATGAATGAGCCTTTAAAACATTATGCTAACTGTTGGTGGGAATTAGTACAACCACTATGGAGAACAGTTTGGAAGTTCCTCAGAAAACTACAATTAGAGCTACCATATGACCCAGCAATCCCACTACTGGGTATATACCTAAAAGAAAGGAAATCAGTGTATCAAAGAAATATGTGCACTCCTATGTTTGCTGCAGCACTGTTTACAATAGCTGAGATTTGGAGGCAACCTATGTGTCCATTGACAGATGAATAAAGAAAATGTGGTATGTATACACAGTGGGGTACTATTCAGCCATTAAAAAAAAATAATGAGATCCAATCATTTGCAACAACATGGATGGAACTGGAGATCATTATGTTAAGTGAAATAAGCCAGTCACAGAAAGACAAACATCGCATGTTCTCATTTGTGGGATCTAAAAATCAAAATGATTGAACTCATGGACACAGAGAGTAGAAGGAAGGTTACCAGAGGCTGTGAGGGGTAGTGGCAGGGAGAGAGTAGGGGCGAGGCGGGGATTGCTAATGGGTACAAAAAACTAGTTAGAAAGAATGACTAAGACCTACTACTTGATAGCACAATAGGGTGACTATAGTCAATAACTTAATTGTATATTTTAAATAACTTAAAGAATGTAACTGGATTGTTTGTAACTCAAAGGATAAATGCTTGAGGGGATGGATACCCCATTTACCATGATGTGATTATTATGTATTGCATGTCTGCATCAAAACATGTCACATACCCCATAAATATATACACCTATGTACCCACACAAATGTTTTAATTAAAAAAAAAACTAAAACATTATGCTAAATGAAAGAGACACAAAAGACCACATATTATGAGATTCCATTTCTAGAAAAAGGGATACGTTCTGAGAAATGCATCATGAGGTGATTTCCTCATTGTGCGAACAGCACAGGGTGTACTTACACAAACCTAGATGGTATAGCCTACTATACACCTAGGCTAGATGGTAGAACCTATTGCTCCTAGGCTACAAACCTGTACGGCATGTTCCTGTACTGAATACTATAGGCAGTTGGGACACAATAGTAACTATTTGTGTATCTAAACACAACTAAATATAGAAAACAGCCTGGGCAACATAGTGAGACCTCCTCTCTACAAAAAAATTAGCCAGGCAAGGCATAGTGATGTGCACCTGCAGTCCCAGCTACTAGGGAGGCTGAGGTGGGAGGATCACTTGAGCCCAGGAGGTCAAGGCTGCAGTGAGCCGAGATCACATCACTGCACTCCAGCCTAGGCACAGAGTAAGACCCTGTCAAAAAAAAAAAAAAAAGAAAGAAAGAAAGAAAGAAAGAAAGAAAGAAAGAAAGAAAGAAAGAAAGAAAGGAAGAAAGGAAGAAAGAAAGAAGAAACATAGAAAAGGCAGAGTAAAAATATGGTATAAAAGATGAAAAATGGTTCACCTTTGTAGGTCCCTTACCATGAATGGAGCTTGCAGGACTGGAAGTTGCTCTAGGTAAGTCAGAGAGTGAGTGGTGAGTGACTGTGAAGGCCTAGGACATTACTGTACACTACTGTAGACTTTATAAATACTGCACACTCAGGCTACACTAAATTTACCAAAAAAAAAAATCCTTTCATCAATAATAAATTAACCTTAGAGTGTAAGTTTTTACTTCATAAACTTTAAAATTTATTTTAACCTTCTTGACTCCATTGTAATAACACTTGGCTTAAAACAAAAACACACTGTACAATTTTAAAATAACTTAAGAGTGTAGTCAAATTGTTTTCAACTTAATAGATAAATGCTTGAGGAAATGGATACCCCATTCTTCATGATGTGCTTATTTCATATTGTGTGCCTGTATCAAAACATCTCATGTACCCCATAAATATATACACCTATGTACCCACAAAAATTTAAAAATTTAAAAAAATTGCACAGCTGTACAAAAATATTTTCTTTCTTTATATCTTTATTCTATTATTCTATTTTTAAAATTTTTAATTTTTTTACCATTTAAACTTTTTGGTTAAATACTGAAACACAAACACGTATAAACTTTTTGGTTAAAAACTGAAACACAAACACTTATCAGCCTAGACCTTCACAAGGTCAGGACCATCAATAACACTGTCTTCCACCTCTATACTGTGGAGGTGACTAGAAGAGGACAATAACCTGCAGGTAGCTGCCGCCTCCTAGGATAACAATGCCTTCTTCTGGAATACCTCCTGAAGTTCCTGCCTGAGGCTGTTTTACAGTTAACTTTTTTTTATATATAAGTAAGAGTATACTCTAAAATAACAATAAAAGTATAGCATAATAAAAGGCCAGGTGCGGTGGCTCATGCCTGCAATCCCAGCACTTTGGGAGGCTGAGGTGGGTGGATCACGAGGTCAGGGGTTTGAGAGCAGCCTGGCCAACATGGTGAAACCCCGTCTCTACTAAAAATACAAAAATTAGCCTGGTGTGGGGCATGCACCTGTAGTCCCAGCTACTCGGGAGGCTGAGGCAGAAGAATCATTTGAACCCGGGAGGCGGAGGCTGCAGTGAGCCAAGATCGTGCCATTGCACTCCAGCCTGGGCGACAGAGCAAGACTCCATCTCAAAAAAGAAAAGAAAGAAAAAAAGTATAGCATAATAAATACATAATAAGCTAATAATAGCCATTTATTATTAAGTATTATATACTGTACATAATCATATGTGCTAGGCTTTTATACGACTGGTAGCACAGATTTGTTTTTACCAGCATCATCACATTTATGTGAGCACTGCCTTGTGCTACAACATCATGATGGCTACAGCATCACTAGGTGATTAATGGAGCTGGAATTTTTCAGCTCCGTGATACTGTTATGGTACCGCCATCATTGACTGACTGAAACAACCTTATGTGTTAACTGTAGGTAAGAGAAAATCATTGGGGCTATGTGATAGGTACACAGAGGTTTGTTGTATCAGCCAGACTAGTTGTGTCTATATCTGAAATTCTGCAAGATACAAAAGTTAAAAGAAAACAAAAACATTTCTAACAAGTACCTGTTTGTATTTGGCTAAATATCTGCACATGTCGTAAAGAAACTCACCTGAGCACGGGGTAAGGTTAGCAAGTGGTCAAATCGTGCAATATGGGTTTCTGCTTATTTTCCTTAATCATGACGTCAACATTAATTTGTTGTATCTGTACTATTCTGCCGTCAATAAAGCCATTACCACCAATCAGTAAATGATGTTTGCAATTACTTATACAAGTATATTTCAATTATGTGCCTCATTTCACAAGATAAAACTAATCTTTGCCCACACTTCAATATGGCAGGTTACAATTATTAAGGACATATTGTTATTCTTCAAATTTTAAAGTCTAAAAAGAAAGCTTTATGAATTTTTCTTCTAGACTCTACTATTTCACTGTTAGTCTTTCAGCCTGGTAAAATGTAGCCACACTGGCATTAAACCAGTTCCTCTGAGCTTGAATTTTACATGAGAACTCAACAGGAATCTATATATCTGAAGACAACCCAGAAGAACTGACAAGTGGGAAAGCACTGGCCAATTTTCCTCCCCCATTTTAATTTCTCTCAGAAAAACTGGAGGACAAACATTTGAGCCAAAGAAAACGAGCCTGAGTTTGAAGTTTGAAGGCACATATAACATAAAAAGACTTGTGACACCAACTCCTTAGGAGGCCACATTCTGTCCTTGCCCGAGCTCTAATATAACGAGGAAGCAATGAGAGGTGGCCCCTTGGGGCGACACGCTAGCATTTCAAGAACTGCCTCAGCTGATAAGGTGCAGGGTCTGGGCCAAGTTGCCCCCAAATTCCCACTTAAGCCCTTTGAAATGGAAATATAATTTTCCAAACGTCATTGGCAACTTTTCTTCTGCATGGTTTACATCTGATAAGAAATTCGACTTTAGATGAAAAACAAACTGAAATCACAGAAGGCTGCCATACTCATTTTGCGTGAATGATTTCTCAAGATGGTGGCTATGTTCTGGTGAGAGTGATGCCTAGGGAGCCCACATTCTTACCTGAAATGAAAGAGCTTGGGTCTGGCTGAAGGGATCGGAACTGATTGACATAGTACTCGCGCTGTTCTTCTGTTATCCTCCAGGGTTCGTCGGGGTAACTGCTGTTATCCTGTAGTTCCCTCTCCACTGAAAAGGACTGTAAGAATAAATTAAAAAGTAAATGCTCAGAGAACCTGTCTTTAGTGAGAAGTAGAAAAATTAAACACCAATAAAAGTTATCATGTGTTATGCTTAATTTTTTTCCTCAGGTGAAGAAATTTAACTGCCTCATAACTAGAATCTAACTAGAACAGAAACTTAGGGGCAGACATCATGCTTTATGTATTTTTTGTATTCTTCAAAGTTAACAGGACTGAGGCATGAAATACTGAATACTCAGTAAGTGACAAAAAAATTTCTAATTGTAATAAAGGGTTTAAAAAAAGATGATCATTCTTATTTTCCACTATTCCTCACATTTTCATTCTTTCAGATTAGCTGAGTGGATAGTAAAATAATCTGGATTCTTTTTAAATGACAAAAAAGAAACTAGAACAACTATAACCACATCTTTTTTACTGTTGCCGTTACACTGAAATGCTGTATAAATCCAGGAATCAAAAGCTCCAATTCAAATCCCACATTTCCAGCTCCTACTTGAGTGGCAAGTCAGGACCACTGAACCTCTCATTTGGCATTTGTGAATTACAGACAATATTTAGTAACAGAGCTGGGTGGTGAGAACAGCTGTTATGGTACCACAATAAACAGGGTAACAAGGGGTGCATCAGACCTGCCACTAGAGGGCATGCAAGTCAAATTTGAGGATTTAAGAGCCTAGAAAACCAGGGAAGCAGTGCGGGAGAAAACAAAGCTATGGTAGGCATTGGCAGACGAAGGGAAATGTCGATGCTAGGGGGAGGCGTGGGCCTTTGTTCTATCCCTCCCATGAACCCTAAGACTAAAGAGGTACTTGCCAAGGGCCACCTTAACAGGACCAAGAGGTGAACACCAGAAGGATGAGGCTTGGCCGGGTGCAGTGGCTCACGCAAGTAATCCCAGCACTTTGGGAGGCCGAGGCAGGTGGATCACGAGGTCAGGAGTTCAAGACCAGCCTGGCCGACATGATGAAACCCCATCTCTACTAAAAATACAAAAATTAGCTAGGCATGGTGGTGCGTGCCTGTAATCCCAGCTACTCGGGAGGCTAAGGCAAGAGAATCACTTGAACCTGGGAGGCAGAGGTTGAACCTGGGAGGCAGAAGTTGAACCTGGGAGCAGAGGTCGCACCACTGCACTCCAGCCTGGGCAACAGAGTGAGACTCTGTCTCAAAAAAAAAAAAATAAATAAAAATAAATAAAAAAGATGAGGCTTTATGACAAAAGGAGGCTAGGAAAGAAGAGGAGGGTATTGCTGCTAAAGAGCCATCAAGGTGCCTGCTTCTGAACACACTGTCAAGGAGGGAATTAATCATTGGGCGGGCAATTCCACCCACTAACCCTAGAAAAGAAGGCCGGCCATCTCCTCCCATTCCCCACACCCACACACACACACCATTCCAGGAATTAATTCTTCCCAGGAACGCCTGTCTCCCCTCTGACAATGTTCAGAGAAAGGAGACTAGAAAATGTTGAGCTACTGTAAAACCTTGAGATGTCATCTCTGAAGTAAAATATGTATTACTTTGATATCTCACACCTTGGGTTAAGGGTGCTTTCGGAAGGCCAGGACAATGAGATGAAATACTAACTGTAGAATGGATACTTCCAGAAGTGCTGAGTGAGAATGCACCCAGCAAACAGGCTATTCCTCAAAGTCATCTGGGTCCTTTAGTCAGAAGGAAGGTTACATAAAGAGGTTGAGAGCTGTAGGGTTGTTAATCATTTGTAATAAATGTATCATTTTCATACTAGATGAGTTTCTACTAAACGTAAATCAAACCACTCTTAAATGTTCAAGAAGTCATTATCCATTAGTTAATACCTTAAATTTCACAGAGTGTTTTGATATGTACAAAGCATTTCACACACTCCTACTTGTTTGAGCACCTCAAGACTTTGGAGATGTAAGCGGGTATTAATTATTATCCTTTTTCCGAGCTAAGGGAACTTACCCATATCCCTTAGTGAACCCCTGCAGGCAGCAAATAATGACCATCTTTTTTTAATCTCTTATTCAAAGGCAGGATTTTGTATACCGGGATTTTTTTTAACTGGGTTGCATCTATCTGAATTTTTTTCAAAAACCTCTTATTATTATAAAAATAAACAGGCCCAGAGCAGTGGTTCACACGTGTAATCCCAGAACTTTGGGAGGCTGAGGTGGGTGGATCACCTGAGGTCAGGAGTTCAAGACCAACCTAGCCAACATGGTGAAACCCCGTCTCTACTAAAAAAATACAAAAAATTAGCCAGGTGTGGTGGCAGGCGCCTGTAATCCCAGCTACTCGGGAGGCTGAGGCAGGAGAATCACTTGAACCTGGGAGGTGGACGTTGCAGCGAGCCGAGATCGCGCCATTGCACTCCAGCCTGGGCAACAAGAGCGAAACTCCGTCTCAGTAAAAATAAGTAAAGCAAAAAAAATCAAAATCCAGTCCGAGCACTAAACAACCAAACAGACCACACAACCTTCCAAAATACTCCCACCAAATTCCAGAGCCATGCCCTAGCAGCACTTCCTGAATGAGCCCAGATGTCTGACCAGGTTCCATTGGTAGAACATAGGGTGGAGAATGTCAGCTTGAATTGGATTAGATTACCGGCCATGATATAATGTGGAGAACTCACAGGAGCACTGCCCTCCAGGTCAGCCCTGACAGAAAGAGCTGGAGCAAAGGAACCTAAAAGCCAGGCATGGGCAGGAAAGACAAGAACAGACACCTATGAGCCAACGATTTGGTGGCAAAGATGATTCGTGAAGAAGGTGGGATGTGGGTCGGAAGCTCTGTCCCTCCACTTCCCAGTGAACGAAGACACAGAAATATCCATGCTGGGCGGCCCTTATCACAGCTGCAGCTGCTTCCACATAGCTGCTGCGGTCAAAAAGGAGCCCAGAGTCAGTTTCCTTGACCATCACCATTCTGTTTGCTATAAGTGATCTGTAACATTTTGCGAAAATACAGTTCCATTGAAAAAAAAGAAAAAGAGAAGAAATCTCCAAGCTGGATGTTGGGTCTGCTGCATTCCTGAGTCTGACATGGAAGCTGCTGCTCCCCTAGAACACGCCCTTTCCCTCCTGCTCATGAAGCTGCTGCTTAGCTGTCCCTGTCAGCCCATGTGTGCTCTTTCCTCAATGCCATAACCATCTGCTTTCTAGCTCCTCTTGACATCACCTCACTCCAGCGTGGCATTAGTGGCCTCTTAGCAGGCAGGTCTCAGGTCTACTCTAACAACAGAAATCAGGAATGAACAGAAGGGGGTGATTAACTCCTCTGCTTAAAAGCCTGCAGAGATGACCTGCTGCCTAACAGAAAAGTCCACCTCCTCCACCTGGCCTTCAGAAGCCTCGCACCCCAGCCTCCTCTCAGCAGGCTTTCCGACTGCACATGCTCACTCCTCAGGGGTAAGATGTTTGTCTTCTTCCCAGAACACTCTTCCCCTGCTCAAATCCTCCAATGTACCTGCCGTACCCACGGCCATGACAGACGGCACTGCTCGTTCCCATGCTCTGCTGCAAAGGTGGGCCTGGCAGCCTTGTGTGGGCACCATGACCCACCTCACACCTGGCGTCACCTGAGTGGGAGTAAGGGTTCATGGGCACACAGTATACTGGCCTTTGAGATGCTCTGACAAGGGCTTAGGTCAGATGCTCATTCTTGGGAATGTGGATGAGAAATATCAAGGCCAATGAGAAGAGAAAGTAGACCCTAAACAGATGCTCAGTGGGGCTGTAGTATAGAGAAAGGGTAGGTGGGACTTAAAGTTATGAGGGCGCCAGAACCAAGCATCAGCACAAGCTGGGAGGTAGGTACAGAAAGGACACAAAGCCGGGGGGGGGGGCAAGAAAGGCTGCAGAAGCCTAAAGATAAGTGGACAGTGGAGCAAACTTAACACAACCAGGGCAAGGCCTGTTAACAGTAGAACAAGCATGAACAGCCAAGAACTCCCACCCCTACAGACCAGTGGGCCATTCCTTGGCTCTCATTTCTTAGATTCCCATGAGAACCCAACCCCTCTTCCAAGAAAACTTAAGTGGGCAAGGAGAGTTCCTACTCCTAAACCTAGAAAGGCCTTAGGACAAAGGGAGAGGGCACATGAGTTCTGTGTAACCCATAGAGTGGCCCTTCTACTGGTTTGCACTAAGTGTGCTAACCTACCCCCCCATCTCTTTCCCCTTGCTTCTCGCTGTATGCTTGAAATTGATTTACTAAGCCAAGTGATTTGAGCGTCTTAAAAAATATGAATCTTGGCTGGGCATGTTGGCTCATACCCATAATCTCAGCACTTTGGGAGGCCAAGGCAGGCAGACCACTTGACTCTAGGAGTTTGAGACCAGCCTGGGCAACATGGCAAATCCCCATCTCTACAAAAAATATTTAAAAACTGCCAAGCATGGTGGCATGCACTTGTAGTTCCAGCTACTCAGGAGGCTGAGGTGCGAGAGTCACCTGAGCGCAGGAGGTCAAGGCTGCAGTGAGCCATGATCGTACCACTGAACCCCAGCCTGGGTGATAGAGCAAGACCCTGTCTCAAAAAAATATATATGAATCTTTATGATAGTCATGGTAAGTACCACAGTTTGAACATTTAAAGTGTTCCTAAACATCTTCACCCAGGTTTCAATGTGAAGGACAGGAGCCATATCAGATACTTTATCCCACCTATAGTCCCTGGCAGGTACATCACAGATACTAAAAGGTAGTGTGAGCTCTACTTATTGGCAAGCTTGAGGAAGTTCAGAGGTATGTCTTGTATTGCAAGAGATGTGGAAACACTGCCCTATGATGTTCTTTGTGAAAGGAAGCCTATGAGTCTGTTTGGTAGCTCAGCACCACTCTGTCAGCAGCTAGAGGCCATGTCACCGCAGGACCCAGATGCGTGGACCCATGTCTTCTGAACCAGTCCAACAATCAACCACAACAATCTTCTCAAAGATCTGAAAAGTCAGTCACCTGAGAATGGCTCATTTTGAAGCCTGAAGGCACTGAGAAATGAGGGCAAATAAGCTGTGGAGCCTTAGCTTTCCAAGTAGAAGCCAGGACCAGGAAAAGCTCCACTTTTGCATGCACCCTAAAGAGGCCTCCCCCCATCAACTCCAGCTCCAGTGGTTTTGTTGGCTGAGCAGAGATGTTTGCTACTTGGTGCCAATTTTGAGCTCTGCCAGTGTTTTGTTTTTTAAATAAAAGGAGAGAGGGAGAAATCTTTCACATCTGTCTGCTTAAGCCACATACATATGGTTCATTATACAGTTTCTCTAGACACAGGAGAATTAGATTTGCTTATATTTAAAACATTCAACCCCTTGGTTTTGTTTCAAGTGAAATGCAAATATTTGGCATGGCAAGTTATTATCTCTGGGGAAAGCAGGCTGTTTATAATGAAAGACTTCAAAAGACTCATTAAAAAGTAATACTATTAATAAAATCCCAAAAGGTAACATTTACCCCTACTATCAAACTATCTTAAAAATCAAACAAAGCTAAATAATATGAATTGCAAGGAAGCATTGTTGGAGAGAACTTAAGAAGGGTGTGTGTATTGTTTCAATCATAGAACATTTCTGTTTAAAATATAAACCTACCCCGAAGGCATCCTATAAATGCTGTTTTAGAGTCCAGCCATTTCACCTATGAGGGGTAATGATCTTTTAACAGTGTCCTGTTAGTGCCTTAGTAAACAAACTATTTGGAGTAGCAAAAGCTCATACTAAGCCCACAGTGAATATCTGAGGATGCCTCCTCCGCCAAAAATATTTTGGAAATAAGACTACCACAAGGCAATTGCTGATCAAAACGATCTCATTAGCAAAGATGTGAGAAGACTTGACTACTGTAAAGAAAAGGATAGCTAATGGGCTGGTGAGACTACACTATAGCCCAAGTGAATATCAATTTGTCTAAAGAAAGATCAAGGAAATTGGTCAGTCATGGGGCTGAGAAAAAAAAGTCACAGAAGCAAGTGGTGGCAGTGCTGATAGGTGGGATTACAGCAGACTCCTCCAATAATTCATGCTCTACTATGCCTGGTGTAGAGGTGTCACTAAGTGGCTGCCCAACCAGAAATGACATTTTCCAGCCTCCCTTGAAGTTACATGCAGCCATGTGACTGAGTTGTAGCCATTGCAATGTGAGCACCAGTGGCCTACCCTACTTCCAAGCAGGACTAGTACCCTGTAGCACTCCTCTACTCTCTTTCCTATGTGCCCACTGAACAGACGATGGCACAGTGACAGGACAGAAGGAGCTCTGGTGCATGAATCACCATGCTGAGGACAGCGGCCTGCCAAACTATTATATTAGTGAGAAATATACCTACTGTGCAAAGTCATTAAAATGTGGGGCCTATTTGTTATAGCAGCTGTTCCCTCAATGAATGTATCCTTCAAGCAAGACCCAAAGGAAAGGAAGATCTGCCCTTCACAACCACAAAGCCCATCCTGGAGATGGAAGCCTGAAGCTATTGTGGTTTTGCAATCTGACCAATGACATTAGACCATTATGAGCCCAAACAACTTTCTCATTCTAATTTGATTATCTATGCAGACAATCTATAGGACCAGGATGCTGATTCATTTTTATAGTAGTCTTTCTGTGTTTGAGTAATATAGGTTCATCTTCCATGGATTTGAAGGAGATTCCCAGTTAAAAAGAAAAGACAGCTCAAGTAAAATTGTGGGGAAAGTGTTCAATGAGAAATGAAGAAAAGGACCTAGAAAAGGAGACAGAGCTTAGCAATTTTGTTTTAACATGAAACGATTCCAAATTATGCTTGATCAATCTTGTTTATGCTCTGCCTCTCACCCTACCCCATGCTATCCCATAAAACCCAGGAGGACAGAAAATTTTGTCTATCCTGATCACTGCTATATCCCAAATGCCTGGAAAAGTCACTAACACATACAAAACACTCAATAAGTTATTTGCTGAATGAGTAAACAAACAAACATTCGAAAAAATTCTCAATCCCAGTCTAGAGACAGAGAAAGGTTAACCTGAGTTCTCTTAAGCTGACTGAAGCTGAACTTTATATGCATTTATCACATAATGTCATCCAACACTATAAAGGCTGAGCCCTCTCCCTTACCTCTGAAGTCAGAGAACTTTTTAAAAAACTCCTTCTTTCTAGTCTTTATTTCAAAATAATTATAGATTCACAGGAAGTTGCAATAAATAATTTGGTTTTTCTGTAGAGAAGTTAGTTAAAATTAAGTCCCAACAGAGAAATTTAACCTTATCTGTTTCTTCAGGGAAATAAACCCACAAAGATGCCTTTAACCACATATTACCTAACTTACTTAGGGATCTAATTTCAATAGTTCAGAAGGCTGACTGCCAAACTGTAGGAATCTCTCTGAGCCTAATGTGCAACACACAGTTGCTGCTTATTACAATAAGCTATACTTTTTGAAACGATCACTTAGACACAGAAGAATGTCAGGTAACAAGCATTCATTGCTTTGCTAAGTGCCAGGCACTGTAAGTACCTAATGCACACAATCAATTTTCATCTTCACAACCCTGCGAGGTAAATCCGGTAATTCCCATTTTGCAGAACAGGAAACTGAGGATTAGGTAAGGGAAGTAATTTACCAAGACCACACACCTATGGCACATGGTAGAGCCAGAATACAAACTGGGTCCAAAGTACGTACACTTGATCATCAAGCTCTATAGTTATCTCTATCTGTTCATCCATCCTGTAAAAATAGAGCATTTATTACAAAAAGAACCTCACTGCAATGCCTAAATCATTGCTGCAATTTTGCAGATTGAGGATCTGTGCTTGAGCTATGACTATGCTGTATTACACCTTCCTCCCCATCATCTAGTTTAGTTTTAGATTTTGGCTGGCGAACTATTAAATCATACTGACAGAGCACCATTTTATTTCTCACATAATTTTTGCAGGTAAGCATCTGGCACGTCATCACAAAAGAATCCTAGAGCTAGCCATACAATCCAGGTATGTAATCATTTTACTGTGATTGCAGTATGTGGCGCTAACAGTATTTTGATTAACATAAGAAATGCTCATTAGTAACCACTGCCTCCAATTCTCCCCTCAGGGGCCAAGATTTGCTGTTCCAGAAGGGCACTTTTCCTTCACTATTATCAGGATTTTGTGCTCTGCTTAGAGGAGAAAGCCAAGAAAAATGAGAAATCAGCAGTAAGAGGAGACTCTGACAAGGCTGCAGACTTCCATTAACGAAGCGATGACGTTCCCACCCCTGTCCTTGCTGGTCAGGCCAAGGCTGCCTGTCTCTTCACTACGTTCTCCCCTTCACACTCAAGGCAGTCTGAGTTCAGATGGGAAACAGATGCATCCACAACTTGGACAGAATTCAAGAATGCTTTGGAGAATGAGGCTACTGACTGGAGGTGCAAAAAGAGTACAGGTTCCAGAGGCAGACAGACTTGGGTTCCAATTTGGCATGGTCACTTACTAACCAGTAAATTAACTTCTGAGCCATCAGCTCCCACCTGCAAGGCAGTCACATAGCCCACAGGGCCCTGCCTCCCTCTCCGACCTCATCTCCCTCCCACTCCAGGCTCTAGCCACAGCTGCCTTCTTTCAGTTCTTCAAATGTATCTGCTCTCCCTGTGAAATATGGTAGAGACTGGGTCACGAGTCCATTCCACCCGTCAGCATAAGTCCCAGCACTGCACAAGCTGGCTAGCTAAAAACTCCACTGTCAAAACACCTTTGCTGCTAGAATTCCAAATAGGACTTAGGTTCCACTCAACAAATACACCCACGGAAGACGGATGCAGACCCAAGTTACAGGCAGGGAACAAAGCTTTCATTTGGCTGCCAAGGTAGTTTGTAGTGTGGATCTGGTTGGAGCTGACACTAGGGCAGCAGTTTCCCAATGCTGTAGCTTTCTGATTGTGACAGAAGCAAAGCTCTCTCAGCAGCCCAGCTCTGCTGTGCGGTTTTGGAGAGGCTCTTACCTCTACAGGAAACACTCCACTCCTCTCCTCACCTCCCAGGACCATCCTTCCTTAGCCTGGTTAACTTCTATTCATCCTTCACAGCTCAGCTCAACACATACTTTGTTAAAGGAGCCTTCTCTCACTTTCTAGCTATAGGCTGGATTCCTTTGCTACATGGTACCATGTTTTAAGGCCTTTAGGGCAATTGTCAGTTTTTAATTCCACATGCATAGGTGGGATCATTTGATTCAAATCTATCTCCTCCTTTTGACTGCAAGCACCTAGAGAGCAAGAGGCTATAGGTGTACTCCTCAGTGTACCCCTGGCATGGTGGCTGACTCATGGAAGCCACTTAAGTATTTCCAAATGGACAAATGGAAGATGTAATAATACCTACCTTGTGAGATTGTTGGGAGGACTGAAAAGGGCCAGCACAGCACTGGGACCAAAGAAGCACCTCAGTCAGTAGTGACTATTGTTGGGATAGGCAACTGGGGGGGCATGACACTCCCTGCTCGCCTGAGATCAAGGGAAAGACTGATGGGCCCAGGGGCTAAAATGGTGCCAGTTGTAAAGAAGTCTTCCATATCCATAGCCTGGCATATAACTGAGACCAAAAGGTCCTGGGGAATAAGCTACTATCCTTTCCAGATTTACAAAGTACTGCCTGGAACCAGCAGTTCAAACCAGTGTTTTCAGCTACCTCTGGGAGGCTAAATTAACTAAACATCTCTTTTATTGTCAAGAAGTGTGGTACACAGTGAGCACCTGAGGAATACACTAAGAAACAGGTAGAGGCCGGGCATGGTGGCTCACGCCTGTAATCCTAGTACTTTGGGAGGCCAAGGCGGGTGAATCACTTGAGGTCAGGAGTTCAAGACCACCCTGGCCAACATGGTGAAACCCCGTCTCTACTAAAAGAAATATATACAAAAAATAGCCAGGCGCAGTGGCGCACGCCTGTAGTCCCAGCTACTCAGGAAGCTGAGGCAGGAGAATTGCTGGAGCCTGGGAGGCAGAGGTTGTAGTCAGCCAAGATCGCGCCACTGCACTCCAGCCTGGGCAACAGAGCGAGACTCCATCTCAATCAATCAATCAATCAATCAATGAAAAGAAAAGGAAAAAAGAAAAAAGAAACAAGTAGAAAAGATTGGCACTGAGAAAATAAACTTCAGTATCAGTTGAGATTAAATGTTTCCTTCCCCAAAAGTTAAGAGCTAGAAATCCTTCCTCAAAAGTTAAGGGCTAGAAAATCAGAAAGAGAACTACAAGCAGGTGAAGAAAATAAGTAAGCAGGAGACTGGAGGCTATGAAAAAATAGGACCTCCTTGTGGCAATAGTGTCCGTTCAGGTATATGTGGGTTCTATAGTAGACTCAGTGAAGTAGGACACCTGGAGGACATGTTAACCTTTGACCCCTTAGGAGATGGTATAAACGTCCAGCTGGGGTCTCAAATGAAACGAGGAATGAATTTGGTGAAAGAAGATCTCAAGAATAAGGCACATACATACCTAGAAAAGGCATCAAACTCACTCTTCCTAACACACACACACACACACACTTATACTCTCTCCCTCTATCTATCTTTATCTCTACCTCTATCTCCTCCTCCCACCCATTTCAGTGAAAGGAACATAATTTAGCTGTCTAAGCAATGCTGAGAGATCAACGCACACACACAGTGTTGACATTTACCATCTCTAACAACAGAGGATTTTTTTTTAGCCCTAATCTCTACCCATAAACTAAGTAATTCAACTTTACTGTCATGACCTTATAAACAAGAAATCTGCACTGCAGGCAGGCCTGGGGTTCTCCAGAACTGGGAAGCAGCTGGGGTCCATAACCTCCTTCGAGAGCCTCAGGTGCCAGCATCTCCTCTCACCACTCAGGGAGAAATCTTCCACACACACTCCAGTATATCTCTGGTCCAAAGGAAAAGACAGACCAGCTTCTGGTTTCATGCCATTAAGAATGACAAACCAATACTCAAAAGAAAAAGGGGCACTTGATATGAATCAACAGTTCACAGAAAAGGAAATACAAGTGACTCATAAACTTAAGATATTTCACTTCACTAATAAAGAGATATGCTAATTAAACTACAGTGAGCTATCATTTTTCACCTATCAGATTGGCAAAGACCCATAAATTTGTTAGCACATTGTTTTCACAAAGGTACGAGAAAACAGACATTTTCATATATTGTTGGCAAGTACATAGGCTGCTATACCTCCAATTTGAAAGTCGTTATCAAAAATTACAAATATATAGGCATTTTCACCCAATAATTCAATTTCTAGGAATTGGTCTCCCATATATCTGCAAACAACGCAGTGATTGCAAGTACAAGATGTCAATCAAAAGGGGCTGGCTAAATGATTTACACAAGACGCAGACAAGGAAATACTATGCATCTGTAAAAAACAAAAAGATGAGGAAGTACTTTATGTGCTGCTATAGAACGTTAATAAAGCTTATTGTTAGTGCTAAATGCATGTTAGATGTATAGTATGCCACCATATGTGTAAAAAAGCATAACTGTGTTTTGCATATATTACATGTAATTATATATAATACCTATTTTCACTTGTATATAAAAAAGATATTCATATACAATATTATATAAATGTTTTGTATAGTACTATACAAAATAAATGGGTCATATCAGTTGCCCCTGGGATGAGTGGCTGTGCGGGGAAATGGTAGGGACAGTTTTCACTGTGCCCTTTTGTATCTGTTGAATGTTTGACATATTTTTAAAATCTGTATTTGCTCTGAAGAACAAGTGTGTTTGAGAGCTCACACACGTTCGTATGAACACTTACTTACCAAGTAATGCCTTGGTAAATAATTCTTGAACCCCAAAAGAATCCGGGCGGGCCTGACCTGCTCTGTGGGTCAATTCCCTGGGCTGAGTATTAGGTTAGACAACCAGAGTAGCCAAGACAGTACCCAGTATGCCCCGCTTGTTTACCTGCTTCACTCTTCTTCCAAACTCAGATGACCAACTCTCTCATGACTCAACTCTAACCCACCTCACTCAATCCCATCCCAAACCATCAGTCATTCTCACTCCTCCGCTCTCCTTATCCTGCTTGCATCCTGGTCCAGTCTACCCATAAAATATCTTTCATGCCACAAGAAGATCTCTCGGTGCAATATCAGCCTCCCCCAAAGGCTATTTCCTGCTGTTTTCATCAAAGCTCTTAGAATGAACAATTTATTTGTGGTGACTATCAATTATCTTTTGACTCAGGCCAACACCACTCTGACAGAGCCTCAGGAATATTCATTTCTTTAATCATCTTTCATATACTTGCCTTTTCTCTTGGGTTCCAAGAGGACCCAAGGAGTGGAGATCACCTGCTTCTGGCCGTAAGTACCTGCAGTTATATCTAGGGGAGGAGGTACGGCAAGAAACTGAGATGAGGAGGAAAGGAGATAACTAAGTTAAATAAACATTTTTCAAGTTATGCACTTCGAGATGAATATGGTGCTGGCTAACAATGCCTAACATCCCCTCCCCTACCTGATCATTAGAAAACTTACACCAAAAATATAGCTAAGCCCCCTGAGGAATGGTAGAGTAATAGAGGTATCTAAATTCTGTTTGTCATTTTTTCATCTCTGAAGAAGAGTAGTGAGTGTTGAGAATATGTTCTAGAAAACTGTTACTTTCATCCCTCCAAAAAGCAAAGAAAACATCACAACAGTATCCTGAGGGTTTGAAAAGTGAATGTGTTTTGGTTTTAAATAAAAGATAATTTTTTCTAGTGCAATCTAGCTGGAAGAATATATTCATTTGCCAAACATGTCTCCCTAAATTCAGGTAAAAATATATTGCACCACTTTGGGAGTCCGAGGCGGGCAGATCACCTGAGGTCAGGAGTTCAAGACCAGCCTGACCAACATGGAGAAACCCCGTCTCTAATAAAAATACAAAATTAGCTGGGCATGGTGGAGAATGCCTGTAATCCCAGCTACTCGGGAGGCTGAGGCAGGAGAATCGCTTGGACCCAGGAGGTGGAGGTTGCAGTGAGCCAAGATGGTGCCATTGTACTCCAGCCTGGGCAACAAGAGCAAAACTCCGTCTAAAAAAATAAATAAATATATAAATACATATAGTGCATACACACACATATTAATATATATGAATACCTATATTTGCATGTACATGCGTAAAATGTTCCTAGAATGATACAAAAGAAACAGGCAACCCTGGTTGCCTCTGAGATGGGAAACCAATAATGATCAGACGCCCATCCCTCTGGCTGAGTTGCACACATAAATGAGCTGACAAGCAATAGATCTTTTTCTTTTTAAGAATGAAAAAAAAAGGAAACATCGCATATACAAGAAAATATCAGAAAACACTTACGTTTCACGTTCTTAATGGGGAAAAAAGCATAGATGAATTGAGACAAAGGAGAAAACAAAGAAGGCAAAAGTGAGGGTGAAGAGTAAGGCTCCCACGCAGAGAACACTGACCATCCGGGAAATGGCCAGAGAGTGGAGGGAAAGCGGCAGTGAGCTGCTGTGGCCGAGGAGGTAGGCGAGGGCCAGACAGCAACATGGATGACATGTTAAGAGCCATGGGCAGAGAGGGACAGGCTTCAATCAAGTCAGCAGGATGATTAGATTTGTGTTTTTAAGATTGTTTTTGTGTGCAATGAGAATAATGAATTGGAAGAAGGCAAGGGTGGAAGCAAGAAGAAACAAGAGAGAGGCTAATACAATACAATCAGTGAAAAGGATAATGGCCTGAACGAAGAAGTACAGAGGCATGGACAGACACAAGCTATTTGAAAAGTGGTATGGTCAGGACTTGGGGACTGAACAGGCATAAGGAGAGAAAGAGAAGTCAAAGACAATGACCAGCATTCTGGCCTGTGCTGATGGGTGGGTGGAGCTAGGAGTGGAAGAGTGAAAGCTGATTTTATGAGAAAGACATGTCAGCTGAAAGTGACAGTGGAACATTAGAGTGAAGATGTCTGGCAGATGGTGCTATGTGGTCATGAGCATCCACACATCTAAAGAGTAAGTAGAGTGAGAAGTAGGCCCAGCAGTCTCCAGCATAACAAGGGGAGGGCAGAGGAAGGAGGATTGAAACAAATGAGGCAGGGGCAGCCATAGAAGCATGAGGAAAACCAGGAGAGCAGGCATAATGGACACCAAATGATGAGAGCATTTCGAGAAGATGGTCAGTGTCCACAGCTGCCAAGGAGACAATAAAGACAACGGCTTAACATAAAGTTTCTCATGACCCTGGCAAAAACAGAGGCAGCTGAGAACAGTAGGAATAAAGCGTGCAATTCTAAATCTTTTGCCAGCAAAATTACAAATGACTACATCATCTAGATGTTGAGGGTAATTTGTGAAAAACAAACCACAAAACAACATCTAAACATATGATAACAGATGAAGCAGAAAATAAGTCTTATAATTTCTTTACAAAGCACTATCAATCATCTACCAACATAGGATATGCTTAGTGTCTGAAATTTCAAAGGGAAAAAAATCCAACACCCGAACAAAAGTGAAATTCCTAAAATAGTAAGCAAAAAGACAAATCATTCCAATGTTTAGGCACTGGATTGGCATAAGCACCTCTAAAATGCCAACACCATGGGTTGCAACAGCACTGGCTGGGAGTCCCTAAAGGCTTCCCCCAGGACCCAGAGGACATGCCCCCTTGTAATCAGGCAGGAAGAACTTGAATACAAGGCCAGAGAACTAGTTAGAAGAGAAAGAAGGTTGCCATCGGCACATCAACGTGACAACATGAGGGGGATTAGTCACCCCAGCCTAGGCCTAGCACCATGCCCAGTAAACATTAATCCCTTATCACCAAGAACCTTCACTTCAAATCCCCTCATCTACATGACTAATCCAGGTTGGCATTTTGCTTTCTGGAACACGGAGTCCAGCCAAACCAAGTTAACAGGCATAAGAAGGAAACCTAAGAACAGAGGAAAGAAAAACACACCAGCCATGAAAACCACAGACACATTAAGAGAATCGGACTGTTGCTGATTGTTACAATGGGCTGTTAAATCCATTCGAAGTCATTTGTATTACAGAAAAGAGAAGGAACTTGCCCAAGGTCACACAGAGTTTTGCTGGACTTGGGCGAGCACCTGTCTGGTTTTTTCTGCACTATACCATGAGACCTTCTGATAGCCAATTGCTGCCAAATACCTATGTCCAGCCTAAGCTCTCTCCCAAGCTCCAGACCCATGTAATCTACCAGTTCTTCAACAGCTTCTCTGGACTATCTCAAAACCTCAGTTCCTGACATCAAACACTGAACCTGTGATCTTTCCCCAGTGCCAGTATTTCATCTAGGGCTTCCTAGCTCAACAGGTGACACCACCATCTATCTGGTTCCTGAGCCAGAGACTGAGGAACCTTGACCAGTGTTTGAACTCCAGCCCTGCCACTTCCTAGCTGTGAACTTGGGCAAATTAAATAAGGTCTCTAAACCTCAGGTTCTGACATCTGAAAATGGGATAACAACACTAATTATTTCATAAGATAGCTGTGGGCACTGAAAGAGATAATGTTCATAAAATGGCAAACCCATAGGAAATGTCTTTGTATATGCGGTTCCCTCCATCTTGTCACCTTGCTCCCGCACTCCCACCCTGTCACCTGGATAACACCCATGTACCCTTATTCCAACTCGAATGTTGCTCCCCCACCAGAAGCCTTCTTTGATCAGCCCCTGCCCCTCAAGGCTAGGTCATACCCCATGCCCATTTTCATCCTTAAAGTACAGTGTAATTCCTACTGATATCCCATATCATAATTATACATTTACTTTGTGGTGGTTTGGTTAATGACCATCTCTCCAGTAGCTCCATGAGGGCAGAAACTGTTAGTGTTATACCTCATTTTTGTATTCTCAACACAGTGCCTGGCACTTAATAGGTGTTCACTAAATATTAGTTGAGTGAAGGGCTCATGAAGCATGTTTGTCAGCAGAAAAGGGAACATGGAGATTAGAAGAGAAGCCACAGGGTGCCAATCCAAATGAGCATCCATGCCCATGCCAGCCAGGGGCTAGGTAGAAAGGGTCTAGTGAGCCCAGTCACACTGCTGTAAAGCTCAGTATGCACTGGTAGTTTGACTATCATCCTAACCATTCAGGATCTGGCCTCTGTATTCCCAGGACACACTCTGTAGGAACCTACACAGCCACATTTTGGAGAGCTTAGGGATAAATCCCAGTCCTACTGATACCTTTTCTAACGTAAACCTCACTCCACAGTGGGTGTGATTCTCGTGTTTAAAGGCACATATTTTTGTACCACAGGATCTCTAAACACAGCCAACTACTACATCTGGAGCTCAGCTGAAGAAACAAATGTGTTTTCCAACTTGGGGATAAAACTGAGCTGTACTGGCCCTGGGAGCAAATGGCATATTGGTTCTCCAGTGTGGTATCAATAAGGGATTTTTCAAGAGTATTTTTTACTACACCCAACGTTTCTTTATGTAGCAACTCTAGAACCTAGCCTTCTTGTAATATGGGACTCTAATGTAGGACAAAGTAATGAAAGGAGCAGGTTTTGACATTGGACAGGCCTGGATTCAAATTCTGGCTCTGTCACTGACTAGTTATGAATGAAACCTTAAACCAGCTATTTGACCTCTCTCAACCACAGTCAACTCACTTATACTATTAGAAGCAGCAGTAACTAGATCTTATGGTTGTAGGAAGCATTAAATATAAAAAATAGCCTATGGCTAAATTATTATCTTTAAGAAATTATTTGTACACAGAGTCCCACCTTAGAAAATCAAGTTCTGCACCACATCTAACACAGTGCCCCATCCCCAGAAGGTATTCCATGAACCCCAGGACCTTCTTTAGACTTTGTTTATCCTATTCCAACCTAGCAGCCCACATCTTTATGGGAGTGTCTGACACCACCCTTCTATTCTGAGTAGAAGTGCCTGTGCAAAAATGTTCCTTATTCCCGAGTTAGATGACTGAAATGTTATACAAACTGCCCCACTTCCTCTTTAGTGTCAAATAGTAAACCTGCACACCCGCGCGTGCACACACACACACACACACACACACACACCCTTCTTTGAGAATATAACTTCCCCAGCACAGGACCCAGAGACACTACACAAGGCAACAGCTGCAGACAGAGAACAAAATAAGAGCTCTTTATCCAAAGGAAAACACTGCAGAAAGGGAAGCTGAAATTGTCTAAGCTGTGGTATAGCCAGAAGCTTTTGCCATAATATTTCTTTTGTATTTATTACATAAGGAAACAGCAGCTGCTGCCATTGTACAATAACTGTTCTCTTGGTCTAGGCACTGAGAGAGAATACAGAACTACTTCTGCCTTCCAAAAGTTTACCATGTAATTAGAGGCACAAAACAAATGGAAAACAGTTAACTATGCATTAAATGAGTAATAATAAAGAATAAGGCAGAGACAAGATGGGCTGCTTTAGAAAAAGTGAAGCTCTCCTGAAAGTGGTGGCTAATGATTAGATAGGTGAAGGCAGAGGGACATTTTAGATATACTAAAGATCAAGAAGCAGCCTAGTTTATTCTAGAGACACTGAGAAGGCGTAGAGACATACACAGTAGAAAAGATTTAGTAATTTATACAAGCAACCAAACAAGACATGCAATATTTGCATGAAGGATCAGTTTTATATCTTCCTTGCAATGAAAAAGGGTCCATCAAAAAGCCATGTCCCCGAAGCCCAAAGCTTGACTCTACTGTCCCATTGGCATAACCCTGCATCATCACTTACCCGGATAAGGGAAGCCTGATGCCGAAGGGGCTTGGTTCCTGGGCCCCCTGATGAGGATCCCTCGGGCTGGACAAGGGGCTGCCTAGCTTCATAAGGTGCTGAAACAGCAGAAAGGAAAGTCAGTATGGTATGCAAAGATTCCATTCAAAAATTATGACTTCACATTCAAACTGATACAGCATCTGCTTTTCAGGAAAGAACTGGCAACAGAATACTCATAGGGCCATCTAGGACTGACAACCCCTGATTCTCTTTGGCACAATTTCACTAAACAATCTAAAGACATTCAACCAATTCATGATAAGCAGAAAAATATTTACACTGGGTTATGATTAGGAATAAATTGTGAAGGTGGAACAGTGAGAACTTCAATTGGGATAGAAAGCAACAATAGCTAGAAAAGTGTCATAAGTGTTCAAATTCTAAATATGAGGTAAATTCTATATATCCCCCCTAAGTAAATGTCTTCCATTGATCATCCACTTCCCCAAGAAGAAAACTAATGTGCATTTTGAACACTAAGAACCAACATTATTTTTGAAAAATAAATCAAACAGAATGTAAAATCATGTAGAGAAGACTACGAAAATGAATAAATATATTTTATATTTATTATTCTACTATTCAATAACCAAACTTTTAAAAAACAATTTTGCTGCCTTTAAAATAACTTTTTAAGCCACAAAAATGAATGTATGTTTTCACTCCTTTTATTTCCAGAAGACTTAATAATGACCTTACCAATATGGCAGGGAGACAGTTAAACATAACCAGGTAGTATGCAGCTCCAACAGAAAGCAGAAATTATCACCCAAGTTGAAATTCTTTCTCATCTCTATAGGTTAATAGTTCAAGTTTTTGAAAATATATAAATAAGTA
Organism: Homo sapiens; assembly: GCF_000001405.40. Taxonomy (NCBI): domain Eukaryota; kingdom Metazoa; phylum Chordata; class Mammalia; order Primates; family Hominidae; genus Homo; species Homo sapiens. The sequence continues at coordinate 17,028,744 of NC_000023.11, read as the reverse complement.
AAATGTTTTATTTCTGTAGCTTACTTACAAATAAAATTAGGTAGAGAGCAGAGCAGCCTGTTATGACCTCATGTTTAACATAGTTTGCTCTTTTTAAAATAAAGAAGGTACAACAATAGCACATCAAGAATGATAAATCACTCTTGGGCTCACATCTGCTTTTTGTATTTCTTCCTAGTAACTGGAACACAATGTTACAATACATTAACACACATTAAAATAGCAAAACAATTGCCTGGCAACCCATCAAGTAGATTTTCAGAACCTGCTAAGAATGAATACAGATATAAAAACTGCAAAACATACATACATAGAGAGCACATAATCCAAATTTTAAAAAGTAAGTCTCAGCTGGTAGGCCACCATTGTCTTCTGAGAAGTAGGATTTTTAAAATCATTCTGTGTTGATGGAGCACTGAATTAAATCACTAATACCAATTGCGCTCTGCCAAAAGGTTTGAAACACAGTGAACTGTGGCATGGTTGGGGTGCTAGCAGTCATGAGCTTTCCTTAGGAAGTGAATCCCACGTGCCTCTGCTTCCCATAAGAGCTTCTACTTCTACTTCCAGGGGAGACACATGGGGGAACAGGCCACCATCTGGCCCTTGGCTTCTATCCCTCACCTACAAGGGCCTTCCCTTGGAAGAGACAGACCTATCTCATCAGTAGGGCTTGGATGAAGACTCAGCTGCATGGGGGGCCTTTTTTGGAGAGGCAGATTTTCTCTTCCTACTTGTGTGGGAAATCTGGGATGGCCAAGCCTGCCTGTGACTGGAAAGGTGAGTGTCTAAAGCCCATCTGGTCACAAATCTAAGACATGTGCTCTGATCAGCTATATCAGTAATAAAGCTGATATTCAGGCCATCAATTGTCTGACTTCTGGCTCCTTCCTTAATTGGATCTGAATTCAGAAGGTTAAAAAGTAGCTATTACTCAACTCTCTTTCTTCCCAAATGAAACCCCAAACATGCAATACAGTGCAAAACAAATAATTCTTTGATCCCCTTACAAGAGGTTTAATAAGAACTGGAAGTACCATCTTTCTCCAAGGGGAGGTGTACAAAAAAAAAAAAAAAAAAAAAAACCTAAAGATTTCATCACTCTGAAGTTCAGTGTCAAACCAGAACTCTTTGGCAGTTTCATATACAACTACCCTAAAACTGAGTGACTCTATTCCTAGGAGCCAGGGAAATGACAGCATATGTCACAGAAGGACTCATACATGAATGTTCATAGTATCCTTATTCATAATAGCCAAACACTGGAAACAACTCAAATGTCCAGCACCAGGAGAACAGATCGTCGAACTGTGATGCATTCACACAATATATCCCACTACTAAATAATAAAAAGGAATGAACTACTGATACAACAATACAGATAAATTTCAACCATTATGCTGAAGGAAAGATGGCAAACACATATGAGTACAGTCAGTCATTCTGTGTGTTTTCATTCATATGAAGTTCTAGAAGAAGCAAAACTAATGATGGTGATGAAAATCAGAACAGTGATTGCGTTAGGGGGCAGGGAGTGACCGGAGAGGGTCATCTCTGGCATAATGGATATGTTCAATTACTGATCAAAGTGGTAGCTACAAGGGCCTATCCATTTGCTAAAACTCAAATTGAAGATTTAAAACATGTGCATGGCCAGGCATTGTGGCTCACACCTGTAATCCCAGTACTTTGGGAGGACAAGGAGAGCGGATCGCTTGAGTCCAGGGGTTCGAGACCAGCCTGGGCAACATGGCGAAATCCCATCTCTACAAAAAAATACAAAAAGAAAATTAGCCCGGTGTGGTGGCACATGTCTGTAATCCCACCAACTCAGGAGGCTGAGGTGGGAGGATCACCTAAACCTAGGAGATCAAGGCTACAGTGAGCCATGATCGCGCCAGTGCACTCCAGCCTGAGTGACAAAGTGAGAACCTGTCTCAAAAATGAACAAATAAAACGGGTACATTTTATCATATGTATATTTTACCTCACTTTTAAAAAAGTATGAAAAGAAATGAAGGCATGGACAGCTTTGGCACAGGCTGCTGAGAGTCAAGAAAGATGGAGAGAAGCAAGCTGCTTCCTTACCACTGGGGAAATGGAAGCCCAATTTGTATGGAATGAGGAGGGAATGGGGCATTAAGGAGGAGGAACAGAAAAGTTTTCTAAGGAATACCAAAGGTAGAACTTGCTGACAGGCTGACTCAGTAGAACAAAAAGTTTCACCTGTGAATTAAAAACCAACTTCCAAACCCAAGTAAGATTAGAAATAGGAAAAAAAAAAAAAAAACCCACTCCTGAAAATAGGGAAATCAGATCAGGGAAACTATAAGAGGAAAATGAAGAATTCTCAACTCCATTTAGTTTCTAACCCCACTGAGATATTCAAGTTACAGGACAGTGATTTTTTTGTTACTATCCATTAGCAACATCATCTTGCATGTGCATAGGACTTAATTTCCAAACAGATTTTATACTCACATTCTCACTTAATCTTCTAATACCCCTCTAGGATACTGTTACTCCATTTTAAGAGAGAAGAGGTAATCGTGGTTCAGAGATGTTCAATGGCCTGCCCAAAGTCCTACAGCTAGTCACAGAAACCCACACACCTTCTGCTTCCAATCAAAAGCTATTGCCATTATGCCACGCCTGCTTCTCTCTGCAAGATTACAGCCTCTCTTTATTCAGCCTAGCGCGCAGTTTTATTTCTGTGTCCCTCTAAAAGTCACCACTATTTTTAATGCAGTAAAAACCTGCAGAAACTGGGTCATTTGGGGCCACAGCCCACAAAACAAAACTGGGGGGGTGGGGGTTTACAGATATCCAGTTCTAGAATACCTTTAATTGGTCATATCTTAAACTAGGAGTCTGAACCCCAGGAGGCACAAGATGCTGCAGTGAATTTCCAGTGCTTTAGGCACTGCAGCCTAAACAGCCAACTCTGCAAGTCATCCTCAGAACTAACGTATTTTACCACCTAACGAGGCCAGCAGAGCATAAATGTGAGCAAGAAGGCAACCCCACAACTGTGCATGCTACATACCCCTCAGCAAAATGCTACCCCTAGCATTTCCTTTATCCTTATTCCAAAGCACAGGACCTATATATTTTCATTTACGTGCTCAGTCTTCAAAGGTTGGATCAACTCTTTTGCTTTTGCAGTTATATTTCTTAAGAAATTTCATTAAAGCAGTTACTATATAAATATCTTTGGTGTGCTTACAGAAAGGAATAACAATTCCAAAAAAAATACAAGCCCTTAATATGGTATGTTCTATTCAATAAAATCTGTATATGAAAGATTAAATCATCTAGCTGTTTACAAGTCTAAAGACGAACTAGTTTCTAGGACAGGAGATGAAACATTACTCAAATATGTTTAAATCAATTTTTAAAAAAAAACCTTGCTTGAGAATATAAAATTAAATTGAGCCATGTTTCCAAAGACAGGGGTAATTAAATCAGGAAATTAAGCAGCTTGAAGCGTTACCGCCTGGTAAATTAAGGAGTCTCTAAGACACTGCCTGGGACAGCTGGCCCCCAGGTCGCCTCTTACCTGGATGCATCTGTTCTGCGCTGCTCCGCAGTTTGCTGTAGCCATGGCTCAAGGGCACCCTCTGGTAATGAGGCGGGGAAGAAGGAGGGGAGGCGAGGGGTGACATCGTGGGAGACTGTGTTTCCTGCTTCAAAGAACCAGATCAGAGTTCAGAGGCGCTCACTCAAGCCTGGCGTTCTGAGCTGCAGTCAGGAAGCATAACGCAACTCTACTGCTGGTGACCCAGCTGGTTTAACAAATGGGGGGAAATGTTTTCTCAAAAATGCAGCATGGTTAAACAGCAGTGTCTGAGGATTCAAAAAGTCTCCCAGAGAATAAAATCTCATCAGTGCTGAGTTACCTAAATTACTAAAACCAGCCTGAAACACTTTTGGTTATTCCAATAATATTTTCCTTTGGAAAATGAAAGACACTGATCACATGAAATAACATTCATACCCGCTCCCAATTGTGATCTCTCTGTGGATAGATTTCATTTTCATTCATTAATAAATTTATTTCCTGGATTTATACTTATCAAGTCTTCCAGCAAATGTGAATATTAAAATATATATTTCTAAATGCTTAATACTTAATATTCTTGGAGCTTACCATGTCAAAGTAAAATGCTAGCTTTTTTTTTTTAACAATGAGAGACTGCAAAACAATTCATTATAGGTAAACCATTCCAACCAGCTTACTCCCAAACACTAAGATGAAATCTTAACAAGCTACAATTTGAATCTCAATTCAAATATGAACCTGATGTAGAACCCTAGGCAAAGTAAGCAACCTTATCTGCTGCTGAGTTTCCTCTTTAAAAAAAAAAAAAAAAAAAAAAAACTTTACTAGTAGACTGGTAACTTTGGAGTATTCAAGTACCAAGAAAACAGTGCTTTTTTTTGTTTGTTTGTTTGTTTGAGACAGGGTCTCGCTCTGTCACCCAGGCTGGGGCACAGTGGCGTGATCATAGCTCACTGCAGCCTTGACTTCCTGGGCTCAAGCAATCCTCCCACCTCAGCACCCCCAGTAGCTACTACAGGCATGCGCCACCACACACAGCTAATTTTTTTTTTTTTTTTTTGAAATGAGGTCTTGCTATGTTGCCCAGGCTGGTCTTGAATTCTTGGGCTCAAGCAATCCTCCTGCTTCGGCCTCCCCAACTGCTGGGATTACAGGCATGAGCCACTACACCCAGCCAAAACAATGCTTTCTATCAACACACAGACTATATATATAGGCTCCCTTAGTCTAAAGAGAAATATGTAATCTGAAATACTGATCAAATACTCTTCTTCAAGAAAAAGCAAAATATGTTTGCTCTAAAGCATGAGCTCACACCCATAGATTGGGTGGGGCATGCATAAACTCAGCCTGAAGTGAAAGGATGTATTCTCATTCACACAATCAGGGACTGGGCCTGGAAATTTCCCAGGGCATCAACCACCGTGGGACAGTGGACCCTCATTCCTCTCCAAATGCTGGTGGGAAAATATGCCAAAGAATATTGACTGAAAATTCCTATACCTCTTCCTTTTTAAATATATCCCTGAAGAACTGATTTAAAATGTGTCAGAATTATGAAAGTGACAGTACATGGAATTGTTTAACAGGATGTGCTACACCTCCCCTAACTATCCATATAAAACTTCTGTAGCAACACCTCATCTACACAACATCACAGGGTAAGTCACAGAAGTTAGTTTTCCAACATAATCATTTAATATTCATTGCATTTTAAAAACATTTTCATTCGAGTGTTCCTTTTTTTTTTTTTTTGAGACACAGTCTTGCTCTGTGGCCCAGGCTGGAGTGCAGTGATGTGATCTCGGCTCACTGCAATCTCCGCCTCCCGGATTCAAGCCATTCTCCTGCCTCAGCCTTCCAAGTAGCTGGGACTACAGGCACATGCCACCACGCCCGGCTAATTTTTGTATTTCTAGTAGAGACAGGGTTTTGCCATGTTGGCCAGGCTGCTCTTGAACTCCTGACCTCTTGTGATCCACCCGCCTTGGCCTCCCAAAGTGCTGGGATTACAGGCGTGAGCCACCGTGCCCAGCCTCAAGTGTTCCTATAATAAATTTCTTTACCTTATAGAAGACACTATGTTGAACATAATTTGACTTCTCTGCATGATTCAGTATCTTTGCTGGAAGTATGAGCTATACCTTGATGCCTGCAGGGTACACCAATGTGTAGACTATTTACTTCTTCTGGATCTGCCCACTCTTCTGAGATTTTATACTGTTGTCTCCACCAATCATCATCTGACCATTGCAATTAGTGGTCTAATTTTAAAAGCCTATCCTCCCTGTTCTGGTTCCAAACCTGCTAAATGGGTAATGGCAGCATTTCCCAAGATAGTATTCCAAATATGTTCCCCAAGAAAGAATTTCCTGGTGAAAGAAGTTTAGTAAACACACATTTCCAGGTCTCTTCACTGCAGAACTTCTCAGGGCTTTTACCGTGCTAATGTGCACTACGAATTTCCAAGACTGAGGATTTAGTCCTTCCCTCAACAAGGGAATATGAAGCAGCATTCTCCAAACACATTTATTATAATAGGAGAAACCTTTTCTACAGACTTCTTTTTGGAGAAGAGAACCTATTAAAAACTCCTGGAAGTTACATTTCCAAGAATCCATTTAGAAAACCACTGAGCTAGTGAAATCAATAAATGTATTAAATCGGTAGCCTTATTTTAGACACAATTCTACTTTAAAGTAGGCTCTAAAGGGCCCTTAAGTGGGTGGTGGTGATTCATATGTGTCGGTCTCTCTTTCTTGCTAGGAGAAAACTTTACTGGCTCACTTCCAAGTCTGTAATTGGGTTCCAGATGGTGAGATTTGCTGGAAGCTGAACAGTAGATACGAGGCCCTGCTACATGCGGTTTCATGGTCAGAATCAAATGAACACATCTGAACAAACTGTTTACCTGTTTATCCTCATCGTCCATTCTTTTGAAGGAATTTTTTTCTGTAGTTAAATATGGAATCTGAACCTTAGTTCCATGCAGCTCAGCTGGGTTCCCAAATCGTATCTCACCATCATTCTTTGACATCATAAAGCGAGGCAGAGGCAATTCTTTGGGACCAGAAATCAGAGAAGCTCTAGTCAGACTTAATTTAAAAACTGCAAAAAAGGGGAACTCAATGGCCAAACGATGAATCATTTTTGAGGAAAAATTCCAGAGCACTAAATATAAATTTAGATTTAGATACAATGAGTACTCCTATAATAACGTCCTGATTTTTAAAATGCTATGGTTTAACCAAAGTATTCTGGCTTAACATTTTTCAATGTTGCCAAATCGCAGAATAAATTCAGATTTGGGACTGATCTCCCATTTCATCCTTCAATAACCAAGAAAAAGGATATGACACTGTATAATACAATAATAAGTGACAAATGGTGGCAGGTAAAATTCATATAATGCTTAAATATGCCAGGCACAGTATTAAAGATTTGCAAATATTAACTCATTTAATCCTCACAACAACTCTGTATGATAAAACTATCATTACCACCCCCTCATTGCAAAAGTAGAAACAGTCATAAAGGAGCTAAGTAATGTCCCCAGGATCACACAACTCATCTGTGGCAGAGCCACGGTTTGAATGCAGGCAAGCTGGTACTTTACCAGTGCTCTACAGAATGGTCCCTTGTTCCTATGGCAAACTTAGTGGGTAGAACAGTTTCTCATCCTATGTAATTCTTTAAGGAATTTTCACATCCAATCTCTGGTTGTCTTTTCATAATGGAATAAGGAAAACAATATCAAGTCAGAGCAATCAATCTATCATTCAGCCACATTCTTCTGTCAAAACCATTAGCCACTCAAAATGCTACAAAGAGTTGAAAAGCAACGGTCTGGTATATTTACTCATCTTTCAAAATTCTAACAAAACTATTCTGAAAGCGGAAATGATACTTTGGCACACTTCTAGTTCTCAGCACATCAAATCACACACAATCACGTAGCACAAAACCCTACAAAAATGGGGACATTATGGATTATGCATAATGATTTGCATCTGTATCCATTGTTCAGGATAATACTCATCAGTGTGCCTTTGCACTTCCATCAGCTCTCTATTCCAAAAACACAGCTGCACTTTCAATGACTGATGCTGTGCTAAGGCCAGAAAACATCTTAGCAACAGCAAGCAAGTATCCTAGAGTTCCCCAGGCAAAGAAGGCCCCTGGTTCTCTAACATCCACATGATGTTTACTTTTAGTTGCTATGTTCACATTTGATTCAAAGCAGCAGGCGGCCGGGCGCAGTGGCTCACTTACGCCTATAATTCCAGCACTTTGGGAGGCGGAGGCGGGTGGACCTCCTGAGGTCAGGAGTTCGAAACTAACCTGGCCAACATGGTAAAACCCCGTCTCTACACAAAAATACCAAAAATTAGCCAGGCGTGGCGTCAGGCGCCTGTAATCCCAGCTACTCAGGAGGCTGAGGCAGGAGAATTGCTTAAACCCAGGAGGCGGAGGTTGCAGTGAGCCAAGATCATGCCATTGCACTCCAGCCTGGGCAACAAGAGCAAAATTCTGTACCAGAAAAAAAAAAAAGAAGCAGGCAATATGACAAATCCCTGTGTGATCAATCAGCCAAGGGCCCAAGAGACATAAATAGAGTAACCAATCTTAATGTTTCCCAATCTCGGGCAGCTCTCCAGCACTCAAAGCAGGAATGGGCTTCAAAAGCAAAAAAGCAAGAGAAAAGAAACTCTAGATTCTTAGTAAATCAAATATAAGCTAACTCTATGGTTTTGGTCTCAGGTATGTGCTCCAGCTCAGTCAGGAAAAAGGATCTAAAAAGATGAAACAAGATCACATAAAATAATTTGCACCCTGATCTACCCATAAGAGGATGACTCTACTTCCAAGTACTTCTTGAGGGAGAAAAGAAATAAATGCTCAGTATTTATAAGCTCCCTGACCAGTGCCTTACTGGCATTCAACAGATACCTCCAAGGAACAATGGAATACACTAACTGAATTATGAATATCAATTATTATATTAGGACTTAAGTAGGGCTCCCAGATATTGTCTAGGACATTGTCACTTCACACATTCTTCCACCCTGTCTATGGCATTTCTTTAGAGCTATGTGCCTAGAAAACCACCTCTCTCCCCCAGACAGCCACCAAACAGCAAAAGACAAAATACAGCTGAAGTTCTCTCATACTTTCTTTGGTCAGGTGGTTCCAAGCAACTCTCACTTAACAGAAGTATAACCATACATAATAATATTCTTATCATGGAAAACTTTCATGAAGGTGCCATTTCCCTTAAACTGATGCAAGCTTTTAAAAAGTGAAAGGTAAAAGTAGTTTGTAAATTTTCAGTCTGAATGTTTTTTTTGGTTTTTGTTTTTTTGAGACAAGGTCTGTCTCTCAGACTGAAGTGCAGTGGCACTAACATAGCTCATTGCAGCCTTGAACTCCCAGACTCAACTGATCCTCCTGCCTCAGCCTCCCAAGTAGCTGGGACTCCAGGTGCTTGCCACCATGCTGGCTAATTTCTTTTTTTATTTTTCGTAAAGATGGGGTCTTGCTATATTGCCCAGACAGGTCTCAAATTCCTGAGCTCAAGCGATCCTCCCGTCTTGGCCTCCTAAAGTGCTGGGATTACAGGCATGAGTCACCATACTCAACTGAATGTTTTTCCTAGTCACACATACACAAAATTTAATAGTGAAACTTTGAAAAAATTAATCAATAAAGTACCTGCTATACAATGATGTCTGTCAAGAAGAAGGTCTATTTGTAGTCATTGGTTAGAATCTTGTCTCCCAAACTGAATTGAATTACACACAGCAAACAAAGTAAGAGTTCACACTAAATGTTTAGAGGGTCTGAGGAGACAATGAGAGTGGCCATCCAAGATGACAATTTGCTTCATTGTTGTTTCATCTTAGGTTACATTCTTTGAACACAGAAATGCTTTGTATATTAAACATAAATGACTATTTTTCCCTTCCACAAAGAAAATTATGCCTGCTCCTTTTTAAACACTTGACCCTCTACAAGAGAGAAAAATCCTTTGTTTTTCCATATTTGATAGAGATACAGATATATTAGGAATACTTTAGGCTGGGAGTGGTGGCTCATGCCTGTAATCCCAGCACTTTGGGAGGCCGAGGTGGGAGGATCACTTGAGCCCAGCAGTTTGAGACCAGCCTGGACAACACAGTAAGACCCCTTCTCTTAAAAAAATAAAAATAAAAAATCAGCTGGGCATGGTGGCATATGCCTGTAGTCCCAGCTACTCAGGAGGCTGAGGCAGGAAGATCGCTTGAGTCTGAGAGTTCAAGGCTGCATCATGCCACTGCACTCCAGCCTGGGTGACAGTGAAACCCTGTCACTCAAAAAAGAAAAAAAAATACCTCAATTTCCTCAATCCATTAGAAAAAATGTAAACAGCATAAATGCAATAATAAATGGCAAGTGACATTGAGCCTCATTAGCTAGACAATATGGAGTGGAGGGTGCTGGGCAGAGAACTCATGTTCCATCAAAATGGCAGCAGCTGTTCACAGTCTTTCAATGTTATCTGCCAAAAAAGAATGTGAGCCACATTAAAAAAAAAAAAAAAGAAAGAAAGAAAGAAGTGAAACAAGCTGGTCACAAAAAGACAGGTACTGTGTGGTTTCACTTATATGAGGCATCAAGAGTAGCCAAACTCATAGAACCAGAAAGTAGATGGGCAGGCCAGGTGCAGTGGCTCACACTTGTAATCCCAGCACTTTGGGAGGCTGAGGTGGGCAGATCACTTGAGGCCAGGAGTTCAAGACTAGCCTGGCCAACATGACAAAACCCCATCTCTACTAAAAATACAAAAATTAGCTGGGTGTAGTGGTGCATGCGCCTGTAATCCCAGCTACTCGGGAGGCTGAGGCACAAGAATCTCTTGAGCCTGGGAGGCAGAGGTAGCAGTAAGCCATGATCACGTCACTGCACTCAAAAAAAAAAAAAAAAAAAAAAAGGCAGTTGCCAGGATCTGGGTAGGAAAAAGAAAATGGGAAGGTGTTTAATGAATACAGAGTTTCCATTTTGTAAGGTGAGGTGAAAAGGTTCTAGAAACTAGTTACCCAACAATGTGACTATATTTACACATTACTGAATTATACATTTAAAATGGTTAAGATGGGAAATGTTATTTGTATTTTATCACAATTAAAAATTTTCCATTTCAAAACATTTTTAATGGCAAAATTTTAATAATCTAATTTAACCCAATATTATCATTTCAACATGTAATCAACATTAAAAACTATTAATGAAATATTTTACATTTTTTTTCATATTAAGCCTTCAAACTCCCATGTATATTTTACCCTCCTTGCATACCTCAATTTGTGCTTGTCACATTTTATGTGCTCAACAGCCACATGCAGCTACTGGCTACCATACTGAAACAGCACAGCTCTAGTTGATAGTTGCTACATGGGAATGTGAGCCATTGTGGCCAGAAATCTGTATTTTACTGTATTTTATTATTATTACAATGTTAAATGTAAGCAACTAATTGATTTCTTTTTAAATTATGTAAAGAGTATTCTGTATGGTGGGATGATTTATAGGGAATTGTAAGTGTTCCACTTGAAGAATTTTGACAAATACATATATATATATATATATCCCTGTAACCAACACCCAAATTCCCAAATTAAGATACAGAATTTTCCTTCATGTTCATTTCCAGTAATCCCCTCCCTTTGTTCCACCGAGCAACCTCTGTACTAATTTCTATACTTGCAGATTATCTTTGCCATTATGGAACTTCATACATTGAATCATACAGTATTTGTTCTTGTGACAAGCTTTTTTTACGACCTTTTTGTCTGTGATAATCACCCAATGTATTGTACACATAGTTCATTCTTTTTCATTGCTATGGAGCAATCCACTTTTAAGAATATATTGAGCCAGGAGCAGTAGCTCACACCTGTGATCCCAGCACTTTGGGAGGCCGAGGTAGGTAGATTTCTTGAGCTCAGAAGTTCGAGACCAGTGTGGGCAACATGGCAAAACCCCATCTCTACAAAAAATACAAAAATTAGCCAGGCATGGTGGTGTACACCTATAGTCCCAGCTACTCAGGAGGCTGAGGTGGGAGGATGGCTTGAGCTTGGAAGGTGGAGGTTACAGTGAACTGAAACAGCACCATTACACTCCAGTCTAGGTGACAGAGCAAGACCCTAAAAGAATATATTGAAAATTTTAATCCATTATCCTGTGATAAACATTTGGGTTGTTTCCAGTGTGGGCCCATTGTAAATAAAGCTGCTGTGAAATTCTTATAAATGTTTTTTGATGGACATGAATTTATTTATCTTGGGTGTATACCTAAGAACCAAATCCAGTCTGCTGCCTATTTCTGTACATCCCGCAAGCACAATGTTTGAATATTTGCAAAAAAAAAAAAAAAAAAAAAGAAAAAAGAAAAATATTTCATGATGTGAAAATTATATTAAATTCAAATGTCAGGCCAGGCATAGTGGCTCACACCTGTAATCCCAGCACTTTGGGAGACCAAGATGGGTGGATCATTCGAGGTCAGGAGTTTGAGACTAGCCTGACCAACATGGTGAAACCCCATCTCTACTAAAATACAAAAATTAGCCAGGCGTGGTGGCACAGGCCTGTAGTCCCAGCTACTCAGGAGGCTGAAGCAGGAGAATAGCTTGAACACAGAAGGTGGAGGTGGCAGTGAGCTGAGATCGTGCCTCTGCAGCACTCCAGCCTGGGTGACAAGAGTGAGACTCTGTCTCAAAAATAAAAAATAAAAAAAATTAAAAATTCAAATTTCAGTGTTCATAAATAAAGTTTTATTAGCACACAGCCATGATCCTCTGATTACATGCTGTCCATGGCTACTTTCATACTACAACAGGGTTGAGTAGTTGTGACCAAAATCATACTGCCCACAAAGTCTATCTGACCCTTTAAAGTGGGCGAAGGATATGAACAGACACTTCTCAAAAGAAGACATTTACGCAGTCAAAAAACACATGAAAAAATGCTCATCATCACTGGCCATCAGAGAAATGCAAATCAAAACCACAGAGAGACACCATCTCACACCAGTTAGAATGGCGATCATCAAAAAGTCAGGAAACAACAGATGCTGGAGAGGATGTGGAGAAACAGGAACACTTTTACACTGTTGGTGGGACTGTAAACTAGTTCAATCATTGTGGAAGTCAGTGTGGCGATTCCTCAGGGATCTAGAACTAGAAATACCATTTGACCCAGCCATCCCATTACTGGGTATATACCCAAAGGATTATAAATCATGCTGCTATAAAGACACATGCACATGTGTGTTTATTGCGGCACTATTCACAATAGCAAAGACTTGGAACCAACCCAAATGTCCCACAATGATAGACTGGATTAAGAAAATGTGGCACATATACACCATGGAATACTATGCAGCCATAAAAAATGATGAGTTCATGTCCTTTGTAGGGACATGGATGAAGCTGGAAACCATCATTCTCCGCAAACTATTGCAAGGACAAAAAACCAAACACCGCATGTTCTCACTCATAGGTGGGAATTGAACAATGAGAACACATGGACACAGGAAGGGGAACATCACACACCGGGGACTGTTGTGGGGTGGGGGAAGGGGGGAGGGATAGTGTTAGGAGAAATACCTAATGTTAAATGACGAGTTAATGGGTGCAGCACACCAACATGGCACATGTATACATATGTAACAAACCTGCACGTTGTGCACATGTACCCTAAAACTTAAAGTATAATAATAATAAAATAAAATTTAAAAAAGAAGAAAAAAAAAGAAAAAGGTTGTTGACCCTTGTCTTACAGAATTTGATGGTTGAAGTGAAAAGTGGTCCTACTAAATCAATAAGGTTGCATTTAACAGAAAATATTTTACACTGTTTAAAACCTTTTATTTAAATCATTTAATGAAAAATTCAGTTTCTCAGTCACACTAGCCACACTGCCACACTTCAAGTGCTCAATAGCCACACATGGCAAGTGGCTACGATATTAAATAACAAAGTTGTAGATGCTTTTCTACAATGTTTGATAAGGGATTCCCTGATTTTGTGCTTACAACAAGTCTATAAGGCAGGTGTTATTGGTATACCTTTTCCTCCAGGGAGTCATTTGAAACAGAGAAATTAAGAAACTGGCCGGAGGCCACACAAATAAAAGGTAATGAAGGAAAGATTCATAATGAGGTAGCCTATTGCTAGGACCTACATTCCCAGCCACAAGGCTATACTACCATCCTGAACATTAAAATTCTTTCTAGTACAGATTTGAACATTTAGCATGAAACTGTGGCATTTCAGAAAATAATCTAGAGAAAACCTGCTCAAATGTCTGCATTTTGCAGGTGAGGAAATAAGCCCAGGAAAGAGAGAGCAAGACTTGCCTTAGTCATGCAGCAATACAGTGGCAGAGCTAAGACCGTAACAAAAATTCTTGACTCCTGACTGCTGGCTCCCTTCTCTCCCACTGCTTTTTGTTACCTATTCACTTATACCAGCTACTTATACGTTAACAAAGAATTATGACAATAATGTTCTATAATTCCAAAGTGAAACCATCCCTACACATTTTCCTGAAGTTACTTTGGGGGAAAACAAAAAACAAAACAAAAAAAAAAATCAGGCCAGTCTTATCAACCCAGGCCTGAGTAATCAAAGCTATCTAGTCTCCTATTATCCTCCTATCTGCCCATTGATCTGAAATACCTCTTGTCAATTAGGAAATGGGTAGGTAATCGCTAGATGGCGGGGTGGAGGTTACAATGGGAAGGGTGATCTTGTAAATGTTTGGCAGAGGAGGATGGTGGATAAGTTCAATTTCCTGGCCATACCACGGGTAGAACCCCAGGAGTGAGTTAGGAGGTCCACAATCCACTGGGCTCTGCTGCTAGCAAGCAGCATCCCTTTTATTTTACCTCTTTGGCCTTCAATTTCCCCACTATGCATCTTCCAACTTACCTCCTCTATATCCATCCCATACACTGCATTTCTCTGGAAGAAGGGCTCTTCACTGGGCTCCATGAACCAGCTCTAGGGGTCCAGAAACCCCTGACATTGAAGGCAACATTTTTTACATAATGTCAATGTGTATTTTCCTGCTAAGATCCAGAGCTTTTACTAGATTGTCAAAGAATCCCACAACAAAGATTTTTACAAATAAGGTGAAAATCCACAGCTCAAAAGGTTGGGGAGAACCTTTGGGGAGGAGCAACAATAGAGCTAATGACAGCGCTATGGGGTAGAGGGACAGACCCCTAGAAAACACAAATGTCCAGCCGTACAGTCAGTGAACCTGCATAGGCGAACTTTGTCCAAAGCAGCTCTGTGTCCCTGTAGCAGGGCTGGGAGAGGGGGTAAAGGAAATTGACAAAGGAACACTGAGGAAAAAAAAGGAAAGGGGGATTGGGTTGGACGTCAGTCAGAAAGGATGAGTTGACCTTAGCTTAATGAGACATCCCAACATAGTATTTAGTGTTCAAAATACAGAGACACTGTGTGGACACACACACACACACACACACACACACACACACACACACAGAGCCAGCTACAACCTTACCTCCTGGGCTTCTTTCTTTACCCTTGGGCTTCCTATCCTGTCTTTTCTATGAATTACCAAACTGGTTGTCACACTCAAAAGATTTCTCTCCTAGCCCTAAGAGATAGGGAGGGTTTGTCAAATAGGCAAAGCACAGGGAACCCCACCCTCAATTCAACCAGAGAATAACTGCTTTTATTTTTCCTTGAATAAAATAATTCTTCTTTGAAAACAAAAGCCACAGAAATAGGACTCAATGCTGCAAAATCCTTCTACCTTTCTTGTATGATTAAAAAAACAAAAAAACTAACTAGAGCACAGGAAGCAAGGCAGCAGGATTAGAGTTCCTAAGTCTTGATCCTTATTTTACAGAAGGCTTTCTCAGTCTCAACATTACTGGCATTTTAGATTAGATAAGTTTGTTGTTGTTGGAAGAGGGGGTCCTGTCCTCTGCAGTGTAGGGTGTTGAGCAGCATCCCTGGCCTCTACCGGCTAGATGCCAGGCAGTCCCCTTCCGCAGCTGGGACAACCAAAAATGTCTCCTCACCTTGCCGAAAGTCCCTAAAGGGACGAAATCACCTAGGTGGAGAACAACTGTTTTGCAGATAAGGGAGGAGTCAAAGGGAATTCAATGATTTGCCTCAGTATCTTCTTGGCAGTAGAATCGTGACCACAACAGTGGCTCACAAATTTGGGGATTTCACAAAATAGGAAAAATCTCTCCCCCAACAACAACAAAAAAAGAAATGAAGAAAGCCAACATAAAGTTGCCAATGTTTTATCTCGTCAAGAATTTTACCCCAAACTATTACCCATTAGCAGTTTCACAAAGGACACTTAACAAGAGGAACCAAAAAAAACCCAATCTTAGATTTGAATACATTTAGCTTTATAAATAACTCATCCTTTTGTCCTAATTCTAAACTGTGCCAGACTGCAACCAGACCATAAACCAGTTTGGGGAACACAGCCCCAAAGACTACATGAATCATGTCATTGCACCATCAGAGTTCACAGGCTCCCAAAGGGACTAGTGAAAAGAAATCACGGGGTCTGTCACCTTGATTAGGAAAAAAAAAAAAATTACAACTTCATTTTCCCTACTATAACTGAAATTTAGCATTTCTTTCCATTATGAATGTAGGCAACAAGCCACTGTATTATCACTAGCAATACCGGTAACTTTGTCACCTATCACATTAGGGTTTTGTTTGTTGTTGTTGTTGTTGTTGTTGTTGTTGTTGTTTTGAGATGGCATCTCGCTCTGTCGCCCAGGCTAGAGTGCAATGGCGTGATCTTGGCTCACTGCAACCTCCGCCTCCCGGGTTCAAGTGATTCTCCTGCCTCAGCCTCCTGAGTAGCTGGGACTACAGGTGTGTGTCACCACGCCCAGCTAATTTTTTTCTATTTTAGTAGAGACGGGGTTTCACCATGTTGGCCAGGATGGTCTCAATCTCTTGACCTCGTGATCCACCCTCCTCGGCCTCCCAAAGTGCTAGGATTACAGGCATGAGCCACCATGCCGGGCCAACATCTTGAAGTACTGTTTATGCATATTACTAATTTGAAAAAGTAGTGGTTATTTCAAACACTGTTAGATGCTTTATTTAATGCATTAATAAAGAAGCATATATGTTTTGGGGGTTGGTTTTTTTTTTTTTTTTTGAGATATAGTCTCACTCTGTTGCCCAGGCTGGAGTGCAGTGGCACAATCTCGACTCACTGCAACCTCCACCTCCTGGGTTTAAGCTAGTCTCCTGCCTCAGCCTCCTGAGTAGCAGGGATTACAGGCATGTGCCACTACACCCGGCTAATTTTTGTATTTTTAGTAGAGACAAGGTTTCACCATGCTGGCCAGGCTGGTCTCGAACTTAGTAGAGACAAGGTTTCACCACATTTGCCGGGCTGGTCCCGAACTCCTGGCCTCAAGTGATCCGCCCACCTCGGCCTCCCAAAGTGCTGGGATTACAGGCATGAGAAACTGTGCCAGGCCTAGAAGCATGTATGTTGTTATATAACAATTTAACTATTTTAGTGATTATTTCAGTATAATTGGTTTCCATTATAATCTTATGTCTTTGTTGCATTTAAAACATAATTCTGAGAAAGGGCCCACAGGCTTCAGACTGCCAAAGGGGCTCCTGGCACAAAAATGATGAGAAACCCTACTCTAGGTTCTGCCTAACCTTCCCTCAGTCCTCACACGTGCTCAACTTCAGACCCTGGAAAGAAAGGTAACAGCAGGTCCCAGGGCAAATGTTCACCACATGATTTCCTCATCAGAAATTCTCTACCAGTCCTTAATTTTCACCTTCTTTCCTTCTGCCCTAGCTGTTTTGCCATCTGTTTAACCCCAACTCAGACGAGGGTGGGGCTAGAGAGATACCTAGTGCCAACATTTAAGGAGGCACGCACTCTCAGGGTGGTGTAAATGTAGAGTCGGCACTTGCCCTGAGAGTAAGTGCCCCCTTAAATCATGTGCCCTGTGTCGTACAGCACCCTAGTTCAGATGCAGCTACTGTAACTACACACACACACACACACACACACACACACACACACACACACAGTTTAAGCAAAGCTCTTAAAAATGCTTGATGCAGCTTTTATTCTTAAACATGTCTCCATACAAAAATCACCTGGAGAGCTGTTAAAAATTCTGATGCTCAGACCGGACTGCAGATATATGAAATTAGAATTTCTGGAGATGGACCCAGGCATCTGTATTTTTTTATTTTATATTTAAAGCTCTCCAGGTGGTTCTCAAGTGCCGACAAGGTTGAAAATCAGTGCCTAAGAAAGATGATATGCAGACTGAGATGACTTCTGTAAAAACTCCTCTGGAGTTCCAGGAGAATCTGAATTCCAATCGTTTTAGATTAAAGAGTGGCAGATGATTAAGACACCCTCCTCATGCGTAGACATGCACCTCTTCATTCATTCATTCAACCAATACACACAGAGTGCCTATAATGCCCCACAATGCAAGGGGTGTCAGATCCTCTTCCCTCCCCCTTACACAAACTGGACAAGTGAGGAAGACAGACAAAAAAAATAGTGAAACCTGTAAGGAATATTTGCAAACTCTGCTAAGTGCTATCAGGAAACAGATGCTGGGAAAGAACAAAGTGGGGAGGAGATTGCCCTGCAGAAGCATTACCCAGCAGGCCCACCCAAGGATCACCTCACTTCCTAGGGATATGGACTTCTGCTCTGAGTTACTGTTTACTCTTGGTTGGGCATTTGATAATCCTGAAAGGGTAGATATTAACTTGGAAAAAACTGTTAGCTAACAAGTAATTCTTGTCTGACGGCAATGCAAATACTTTCATCTTAGAAAAAAGTACAATAGCCAGGCTGCACTTGTATTACCCCGTAGGGCGTTAATTAGCTTTATACCTAATTTAGCAATTCTATTCCAGCATCCTTTCTTTCTATGACTATAAATAAATCTGACTCTCTATACTTTCTTGAGCCAGTTTTACCATATGCTGGTTCCTTCATGAATTAATGAATCTGACAGAACTACTTTAGGTAGGATAGTAGGGACAGACTCTGAATCCTGAAGGTTGGGAAGGAGCCAACCAGGGGAAGCAGAAAGGAAAAACAGATCCCTAGGAACCCAAGACTGCAAGATAAAATGGACATATGGCCTGCAGCAGGAAAAGTCACCCAGAAATGGCTAGAAGGCCACTGAGACTGGGGAACAGGTAGTGAGCAAGGGTTTAAGATTTGAGATGAGGATGGAAAAGTAGGCAAGAA
This sequence comes from Homo sapiens, assembly GCF_000001405.40. Taxonomy (NCBI): domain Eukaryota; kingdom Metazoa; phylum Chordata; class Mammalia; order Primates; family Hominidae; genus Homo; species Homo sapiens. The sequence goes on along the minus strand of NC_000023.11, from coordinate 17,009,864 downwards.
CTAGATTGTGTAGGGTGTTACAGATCAGTGTAGGGACTTTGAATGTTTTACAAAGTACAACAAGCAGACTACTGGAGGGTTTAAAGGATGAGGATGGAATAATCTGCTGTGTATTTTGAAAAGATCACACTTTCAAAAGTAGGAAAAGAGGCTGGGTATGGTGGCTCATTCCTATAATCCCAGCACTTTGGGAGGCTGACACAGGAGAGTCACTTGAGCTCAGCAGTTTGAGACCAGCCTGGGAAACATAACAAGACCCCCATCTCTACAAAAAGACATATATACTAGCCAGGCATGGTGATGTATGCCTGTAGTCTCAGCTACGCAGGAAGATCATTTGAGCCTGGGAAGCAGAGGCTGTAACAAGCCGTGATCACACCACTGCACTCCAGCCTGGGTGACAGAGTGAGGCCCTGTCTCAAAAAAAAAAAGTTGGGAGGCTGCTGAGGCAGGCCAATCACTTGAGCTCAGTAGTTCAAGACCAGCCTGGGCAACATGGCAAAACCCCATCTCTACAAAAAATACAAAAATTAGTAGGATTAGTAGGGAGTGGTGGCGCATGCCTGTAGTCCCAGCTACTCGGGGCGCTGAGGTTGGAGGATCCCTTGCACCCAGGAAGTCAAGGCTGCAGTGAGCTGTGATCGTGCCACTGCACTCCAGCCTGGGTGACAGAGCGAGTCTCTGTCAAAAAACAAACAAACAAAAAACCAGTGGGAAAAGAGAGATCACAGTAGAGAAGAGAGGAGGGGCTAGGATGTCAATCCATTGTGGTGTCCAGGTAAGTAGATGAAGGTTGTCTGGTCTAGCAGGGACAAAGAGATAGAGGCAACAGGGAGTGAGATTGGAGCCACATTGCTAGGACTTTTGATGGATTCTATTAAGGAGTGAGGGAAAAGGAGGAATCCAGGATGGCTGCTGAGTTTCTGGCTTGTGCAGCTGAGGATGGTGGTGGCATTTACCGAAATGGGAAGGACTAGGGATTAGAGGGTCACGCACATACACACAGGTGCATGTTATTCATGACATAAGGGTATCCATCCACAACTCCCTGGGTATGATGCCCTGGGTGTGACAGGGCTAGCACAGCCTTTCAGATTAGGTTCTCACAGAGTGATCCCTTTGGCCTTCAAGATTTGTGTCATCAAGCATTAAGCTAATAGATTTCAAGCAACAAACTGGAAAATTCTAAGTGGCAGCTCAAAGTTTGGCCCAATCTTGCCCTAATTCTTATTCAACATATGCTAACTGCAAATAATTTTATTTAATCAATCTTTAAATGGATTAGTAGAGAGTGGTGAAGGAAGATAATTCAGAATTAACTCTGGACATATATAAACTCTCAGAGGTAAAAGGCAGCAACTGGGTTTATAAAATAAAACTGAGAAAGCCTTATATTTGTGATAAACTGTTAATCCTTTACACAAGTGATAACTTCAACAATCCTGCTCCCTGCCCTCAGGAAATTAAACTGTCAATCTGGGCACAAATCAGGTAAAAGACTTAGGTCTAACTTAAAATAAGTAACAAAAGTGTCAAAAGTTTATTCTGTATACAATAAAGCAGCTCTAACTTTTCCAGAAGATAAAATTGGAAGATACTATAATAAAGCTTAATGATCATTTACAATGGAATAAAAACTATCAGTGCCTACCACAAATCCAAATTCAGTGTGATGCAACTTTCAACTAATCAAAGCAAATGGCCGCTGTGTCTTGCAGCAATGAATACTAAGCCTGCCTGTCAAATGACACTCCATCAAGAAACCTATTTCAAAGAACAAAATTCTGTCATACCAAGAGATGCCTTTCAAGTCCAATATTTTTCCCATTCAGAAAATATTGTATAACAGATTACTGTCAGCATCTTACTAAATAGAAAAAATTGAGACAAGGCTATTTTGCATAGAAATTAAGAGCATGGGGACTGGAAGTAGATCCTGGCTCCAAATTCTACTAACCTTATATTCTTAGGTAAGTTACTCAACCTCCCTAAAGTTCAAATTTCCATACTTGTAAGATACGAACAACGGCAGCACCATAGTAGAGACCTGCAGTGTGCAGCCATAACCATAGTAGAGACTTGCAGTGTGCAGCCATAGTAGAGACTCGCAGTTGTCCTCTCCTTGCAGGCACAGGAGAGAATTGTGTTCTCCCACCTGCTCTGCACTGAAGCAGATTAATGTGACAAGTTCTGGCCAATGCAGTGTGGGCAGCAATAACTTCAGTCATGTCTGGGCCAAAGCATTTAACCGCTAGGGTGAGATACTCTTTCCCTGGTGTGGCGATTATGGGAACAGGTGTTGTGTTGGGAGGTGCCACAAGATAAAGCAGCCAGGATCACATGGTCACCACATAGAGGGCAGCTGCCCTGGAGGGTCACCCTGACCCACTGCAAAGTGGAAAACGAACCTCTGTCTGGTTGAGGCACTGAGATTGTGACATTTGTTATCGCAGCTTATCCTAAGCAATCAAACTGACACAAGTACCTAATTTAGTAGGGTGTCATGAGGATTAAATGAAAGTGTCTGGCACAAGCTAGCCCCCTGATAAAGATTAGCATGATGACTGCCACCTGCTAACGGTTAGTGTGAAGGGCTTGGTCTTCCACAGCCAGCCATCTATGGCAATCTTCTCGGCCATTTGGATTGTCCTACGAGGTTTCCATGGGCTCACCATAAATCCTGAATCCACTTGTATGTCTATCAGAGACTTCACAGGACAGGCATGAGCAGTTAAGAGGTTTTTAGTCTCAGAATGAGAAAAAGAAAAAAAGTTCCTACATACCTGTATGGACATATGAAAGTAATCTGTATCAAACTGAATTATCAGAGGACCTTGGCACACCCCTTGAATAATCACCTTTTTCATACAGATTTTTAAAACCAATCCTGAGGCAGCAGAAATACTGCTAATAGTTGGGGGTTTTGCTTTTTGTTTAAATTGTAGAAAGTGCTCAAGCATACAGTGGGTTGAGGGCAGGGATGGCAAGATGAGAAAATATTAAATCAGAACCTTAAGAAGATAAATTCATTCTGCCAAAATTTTGGTAGCACCCAAGTACTTACTAGCATCAGAACAGTGCTTTGGAAACTAAGAATTAAAGGCTGAGCACTGGCAGGTATGGGAAAGAGAAAAGGCATAGTTCCACTCAAACTCCCTTGTTACTCCTCTAACAGAGCCTTCAATAACATTATAGATACCTCAAGTGGAAAATTAAAGTCAATGTGATTATTTGCCACAGGCTCTAGAATTCCTGGCCCAATCTCTTCCTGCTAAAGAATAAAATCTATTTTAACTGCAAATCAGTTAAAATGAACTAATCTCAGGTTACTCTCAGAATTTTCCCCATTTAAAAAAGAAAGAAACTAAGCTACCTACCTGCCAAGTTTTCTTATTTTATTTTGCAGAAGAGTTGGAGGAAGCAAGGAGAAATTCCACAAAAGTTTAAACTCATTAAAAATGGTTCTCATAAATGAGCGACTCGCCATGGACAATAAAACATACAAATGTGAGATACTCACCACATTTAATACTCTCTATCCGTACCGGGAGGCCAGATTGTGCTGCAGCAATTAATTTCAGGGCAATGTAAAACTGTGTTGGACCAAAATAACCAACCCGCTTTGCACCACACAGTTCTGTGATCTGAGAACAGACAAGAAAAACAATGCTGAACACCCAATTTCACAACAGGAAAATGAGACAAGGTACATGATGAAATATCAAGGATTTCACCTAGTGGCTAACCAAAAAAGTCCCTTGAGAACCTCTGTGTGCCCACTGGTCAATTTCCTCTTCCTTCAGTTTACAGGGAGGTTTTTAATTCAGATTACTAAATTCTACCTATTCATGATGTTTCAGAAGTGAGCCACTGATTATTCCTCCTCTTCCAAAGAGAAAAATAAAGGTGACAAAGGATAGCTGTTGCTCTAGTTACAAAGGAGAGTGACTTTTTCAGGGAGTGGATTCTAATGTTCAAAGTCTAGAAAGTCACTGGGGTGAAAAGAGAACAGATTAGTCATTACCACTACTCATGGATTATTCTAGTTTATCTAAATTAAAAGTGAATTAATTATTTTTATAAAGTCCTCAGGCAAAACAATTTCCTAATCTTGGAAATTACATCTTGGGTGCTCAGTTCAGAGGAACAAAAAAGTTGTATATACACATTTTTCAAGACATTGTAATAATTGTCAGTTTCCATCCCATCACCTGGAACAACATCCTCCTCCCCACCTAGATTGAACTCAAATGTTACTTTTCTGTAGCTCCTTTCCCTGTCCCGATACAGTATGTTTTCCCAGTGTATTCTCAGAGTACTCTATCCAAGTATCTATTAATGTCCATCACATGATACAGTGTCTTAGACTTGCTTCAAAATAAAAGGGGGAAGGGAGGAGGTGGGGCACATGGGTGAAACAAGCATAACCAAGAGTTAGTAATTGTTGAAGTTTGGTAGTGGGTTCATGAGGGTTCAATATCCTATTCTTTGTACTTTTGAAAATCTCCATATTCAAGTTTTTTGTGACTATTTCCAAATGTATCACATTATAATTAATTATCTGTTTATCTCTGCCTCCCATTAAAATGTCTTCTCTTCAATGGCAGGGGGCAACTTCCATTCATCTCCTAGCATAAGGATAGGCACCCAAGATACAGTCAACAAATTCTCAATTAAGTGAATGAAACCTACCTCAAAAATAAAATGTCTCTGAATTTTATAATGTAGCCCTTATTGTGAATATATACATTACACATCTTAAGATACAGACTATCCCACACAAGGAAAAAAACACACCAACATTAGTGTAGTTCCAACATTGAGATAGTTGTCTTGCAAAATAACTCCTAATATTAAGAAATTGTAGGCCGGGCACAATGGCTCATGCCTATAACCTCAGCACTTTGGGAGGCCTCAAGGAAGATCGCTTGAGGCCAAGAGTTCAAGACTATGGGCAACATAGCAAGACCCTGTCTCTATTTTAAAAATAGAAAAAAAAAAAGACATTGTAATCCTTGGTATGTGAAAAAATAACAACTATATTTTCAGTGAGTGTTAATCTACTATCAAGTTAACTTTCAGTTGCTCCTTTACCATAACTACCACATGGAACTGGAAAGCTCTTTACTACAGGTAACTGAAATTGCTAGTAAAACATTTATGGTACTTGAAGACTAATACCTTAATCTGACATTAGTAAACAGCCTTATTTACCTTGAAATCTGTCCCTTGGTCCCATATCACCACTAGAATCATTGCTTTGGAGCCAAAGTAGAATATATACACATAAGTGAGTTAAGCCCATAGGTTACTTTCCTTGCTCTTTGTACACCAAACCTCCAAGAGACATACCAAGAACGTTCTGAAATAGTCAAGCCTCAAGGAAGAGAAAAGAATTATAAGCCTTTGGAACTTACACATGGACTTCTGAATCAAAAAAAAAAAAAAAAAGGTTAGTTCTGAAAGGTTTTTTTCATTCATCAAGGTTCAAAGTTTTCTAAGTTTAAAATCTCCATGGAAAAGCTGTAAGTTGTGGGTCGAAATGCTTAATGGTATCTAAAGAAAATAAGGTGAAAAAAAAAGTTTATCCCAGATACTCAATTAGTGGAGATATTTGATATAATTGATCCTTCAAACAATCCAAATCACTGGGCTTTCCTCAAAATAAAGGGGAAAAAAATGAAAAGATTCCACTCCTCTTCTTTAGTCTAAACTCCAAACCTGTAACACTCCCAGCTGGATCCAACTCCCAGCTGGATCCATCTTAGGTTACACATTGTGCAAATTCCTAATACAGAATAAGAACCTATGGAGTAGTGTTTTCTCAGGTGGAAGGCAAGAGATGAAAAAAAGAAATAGATTAAATCAACTTCCTTACAGCTTACGGATGTACACTAAATGGCTGGGATGCTGGATACAAATCAGAAAAATTCACCGACCATTTGGGAGAAATCTGAACAAAGTTCTGGAAGAAGGTTGAAGGCCACTAACATAGCTTCCCTCCTACCTAATTCTATAAGATTAGGCGACTGTGCTGAGTAACCATGTTCCAGTTTGCCTGAAATAATACTTTCTTTCCTGGCTGAAATGTAATACATTTTCAGAACTGTTCAAAGGTTTAAATAAGCTTCTCTCAAGTATTATTAAAGGTTTCCTTAGAAAGATTTGAAAATGTAAAAACTCCTAGTAGGAGGGGCTGGAAGAATTCTCCAAGAGCACCCCATTTTCTACTCTCCCTCTGCTGCAGCTAGCAAAATCCAGATTCTTTGCTCTCGCCTCGACTGTTTCAAGTCCTGTCTCCAGACTCACACACCTTCACACACCAGCTTCTACATTCCCTCCGTGACCTCTTATCAAAACCACATCACCCTCCAACTTCAAAGGGCTTCTGGGACTCTTCACGCCCTTCCTGTGAAACCAAGCATGGCTTCTGAGGCCCTCCTGTCTGGCCCAAACTACCTTTCCAACATCGTCATGTCTCTCTCCTCCCCACCCTACAGCTAATTAAGACTTTAGTCACACCAGATGCCCATTTCTTTGCCTGCCAGGCTCATTCTTCAAGTCACCTCAAGACCAACCTTATCTTTGAAACTGTAGTCAATTCCACATGGCATGTTCTCTGCATTCCCATAACACTTTTTACTAGCTTTCTAACACATCCCTAGCCTTGCAACACAGCACAATTGGTATTTTGATAATTATCTCCACTGTAGCCCATCTCCTTTCCCTATGCCCTAAGTGCCCAGCAGAAAGCGAGGGTATATTCTTATTATTTGTATCCCCCAGGACTCATACTTTACTATGCCTGCTATATGCTCAGTAGCTCAATAAATAAATGTTGAATTAGTCTTCACAGCCTGTTGCATCAGAATCTTTCTTCTTCCCCTCCATTTTTATTACTTTTACAAGTAGCTGCTAAATTGGCTTTAGTCATCTCACACCATATAGCCATAAGAGTTCCTGCAGGAATATAAGAGAATATTAATTTCTCTGTTCCCTTCCTGCTCAGCTAAGAGGGTACCGGTTAGGATCAAGGCATAAGGAAAGGCATCCACCATTCTTTATCCTGGCCCTAGCCCTCATAGCCCAGGAGAATACCTCAGTGATGCTCCAGCCAGTCAGAACTCCAGAGATGCACCTCCTACTCAGCACAGCCCCAGGAGGTGTCAACCCTCCCCAAGTGGGCAAACTCAGCAACAGAAATACAGAAGAGAATCTGAAGTACATGCTTACAAATTGTACCTCAGCCTCTCAGGGAACAGCTGAACACGCAGGTCAACCTCTATGCTGGGTTTTCCTTTCCCATTCATTTATACTGTAACATTCAAGAGAGACTTTCAGTCCAGAGGGACATGGGTGAGCTACTCAAGAAAACATGAACCCCCATATCTGATTACCCAACATTAGGCATTATAGTATATGCCTAAGCCAAATGACACTGCTAAAGAGAGGGCAGACAGGCAGTGCTGAGGTGTGATTTCAGAGAATCCTACTAAAACCTTAAAGTACTTGTTAGTTTAACAAGTTTTGGTTGGGCACCTCCCTATCAAAAGCAATGTGCTGAGTGCTATGCTAAGAACTGAGCAGCAATGCACAGAATCACCTATTCTACATACACACAAACTCACACACATTCTCTCTCTCCCTCCCTCCTTCCCTCCCATTTTGCCAAACCATCTGAAAAGTGGGTTACAGACACACCTCATGACACACCACCCCTAAGTACTTTACTATTCACCTTCTAAGAACAGGGATATTTTCGTACACCACCGCACCATCATCACCACACCCAAGGAAATCAACTTTAACACAATATTATCATACAACATGATATGGTTTGGCTGTGTCCTCACCCAAATCTCAACTTGAATTGTATCTCCCAGAATTCCCACGTGTGTGGGAGGGACTTGAACAATTAGGGGGAGGTAATTGAATCACGGGGATCGGTCTTTCCCATGCTATTCTTGTGATGGTGAACAAGTCTCATGAGATCTGGTGGGTTTATCAGGCGTTTCTGCCTTTGCTTCTTCCTCATTTTTCTCCTGCCACCACCATGTAAGAAGTGCCTTTTGCCTCCTGCCATGATTCTGAGGCTTCCCCAGGCATGTGGAACTGTAAGTCCAATTAAACCTCTTTTTCTTCCCAGTCTCGGATATGCCTTTATCAGCAGCGTGAAAATGGACTAACATACAACATATGGTCCACATTCACATTCCCTTGATTATCCAGAAAATGCCTACAGAGCTGAATTTTCTTTTCCTCATCCAGGATTTAGTCAATGTTCATGCACTGCATTTTTATCTCATTTTCCCTTAGTCTCCCCCTAATCTAGAACAATCCCCCTTGGTTCTTAATGACACTGAATCATTTAAGAATCCAGGCCAGTTGTCCTCAGAACATCCCATGTTTTGGATTTGTCTGTTTTATTGTGATTACATTAAAGTCAAAAGTTTCTGGCAAGAACACCACACAGGTGATACTGAGATATAGTGAGAGGTACACAGCAGTGAGGGGCACACAATGTCAGAACATCCCACCATTGGTACTGATTGCAAAGCTTGGTCATTTGATTAATGTGGTGACTGCCAGATCTCTTCATTGCAAAGCTATGTTTTTACATTGTACTTTAAGACCATGTGAGTGTTCTATCCCTTGAAAAGTCAGCTTTAAAATCAGTTAAATACTAATTTTCTAGGTAAGTCTAGCTAAATCATATCAGCATCTACAGAACTAGAATACTAATGCAAAATCACAAAGATGGGGGTAATATTTTTTCCATGAGATAGGTGTCATTACACTCAGTTTATACACAAATAAACCTTCCCAATTCAGAAAGTTAAGTGATATGTTCAAGGTCACAAATTCAGAGCCAGTACTCAAACCTACATGCATCCAGGTCCAAAGCTCATGGTCTTTCCATTACATCAGTGGTTGGAAAACTACCGCTCATGGGTCAAATCCAGCCCACTGCTTGGTTTTCTATGGCCCACAAGGAGAAAATAAATGGTATTTACAGATGAACATTTGCAATCGATTTGATGAAAGGGAACACTATTCTTTGAATCCCATTAAGCAAAATGTTATCCCCAAAGTAAGAATGCTGTTCTTCTTATGAGTAGACCTGTATTACCAAAAAAAAAAGTCCTCAGTTATTATGTTTTGAATTTTGTCAATAAAAAGCTTGTAGAAGTTTATTTTTTCTCTTGTTATAGAATTACCTATGTAATATCTTTGATTCTGTTTCTTGGCCTGCAAAGCCTAAAATACCAACTGACCCTTTCCAGAAAGAGTTACTAACCCCTGCCTAACAACATGCTACTTCCCTGGGCTATACTTTATATCCTTTCAGATACCCTCAGTAGCCATGTAGAAAGTGTATTTTCTTGAAATAATCAACTGCACTAGGTAAATGCCAACTTAAAGACTGCAAACACAGCCAGATGTGGAGGCCCGTGCCTGTAGTCCCAGCTACTTGGAAGGCTGAGACAAGAGGATCACTTGGGCCCAGGAGTCCGAGACCAGCCTGAGAAACATAGTGAGACCCTGTCTCTAAAAAAAATTTAATAAAAAATAGTGAACACTTCCATGAGAAGAAAACACATGTATTCACCTTCTTCCTCAGCCCCCATTTTTCACCCATTTATATACATTTGTTTAAATTTTTCAGGAGCTTTCAAACAGGAGCTTCCTATGTTACTATAAACTTTCATGGCAACCAACCAGAGCAATTGGATGCCATAGTTCAGATATTGGCAAAATCTATGCAATAGTTCACACACTAGAAATAAGATTTTGCTTTTTTTTTTTTTTTTTTTTTTGAGACGGAGTCTCGCTCTGTCGCCCAGGCTGGAGTGCAGTGGCGGGATCTCGGCTCACTGCAAGCTCCGCCTCCCGGGTTCACGCCATTCTCCTGCCTCAGCCTCCCAAGTAGCTGGGACTACAGGCGCCCGCCACTACGCCCGGCTAATTTTTTTGTATTTTTAGTAGAGACGGGGTTTCACCGTTTTAGCCGGGATGGTCTCGATCTCCTGACCTCGTGATCCGCCCGCCTCGGCCTCCCAAAGTGCTGGGATTACAGGCGTGAGCCACCGTGCCCGGCCAAGATTTTGCTTTTTTAAAAAGAAAAGGTATTATAATTCTTTAGAACCATTCTTTGAAAACATCTTTATGCATTTGTGAACACATAACAATCCAAGATGTAAGCTACTCCCACATTGCAAATCAATTTTGGAAGCAACATTATCTTTTAGATACCCCAAGATGCCATTTAATTTAGGGCTAGAAGGACTACAATAAACTATAAGCCAAATCCAGTCCAGATGCTAAATACAGTCTATATTGGCATAGGTTATGGCCCAGATCTGATTTGTCAGCATTCTTGGCCCAAGGCCCAAAACTCACCCCAGTAGCAGGGAACACTCAGCCTGCCACTCTGGCTCAGAAGGAATCTAAAAAAGGAAAAGACTCTGTGCAAAAAAAAAAAAAAAAAAAAAAAATCAGGAACATCACTAGTGGAAGCAAAAAATCAGTATAGCATCCAGAAACCATTTGGCAATATCCACAAGAATTACAATTTACCTTTTGATCTAGCAATTCCACTGCTAGAAATTTATATTCCATTTTACATTAGCAAAATGACACATGTATATGGTCATTAATACAGTATTGCCTAAGTCACAGACTAGAAAACTAGAAAACACTTAGAGGTCTACCATCTAAGATATTAGTTTAATCAATTGTGGTTGATCCATACAATGGAATTCTAAGCAGCTCTAGTGGACATTTGCCATATCTGTGACTGTCCATCATACTTTGAAAATTATTTCTCTATTTGCAAAAATTTCACCTATTACAAGTCCCACCTCCAAGTTTAAAAGTTGAGAATAAAATTCCTAGACTCTATTGAAGCTAAGATGCAAATGTGTCACCTAGTCACCACTAATCAGATACATCCACACCAGATTTTGCTTTAGAAGTGAGAAATGTAAGGAAAGAGGCTCTGCTCAGAGCTTCTACTTTTGCAGGTGTCACTGCTAGGTTGCCTTCCCGGTGCAGGAGTGGAGGTAGAGGCAGTTGCAGTCAAGTCAAATACCTAGCATCTGCTGTTCAGTGGAGGCAGCAGCACAGGTGGCTTCCACTTAATGCTAGTACTACGTGTGTCTTGGGGCTTTGTTTCTGGGCACCCGGATGCTAGCCTGTTCCTCCAGCCCTCCAAAGGATTCCATGAGTTACCTAAAATCCGAATCCCTTTTTGGCTTAACCATCTAGGGTGGATTCAGTTGTCTGCCATAAGAACCACCAACTAACAAAGAAGAAGCTCTTTATGTGCCAATACAGAAAAATCATCATGCTAAAGTGTGAAAAAGAAAAAAAGCAAGGTGCACAGAAAGCAGCTGATATAGTAGGTATCATTTCTTCTAAAATGGGGTTGAATATAGATGCATTTACTTATATTTTCATAAGCCATCTCCAGAAGTTGAAACTAACAAAATTGGCTTCTGGATGCCTCCAGGGAAGAAAACAAGGTGGCTAGGACACAGTGGGGAGAAAGAGTTTATTGGTTATTGTTTTGTACCTCTTCAATTCTGAATCATGTGGATATATCATCCATTTTTTTTTAGACAGGGTCACGCTGTCCTCGAGGCTACAGAGCAGTGGCACAATCACAGCTCATTGCAGCCTCAACCTCCCAGGCTCAAGTGATCCTCCCGCCTCAGCCCTCTGCAAATAGCTGGGACTACAGGCAAGTGCCATCACACCTGGCTACTTTTTTGTTTTTTTGTAGAGATGGGGGGTCTCCCTGTGTTGCCCAGGCTGGTCTTGAACTCCTGGACTCCAGCAATCTGCTTACCTTGGCCTCCCAAAGTGCTGGGATTATGGAAATGAGCCACCACACCAGGCCATTACTATCCTCCCACCTTGGCCTCCCGAAGTGCTAGGATTACAGTCATGAACCACTGTGCCCAGCTGAGCATGGTTCTTAAAGATGAGAATTCAAAGAAATTCTATACTCAGACTAGCTGCTTTGGTTGCCCCTGACTCCAACAGTGTATTCTCTCCTCTGCTATTAGGGAGCTGGCAGAAAGGTCTGGGATAATCAGTATAAAATTCATTAGAAGTAGGAACTGAGGCTCTTGCACAACTGATGGGCATACATAGGCTTGACAGAGTAATTCTACAGATGTTTTTATTATGCACCTAAATTGTGTTTTGGAAAGAGAAAGGATAATAGATAGTGATAGCAGTTGATGACAGTGATCTCTTATGACTTTTGTAAACTAGTCCTTATTTGGCAAGTCAATACTATGGCTTTCCAAGCTGCCCAGCTGGCTGCACACATGCAGGCATGCATCACCACAGGGTCAGGAGTTCCTCGGGGTTGGCACCTGCCTGGGGCAAAACCAGGATCTAACAACTCAAGGGTGAGGAGAGGGGAAGAGGGCAAGGGAATGAACCACTGAGGCACAAAGGAAGCATCTACCCCACTGGTTTAGAAGGAAAGAACAGTAGACTCGGCAGTAAGAACTAACATTTACTGAGGGTAGACTATGTGCCAGGCACTAACTTAAATGCCAGAAATTAATGACATGAAGTAAACACACACACATACAAAAGCAGTCTTCACACTAGAACTGAGTTAAAATGCAATTACGGCTCAGATTACGAAAGAAAATTAGTTTTAGCATTCTGGCCCAGGTTTCGAGGCTCTGCATATCACAGAATTTTTGTACAGCTGGAGGCAGAGAAATCTCAGGTGAACGCAAATGTACTGCCAAATTATATAAAGCTTTAACTGGTTCTGGCAACTCAGACTTATCTCACCAGCCAAAGGATTAGTTTTTCAGACAATTCATTTATTGACATTTTTAGTGCTTCTCAAAAATAAAATTACAGATTGAGGTTATTTGGTATTTTTATAAGTTTGTTGATTTCAGTCTATTCCATATTTTATGCACACTTACACCTACATGTACACACACATGCACATACACATATACACATTTATTTTTTAGAGGAGTGAGTGCCTAAGTGAGAGGAATAGAGCAAGCCAGGATATTTCAAGTAAATGGAACACCAGTATATTACACATAGATCCTCAACATGCTTCCTCGAGGAATGAATGTGAATGGAAGTTCAGTCTCAGATCACACTGAAGTTCTCTCTCTCAAGCCCAAATCTAAATATATTGAGATTCTCTAGCACAGAGCTAAACTCATACCATAAACATCCATTGTTGGTGGGATAGGCAATCTAACTTCACTAATTTGGTTTCTTTGTAGAGCTCCCAGTGAAGACCCAATCCAATTGTTAAAATAACAAATGCACCTCTCGCCTCTCTGACATTCTGGCAGCTCTCTCTGAAGAAGCTGGCCCTATTCAAAGCTGCCTGCTCCAAGGCACACTAAAGCTGGGGAAGGGCCTTTCTACCCTGTTCTTGACTGTTCTCCCAGCAACAAGATCTCATGACAACCAGCACACTCAGGTCCCCTGCATCACCATGGCAAATCCAAACACCTCTAAGGGGCTCTGCCTCGACTAACCAGAACCAAGCCCCAAACCTGTCCTGCTCTTGGCCCTCCTGTGACCTGATAGCCACATTACATTGCAGACTGACCTCTTTCCATGACTGAATCCCCTTTCTGTGTCCAAGCTATACCCATCCATCCTCTTCCCTATCTAGATACTCATCACTTTAAGGCTTGGTCTTCCTCTCGTCTGTCTTTGTCCTGCACCTCATCCCCAGCTACCTGCTGACACTTCCCTGATATCCAAATTCCTAAACCTTCCCTACTCTTACAACTCCTGCCACTGAGCAATGCTTGCCAGGATGGACATCCCTAGGAGCCAGGTAGATCTCTTCCTCCTACCTGGAACTACCTGTAGATACTATTCCATCTCCCCAAACTTTCCACTGACAGATCTGATAAAATCTACCCATCCCCCTAAATTGACAGTCCCACCACAATGCATGAGCTTGGATCTAGGTCCTTATTGTTCCCAAGATCCTCTATCCCAAATACAGTTTACTGTCCACAGTTATGAACAGGGTGGAAGGGCCCTTCTCCAGCTTTAGTGCCCTGGAGCAGCCAGCTTCGAACCGGGCCAGCCTCCTCAGAGTAAGGTTGCCAGAATGTCAGGGAGGCAAGAGGTGCATTTATTATTTTAACAACTGGATTGGGTCTTCACTTAACAACTGAGAGAGAATTGAACACAAAAAGGGCAAGCCGTGTCAGAGTTTCTAATCTGGTTGGGGTGTGTGAATCTAAGAAGTTTGAGGGAAATGATCAACATTTATTGAACATCTATTACACATCCTCTAGGCATTATGCTTTTCTCTTTATGAGTACTATTTCTAATATTTAAATGAACCCTATATAGATGGTTTTGCAAATAAGAATTTCAGAGTTCAGAGAAGTTATCAGAGAAATTCTGAAAAACTAGAAACCGTCTGGATTGAAAGATCTTGCTGCCCAACAATTTGTATTATAAATGTTACATGAACCAAATTCACTGCGCAATTAGCCAACCCCTTAGATTCACACAGATACCATTCATTCAGTTCTCTTATGTGGCACACTATGCCAGTGAATGGAGTCTCTGGGCCCACCAACTGAAAGACACATAATCTTTGTACCTTAGCAGCCAGAGACAGATGCAAGTTAGGCCCCACTATTGCCTGGCCTTACAAATGGCTATCAGCACACATCTGTGAGAGAGGGAGCAGGTGTAAGGGGGACAATCTCAGAACTATTTTCTTTCAATAAAACTTAAGAACAAACCACAATGCTGGCTTCATCATAACTGTGCTGTAACCAACTGAGCTAACCAGAGTATACAACAGAAACTAATGAACATTTGCCATTTTTCTTTTGGCTGCCTGTTATCCGAACCCTTTGCCAGTGTTTATGAAATTTTCCACCTGCTTTCAGCTAAATAAGCTAAAAGTGTCAGATTCTCACTTTCCTGATTTCTTTTCAATCAGGGTATGGGCACAAGACCTACGCTCTGCCAGACACCACCCACACAGGCATTTGTTTTTGTTTTTATTATTATTTAAATAGCTTTGGGGGAACAGATGGTATTTGGTTACATGAGTTAAGTTCTTCAGTGCTGATTTCTGAGATTTTGAGGTACTCATCAGCCGAGCAGTGTACACTGTACCCAATGTGTAGTCTTTTATCCCTCACCTCCCACCCTTCCCTCTGAGGCCCCAAAGTCCACTGTTTCATTCTTATGCCTTTGCATCCTCATAGCTTAGCTCCCACTTATAAGTGAGAAAATACAACGTTCGGTTTTCCATTCCTGAGTCACTTCACTTAGAATAATGGTCTCCAACTCCATCCACGTTGTTGCAAATGCTATTATTTCATTCCTTTTTATGGCTGAGTAGTATTCCATGGCGTATTATAAATGTTACGTGTGTGTATATATATGTGTGTGTGCATATATATGTACGTGTGTGTATATATATGTACGTGTGTGTATATATATGTATATATATGTACGTGTGTGTATATATACACACATATACATACACACATATATACACACATATACATACACACACACATATAAAATATATTTTTGATATATTTTCTTTATCCACTCGATTGATGGGCATTTGGGCTGGTTCCCTATTTTTGCAATTACAAATTGCACTGCTATAAACACGTGGCACACGGGCATCTGAATCAGTAATGAGTGCTGTGAAACAGCAAGAACAGTAGATGATTGTTTTCTAGTGACAGGAACAACATCCAGTTCCAGGAGCAGCCCCATACCCAATGTCCAATGCAGGCAATGTTGGTGGTGTAGGTGGAGGCATCCAATATTCAGTAGCTACCAATTCTGTGAGGTTATCTGGCTGTAGTTCTGGCAGTACTGCCCCCTAGTTGTGCAGTTTTCAAGCCTTGTCCCTGGTCTTCCTAAAGAAAGATGTAGCTACACAATATCCTGCCAATAAACTGCTTTTCCGCTTAGATTTGCCATAGGCAAGTTCTGTTATTAACAGGACTGTGTTACTAAGAATCCTGGGTTTTATAGAGGACAGGTCAAAGGTGAGCCCTGATCATTCCAGAGCTTCCAAACTTGGCTGTATCAATTATCTACTACTGTATAACACACCACCCCAAAACTTAAGTGCCTTAAAGCAACAGCATTTATTTAATTCATAACTCTGGGGGTCAGTAATTTGGGCTGAGTTCAGCTGGACAATTATACTGATCCGAGCCAGGCACCATTGATCTCAGATGAGGGTCACTTATGCTTCTGCAGTTGACTATTGGGTTGTCTGGGTACCTTCATTTTCCTCCACATAGTCTCTCTTCCTCCAGGAGGCCAGCCAGGGCTTTTTTTACAAGGTGGCAGAGTTCCCAAAGCAGCAAGAAACTGAAGCTCTACCTCACGCCTAGGATCAAAACCCACACAGGGTCTTTTCTACTGTATTCCAGGGTCAGACCAAATCAACAGGACAGCCAAGATCCTAAGAATAGAGAAACTGACTCTACCTCTTGATGGGAAGAGTTGCAAAGTATTGTGAGCATTTTGCAATATACCATACCTTACTGTTTGATAAAGAGCACAATGGGGAGGCTGTCACAATACAGATAACACTAGGGAAGTCTCATTTATTAGAATTGCATATACCTAGAATCTGTACTCTCACCACTATTTCCGTGAACCATCACCAACTCCAGCCACTGATACAACAATAGCTAACTAGAAGCAATAAACACACAGTGCTGAGCCAGCAAACTCCATAGCCTGTAAACAGTTTGTAAAGGTCAGGCCCCTTGGATCTCTTATCCTGCAGGACGTACTAAAGAGCATGGACTATAGTCATGTATATATAGCTGGTGCCATGTAACACCAGCTCCCTGGCTTTGGCCTCTCTTTCTTTAAGCCTCAGTTTTCCTCCCCACAAGACTCAAAAATAATATTTTCTGGATATGAATAAATAGTCTGATCACTTCAGACAGAGGACTAGTTAACATCCCTAAGTTACAGAAAAACCTAATATAACTGGAAGGGAACCTAAAAAGCCTCTGCTCTGAATTTGTTTATTACGATGTTTAAGAAGTTTAACCAAATCCCCTTCCAAGAGACACTCAAATTGGCAGACCCCACAAACATTTATTTAATTGAAACTAGATGTTTCCTTGACAACTGTTGAACTGAGAAAGGAAAGGCTCCTGCAAGAAGTCTCCATGGAAACCGCCCAGTCCTTGCATCTACCATTCACCTTATACTTTGGCTAGCATTCAAGCACATCAAACCAGCAATAAAAACATAAGGAAGGTGGAAGGGCTTTGGGGCAATGAAGAATGTCTATGTTTCATACAGCGAGATCTTTTCACTGGAAAAAGAAGGCAGAGTCAGTCCAAATATCTAAGGACTCAGATTAAGAAGCCTCTGAATGTTCAACCCATTTTTTAAAATACTCCATGTCTTAGTTTGTTGGGGCTGCTACAACAAAATACCTTAGACTCAGTAATTTATAAACAACAGAAATTTCTTTCCATTCTGGAGGCTGGGAAGTCTAAGATCAAGGTGCCAGCAGATTCAGTGTATAGTGAGGGCTCACTCTCTGCCTCATAGATGGCACTTTCTTGCTGTATCCTCACATACTGGAAGGGGCAAACAAGCTCCCTCAAGTCTCTTTTCTAGGAACACTAATCCCATCATAAGGGCTCTGCCCTCATGCACCTCCTAAAGGCCCCACCTCTTAATACTATCGCATCAGAGACTAGGTTTCAACATAGGAATTTGGGGGAGACACAAATATTCAAACCACAACATCCTAAAAATAATATCAAAAGCATAGTATATTGGTTTCCTAGGGCTGCTATAATAAAGTACCACAAATTGGGTGGCTTCAAACAACAGAAATGTATTTATTATCCCATGGTTCTGGAGACTGGAAGTCCAAAACCAAGGTGTCAGCAGGGCACGTTCCTTCTAAGGGCTGTGAGGGAGAATCAGCTCCATGTGTCTCACCTGGCTTCTTGCAGCCGCAGGCGGTCCCTGGCTTGTAGATACATTGCTTCTATCTTCATCTTCATAGGGGGTTCCCACTGTGTGTCTGTGTCTTCACCTGACTGCCTTCTTTTTTATTTATTTATTTATTTATTTATTTTTTATTCTACTTTAAGTTTTAGGGTACATGTGCCTGACTGCCTTCTTCTGAGGACACTCATCATATTGGATTAGGAGCCCACCCTACTCCGGTATAACCTCACCTGAAATTAATTATATCTGCAAAGACCCTCTTTCCAAATAAGGTCACATTCTGAGGTACTAAGGGTTACGACTTTAATATATCTTTTTGTGGGGGACACAATTCAACCCAGAACACACAGCTCTTATATAAAGTATTTTATTTTACCTATTCACTAAATATTTGTTAAAGCCAATTGATAGCTCCACTTATCTTGTGGCTTAATCTAAATAGAAGGTTCATACTTGGTCACGCAGGCACACCTAGCTACAATGAAATGTGGGCAGTACAACCTTTACTCTGGGCATCCAGGTGCCCAGCTCAAAACTGGAGTTTCTACTGCAAAAGAGAAGAAGAGAATGAATCTCTCCATCCCACAGGCAAAGAGATGAATCGCTTGGGAAAAACGAGTCTAGTGTCTAGAAACCATGGCCCTTAGGTGAAAACCCACTGCATAAATGAAATCATAAAAGTTAACCGTACCCAGAAAAGACCTTGGAACTGACATTTAAAAACTGGTTTTTTTGTCTAACAAAAAACCAGAGGCAAGAGACACTCAAAGGGCACACAGTGAAGAACATCCCAAATTAGAAGCACTTGAGGGAAAAAGTCAATCATACACCTGTGCACAGGGACTCACTCACATGGACCCACGTGGCTCCATTTCATAACAAAACTGAGCCAGAATTTCAGAACATCACCAAATACAAAAGTGCTTCTTATTTAGCATTTGTGATTCTCTGACTCTGATCTTTTTAGATCCTGGGGTTCTTTTTCTTAAATACTTTCTTAATTAAACCTTTTGAGACAACTGTAGTTTTATATGCAGAGGTAAGAAATGATACCCAGAGATCCTATGTACCCTTTGCCCACTTCCTCCCAATGGTAACATCTTGTAAAACTACAGTACAATATCACAACCATAATGTTGTGATTATGGTTGTGACACACAACATAATTGTGTGTCTCTATTGACACAGTCAATAGAGAACATTTTCATGCTCACAAGGACCCATGATGCCTTTTTTTTTTTTTCCTAAGACAGAGTCTTGCTCTGTTGCCCAGGCTGGAGTTCAGTGGCACAATCTCAGCTCACTACAACCTCTGCCTCCCAGGTTCAAGCGATTCTCCTGCCTCAGCCTCTGGAGTAGCTGGGATTACAGGCACCTGCCACTACACCCAGCTACTTTTTGTATTTTTAGTAAAAACAGGGTTTCACCATGTTGGTCAGGCTGATCTCAAACTCCTGACCTCAAGCAATTCACCCGCCTCGGCCTCTTAAAGTGCTGGAATTACAGGCGTGAGCCACCACGCCTGGCCTCATCATGCCTTTTATAGCTATCCATTTTACTCCCAACCCTTGCCCCCTCAACCCCTGGCATGGACTAATCTGTTCTCCATCTCCATAATTTTGTCACTTCAAGAATGTTACATAAATGGAATCATATGGTATTTAAACCACTCAGGATTGGCTTTTCTCACTCGGCATAATTCTCTGGAGATCCATCCAGATCATTGCATGTATCAGTACTTCACTCCTTTTTACTGCTGGGTAGTATTCCATGCTATGGATATACCAGTTTGTCTAACCATTCATCCACTAAAGAACATCTGTATTGTTTCCAGTTATGGGCTATTATGAATAAAACTCCTATAAAACATTCACATACTGGCATTTATATGAACATAAATCTTCACTTCTCTGGGATAAATGCCCAGGAGTGCAATTGCTGGGTCATATGGTAGTTGCATGTTTAGTGTCTTTAAGAAACTGCCAAACTGTTTTTCAGAGGGGCTGTATCATTTTACATCCCATCAGCAAAGTATGAATGATTCCATTTCTCTACAGCCTTGCCATCATTTGATGCTGTCACTATTTTTAATTTTAGCCATTCTTATAGGTATGTAGTGATAGCTCACTTTGGTCTGAATTTACATTTCCCTAGTGGCTAATTATGTTGAACATCTTTTCACATGCTTATCTGTCATCTGTATATGCTCTTCAGTGAAATGTCCCTTCTTGTATTTTTTCCACTTTCTAACTGGGTTGTTTTCTACTGTTAAGTTTTGAAAGTTATTTATATATTCTAGATGCCAGTCCTTTGTCGGATACGTAGTTTGCAAATATTTCCCCCCACTCTGTAGTCTGTCTTTTCATCCTCTTATGAGGTCTTTCTCAGAGTAAGTATTTTTTATTTTGATGAAATCCAATTTATCAATTCTTTTATGGATCATACCTTTGGTGTCAGGTCTAAGAACTCTGCCTAGCCTTAGATCCTGAAGATTTTCTCTAATTATTTTTATAGTTTTATGTTTTACATTGAAGTTTGTGATACATTTGGAGTTATTTTTCATATAACGTGTACTATTTACAGCAAGAGTTTTTTTTTTTTTTTGACATATTGATGTTTAATTGACCTAGCACCATTTGTCAAAAAGGCTATCTTTCCTTCTCCGTTCAATTGCTGTTGCAATTTTGTCAAAGATCAATTGGGCACATTTCTGTTGGTCTATTTCTAGGTTCTTTGTTCTGTTCCGTTGATCTATACATGTATCCCTCCACCAATATCACACAGTCTTGATTACTGTAGTTATATGTCTTAAAATCTTACAGACTGATTCCTCCTGCTTTATTATTCTTTTTCAAAATTGTTTCAGCTAGTCTAGTTCTTTTCCCTTTCCATATAAATTTTATAATTATATCTACAAAAAAATCTTACTAAGATTTTGACAGGAATTACATTAAACCTGTATATCAATTTGGGGGAGAAATGATATCTTTACTATGTTGAGTCTTCCAATCCTGGAACATGGTATGTTCCCCATCTATTTAGACTTTGATTTCTTTCATCAGCATTTTGTAGTTTTCAGCATACAAGTCCTGTGCATGCTTTGTTAGATTTATACCCAAGTATTTCTTGAGTGAATGTAAATGGTATTGTATTTTTAATTTCAGTGTCCATTTGTTTCTAGCTAGTATGTGAAATACAACTCATTTTTGTAAGTTTATCTTATATCCTGAAACCCGGAACATGGTATGTTTCCCCATCTATTTAGACTTTGATTTCTTTCATCAGCATTGTATAGTTTTCAGCATACAAGTCCTGTGCATGCTTTGTTAGATTTATACCCAAGTATTTTTTGAGTGAATGTAAATGGTATTGTATTTTTAATTTCAGTGTCCATTTGTTTATGGCTAGTATGTAGAAATACAACTCATTTTTGTATGTTTATCTTATATCCTGAAACCTTGCTGAACTCACTTAATTAGGTCTAGGAGTTATTCTGTAGACTGTAGATTTCTCAGGGTCTTCTATGTAGACAATCATGTCATCTGCAAATAGAGACAGGTTTTTGTTTTGTTTTCTGAGACAGGCGGTGTCACTCTGTTGCCCAGGCTAGAATGCAGTGATACAGTCACCATGGCTCACTTCACCTCCAAGGCCCAAGTGATCCTCCCACCTCAGCCTCCCAAGTAGCTGAGACCACAGACATGCACCATAACACCCTGCTAATTTTTTTTTTATTTTTACTTTTGTAGAGATGGGGGTCGCCCTACATTGCCCAAGCTGGTCTGGAACTCCTGGGCTCAAGCAATCCTCCTAGCTCGCCTCTCAAAGTATGAGCAGCTGTACCTGGCCAGTTTCATTTTTTTTTTCCTTTCTGCTCTGTATGCCTTTTATTTCCTTTTCTTGCCTTATTGCACTGGTTGGAATTTCTAGCACAACGCTGAAAAACAGTGATGAGAATAGACATCCTTGCCTTGAAAATGATCCCAGGTAGAACCTCAAAGATATAGCAAGAAATAAAGGGAAAATAAATAAATATGTAGATAAATCTAAATTAGGAGTTGTCAAAGTAAGGCCTGCAGGCCAAATCTGGCCCACTGTCTGTTTCTGTAAATAAATTTTATTGGAACATGGGTACACACAATCATTTCCATATTGTCTATAGCCATTTTGGCACTATTAAGAGTGGAGTTGAGTAGTTGTGACAGAGACTATAAGGCCTGCAGGGGTTAAAATATTTACCATCTGGCATTTACAGAAAAAGTTTACTGAACTCTGATTAAATAAACAATGCCTGCATAAAATAATGATGTCTTGTAGAGTTTAATATATAGTATTAAAATACAAGGCAATAACAACATAAGTTAAAAGGAGGGATAAGTGGAGTTAAAGGTCTTTGCATTATCTATGAGAAAGATACAGGTAAACATTAATGCTAATAACTTTTTACCAACACATCCCCTAAACACATCCTCTTAGGAAGTTTAGGTAGAAAAACTTCCATCTCTCCTCTTTCCATTGTTTCTTCTGTCAAATCAAAGTAGAGTCACTCATTTACTAGCATCACTGGGCAGCAAGGTGCTACATGTCTCTAATAAATCCCTCCTTAAAGTATTTATAAGACAGCCAGGCATGGTGGTTTACACCTGTAATCCCAGTGCTTTGAGAGGCTAAGGCAGGAGGATCACTTGAGCCCAGGAGTTCAAGACCAGCCTGGGCAACAAAGCGAGACCCTGTCCCTACAAAAAAATAAATTAATTAATTAATATAAATAAATAAAAATTAGCTGGGTGTGGTGGCTTGTCCCCGTAGTTCCAGCTACTGGGGAGGCTGAAGTGGGAGTATCATTTGGACCCAGGAGATCGTGGCTGCAGTGAGCCATGATCATGCCACTATATTCTAGCCTGGGTGACACAGCAAGAACCTGTCTCAGAAAAAAAAAAAAAAATCTATAAGGGTACTAACCAGTTCCAAATCATCCATCCCCTTACTTTTCACTGCTAGGGGGACCAACCATCCCCCGCTCCCCCTAGTTTGCTGGGGACTGAGTAAGTTCCTGGGATGTGGGACTTTTCAGTGCTAAAACTGAGAAAGTCCAAGTTGTCACTCTACTTCCAATACCCCACAGTAGTGAAACAAGCTGAGTGGAACTTAGGTAGTTCTTCTCTTTACCATTCACTTCTAGTGAGGTCACTTCTAATGACCCAGTGAGCAGGTCACTTAATGAACCTGAACTCATTAAAATTAAGTGCACAGCCTCACCTACAGGAGTCATTTACAATTGCTCCCCCAAATGATGCCTGAAAGCACACAAACTCCTTGGTTCCTCAAAGGTGCAGTGTGTCAACAAGTTAACTGAAATAGAAGAACTCATGGATATCTTGTCTGCCTCTGTTCTCTTGCTTTTAGATCCCAGTGTCCTACTAACTAATACCAGTATGTAGCACAGAAACAAAATCTATTTTAATCTAAGAGAACTGGGAAACTTCCAAAGAGCACTGACCTGAAAAATCTTGACAGAGCAGAGGAAATTGATTTTCTACCAAAGCCATGCAGAGGATTAGACTCAGATTTAGGCCAGTAAAAGATTTACATTCCACCCAGGTCCCAATATAACATGATGCACAGATAAAAACACACTCGTGAGCTGACAGAGCCGACACATATTAGAAAGTCCAAATTAAAAGTCAGCTTTTAAGAATGCTAGTCCCAAAGGTAAAAGCACAATATATAAGTTGCATTAAAATTGCAGTGATGGAGCATAGCATAATGAGTCTTTGAAATGGATTTTCAAAATTAATTTTTATCCTCATCCTGGCCTCTTTTCAAAAAAATTTCCCAAAAAACCTCAGGATTGGAAAATAGCACCAGTCATGCATTTATAAT